>NC_000004.12:183163805-183466835 GCF_000001405.40 Homo sapiens
AGTGATTTGTGATCTAGCTATTGGGTGCCTCAAATTGTATAACATAATTATAGTTAGAATTGAATCATCAAATAAGGTGGCAAGATTAATGGGAGTGGCTAGCTTTAATGTTCCAGGTTATATTAATTTTAGATAAAATGAAATTAGTATTCCTATGGACAATTGAGTCAAGTTCTTGAATTACTGTATTCAGTTGGGATTGACTCAATTTAACAAAATGGTACTATTAGAGTTTTTGAGGATAATGAGAAAATGGAACTGAAATTAAAATTGTCTCTTGCACTTTGGACAAAATAATTTCTGTGAGCAGCAATTAAGAAGGTCCATATAAGAGATTCACCTTCTGCTCTAATTTCATTTAGTAAGATTGCATGATCTTAAGCTCCGTGATATTTTACTTGGAAAATGTTATGACTTAACGTAGGTCAGTGTCCCCTGCATTATGTGATTTGGTGTGCGCATATATATATATATATATATATATATATATATATACATATATATATTATATATACATATATATATATATATACATATATATATTATATATACATATATATATTATATATACATATATATATTATATATACATATATATTATATATAATATATATATTTTTATATATATTTTTAATATATATATTTTAAGTAGTGGCACAGAAAGAAGAGATTAGGAGTTGATCTTCAAAAGGCAGAGAAAATTAGAACTAAGGAATTCCTACCTTTTTTAAAAAAGCTAAAAATAATTTTGGGAAGCTCTTTAGACAGTTCACACTGTTGGAGAAAAACCCTGTGATATGAATGGCTTTGAAACCAGCAGCAGAGAAGTAGGTCCTTTCCTGTGGGTATGGGTCCTGGAATGGATTGGGTTTAGGCCCACTTGGCTCACCTGTTAGGAGGATGCTCCTTGGAGCCAGGCCTTGTGGGTATTCTTGGGCAGCGCTTGACTTCTGAGGACATGGGCACATGTTTTCAAGAGACCAGGCAAATTATAGTTGTCTGGGTACCAATTCCATGTGGCAGCCTCCAGTTAAGTGACATCCACATTCTGGTTACCATAAGGATTTTTAATGACCAATGGTATACTGTAGAAAAGGCACATTTTAGGCATTTAGTAAACTAGAGGTATTGATAACTAATAATAACTAATAGTAATAAGTACTGCTGCAGAGGTACTAATAACTAATAGTAAATGTTAGACTCATTTAAGAGCTGGATTAACAATCATTACCTCTAGCATAACACAAACATTCCTGGGTCTGTGCATTTCACATTCCATTTGTTTCAGAGTCTTGTATTTACTGGGTAAATGCCCATGGGAATTCAAATCATGGTTGGGCAAAGTTGGTTTGAGGGTAGGACAGGGAGTACGGGATTAGAGAGGGTAGAAGAGGTACAAGGGCCTCTTCTGACTTGGAGTGTCAGGGACACATTCATGTCAGGGCTTTGGAAGGGCCTCTTGACTGGGGTTTGGTGTGTGGAGAGTGGAAAGCTGAGTTGGGAAGCCTTCTTCTTTCCTCCTAAATTCCACCCTGATAACAACAGAAAAGCATCTTTGGCCTCTATGACATTAAAATATTTGAGCATTAAGGGTCAGGTGCTAGGCTTGAGAAGCTGTTTAAGCCAGGCTAAATACAACTTTAGTGGAGATGTGCTGAGGAATAGGTACACTGTTTCTTTTAGTAACTAATGTTTAATTTTTAGAGAACACAGCAGGCCTTTTGAAGGCAGTTTAAGGAATGGGTGTGGAAGGGGGTGTGGGGGAAGGAAATCTCAGCAGAATGCTTTTAGATATTTCCTGTTACATAAATGCTACATACTTCTCATGCCTTCAGACTCATAGCAAATAGGACTGAAGCCCGTTGAGGCTTACATTTAATTACTGTTACAAAGAATGTAGAAACTATATAGGTAATCAAAGAACCTTAAAAACTGGCACCAAATGCAACTTTTTCTTTTTCATCCAAATCTTACATTGTGGAATTTGAATGTGGTGTGATGAAATACACTTGGACAAAAAATAAGTGTTTGATTTTTAAAAAATGCTTTTGTTTAATTCATAAGACTTTCTGTCATAGTAAAAGAGTCTGTCTTCAGGTAGACATTCCAGATGACAAAGTGTCTCATTTATGGAGTCCCCAGAGTAGTAACTTGATACATTTATGTAGCAGTGTTTTAATGTGTGCTTGTGATGAAGAGTGCCACACTGATATCATACTGTTAGTATCTACCTGTAATGTAATAAATTGAGATCTTGTGTTAGTAATGAGAACATACAAGTTAAAGCTTTCTACTTCTAATTTTGTCCTACATTCTTTTTTTCTCTCATTTATGTTACTCCCTCCCCCAGATATAGCCAGGTTTATCTGTACTAGTGGCTAAAAGACACAGATACTGAAAGCTTTTTTTTTTCTTCCTTGATTTCAGGGAAATTGATAGAATTGGGTAAGGCATTTGGGGTATTTGTCTGCTGTAGCCCGTGGCATTCAGGGATGAGAATAGCCATCAAACTTGTAAATATTTTCTTTATATAAATGTCATGTCTGTCAAGTTCATTGCAGTGCTCCTGTGTCGGCAGAATGTCTCGATTTCAGAACTGGCTATCCCTTGGCTGCTCATTCTGGACAGTGCTCTTCACTTTTGTGAGCCATAGTGTTTTGTAAGGTGGAGCCTCATTAAATCTATCTCACAGGATATTTTTTGCCTATAAAGGAGTTGGAATACATGAGTGAAGCAGGCCTGAGTTCGTGTATATTTGAAACATGCTTCAGCAGGGCCATGAGAAGTCTTGTTTCAGTTGGTGAACAATCTCAAGTCATTTACTCACTTGTTTTTGAAATTAATTCAACCAATATTTGTTGAATATGTATAATGTGTGTTATTCTGTGTACTCTGAAGTATACAAAGATCAGTGATTACAGCCCTGGACCCTCAGGTGTCTAGAATATATAACTAGAAGGTAGTCAATATCATAAGAAAGGTAAGATCAAATACTTTGGGATCCAGGGTAGTCAAAACCTTATTGGATAAAAAGGTAATCTCTCAGCTCTGTGTCCTGAGAGCTGAAGCTCTCCTAAGTTGAAACAATGCTCTTCTTGAACTATCTCCTCACAAATTGGAAGCACAGAGTTCTGTAGGTCTTGCACCAGAGCTTAGACATGTAGTTAATACCAAGGCACCATGTGGCTGGGCAATATGGTTTCTGTCCCAGCCTGTATGACGTCATATATGGATTTGTCATTTGCACCATGGAAATTTCACATCAGGACAAACCACCATGGTTTGTGAACATGGGACATCTCTGAGGAACACAGAATTTTCATATGGCCACGGAGTGTGGTTCTTCTCTGTGTGAACTCTGGTGTTGATTTTTAAAAGGCATGCACTGATTCGAGAAAACCTAATTTTATATACTGGAGTTAGACATACCTAGGAAATAATTCATCCCATTAGACATTTATTGAGAACCTACCGTATGCTAGACATTGTGGGGATAATGATGACTCAGGTTAGTGAGGGAGAATAAAGCCTTTTATACACATAGCTCGAATACATGCAGAAATGATAAGTGAGAAGAGATACAAGTGAGAAGTGTGGCAGAGATTTAAGGGAGAGAGAGGTTATTTCTGATAGATGTGCATTTGAGTTGGGCTTTGTGTAGAGCTGTCATATCTCCCAGTCTGCTTGGGTCAGCCCCAGTTTACTCCGGATGTCCTGATGTCCCCTCCAATTAACATCTTTCTGGTCAAAATTGTTCCAGTTTGTGTGATAAATTATATGGATGGTCCCCCTAGCTTTGAGAATCAGGTAAGACTTGGCTTAGTGGAGATAGAGAACAGTCTAGGTAAAGATAAATGGCATAAACAAAAAACATGGGTGATGGAACACTTTGGTGCACTTAGAAAAAACATGTTTAGTTTGACTGTAGCTTTGGGAACAGGAAAGGGAATCACTGGAAATGAAGGTTGGGAGGTGAGTTGAGGTCAAATTTTGAGTATCCTGAATGCCAGACTAGATACCTTGATTTTATGTAGTTGGCCATGGAAGTTTGTGATTTTTTTTTTTTTTTGAGATGATGTCTTGCTTTGTCACCAGGCTGGAGTGCAGTGATGTGATCTTGGCTCAGTGCAACCTTTGCCTCCTGGGTTCAAGCGATTCTCCTGCCTCAGCCTCCCGAGTAGCTGGGACTACAGGCGTGCGCCACCATGCCAAGCCAATTTTTTTGTATTTTTAGTAGAGACAGGGTTTCTCCATGTTGGCCAGGATGGTCTCCATCTCCTGACCTCGTGATCTGTCCACCTTGGTCCCAAAGTGCTGGGATTACAGGCATGAGCCACCACGCCCGGCTGACTTTTTTTCTTTTCTTTTCTTTCTTTTTTTTTTTTTTTTAAGATTTAGAAAGATCCTTGTAACTACTGCGAGATACAAAAAAGGGCTCTTTTGGGTAACAGGGATTTAAAACAAAATTCTTAGGACCCATTGCCAATTAAGGATCATTTAGATATTTTTCTAAATTAGTGGGAAAATAAGATATAAATTACTACAGTGTACAGTGAAATGTCACAAAACCTAAAAAAATCATTAAGTTTTAGACCATGAATTGACTTTGGATCTTTGAGTCAAACATTATCATTTTATAGAAGAAGAAAATTGGCAATCAGACAGATTGTTAAATGTCAAAACTCTCCCAGCAAGCTCTTCATAGAGATGGGGTTAGAACCTAGATGCTGTGGTTTCTTGTGCAGCGGGTATTTACCTTTCCTATAGAGCTTTATTTTGGAGACTCCATTATTGACTGTTGTTGGGGCCACATCAATGTCTGCGTCTTGACTGAGCTGTGATGGAACTTATCATTCCGTCCCTGGGTGTCATTGCCATTATATGCACTGGCTGTGGTGGAAATTGTTAAGGATAAAAATGAAAAAATGAGGACAACAGATACCATTCTCATTCAGTGAAATAGGGTTTCAAATTATGGCATGTGAATACAAGAGTTTTAAAAAACTCTTTAAATATGAAATGTCATTTTATGGCATATAGTATTATAATTTTTTTTTTTTGAGACAGAGTTTCACTCTTGTTGCCCAGGCTGGAGTGCAATGGCACGATCTCGGCTCGCCACAACCTCTGCCTCCCGGGGTCAAGTGGTTCTTCTGGCTCAGCCTCCCGAGTAGCTGGTATTACAGGCGTGCACCACCACGCCCGGCTAATTTTCTGTTTTTAGTAGAGATGGGGTTTCTCCATGTTGGTCAGGCTGGTCTTGAACTCCTGACCGCAGATGATCTGCCCGCCTTGGCCTCCCAAAGTGCCAGGATTGCAGGCGTGAACCACCACGCCCAGCCTCTAAAATTTATATGTGCATATTTAAAAAACATTCAGAAGTTGTAAAATCAACAGAATTGATCAGTTAGGTATAAACTTACAAATCATTGGCACATGAAACTTTTAATTTTGCTTAATCATTATTGATGCTCCTTGAAATTTTACGTGTTGCTATAAAGCTGTTAAGAGTTGAGGAAGGACTGACTGACAAGTACGCTTCATGTGTTTTTTACACATTTATCGAAGACTGGAAAACCTGCTAGATGAATTCTAAAAGAGCTGTAACACGGACTCAAAGCTTTTAAAATAATTTTTTTTTTATTTTTTCATAGAAGTGGAGTCTCACCATGTTGCCAAACTATTCTTGAACTCCTGGCCTCAAGTGATTCTCCTGCCACAGCCTCCTACAGTGCTGGGATTACGTGTGTGAGCCACTGCACCTGGCCATGTTTTTCTTAATCATTATGTTTTTTGGGTGGCCATCAGAGAGACCCTGTAAAAAATATGATTTTGGAATGACCATGGGATACCTAAATAATAGGGTGAATATATTTATGCATATAAGCCTAATTTGTTTATATAATATAGTATATATGTTAAAGGAAGCAAGTAATTTTGGAGATTTAAGACTGTGCATAAAGAAGCATTAAAGTGCTACAAGTTCCCCTCAAACCAGTGAATCACTAAATTTCTAATAATTATATTATCAAGTAAATATTCATGTAAAATTATGTTTTCATTGCAGGAACACTTTTGAAAACCCGATTTCTAGCTAGCTTTAATATAAGCAATTAGGTAGACTTTTACCTAAGTAGAGAAGCTGCTGTAAATCACTACTTTCTCATGGATACTAATTTGAGCTTCAAAAGAACAGTATCATTCAAAGGATGCTTTTATTTGGAAAGTAGGTTTTCAAGTTACTTGAAGGATAGTTGGTTTGTTGGAAAAAGTGAACAGAAAGCTATAGCAGAAATAATGCTGAGAGGATTAGTATTCCAGATGCTTATTAACTTAAAAAGACACGAACATTAGATTAACAGTTATTGTGCCGTTGGCCAGAGAATGATTTCCACTGTAGAAAATAGCGGGTCATGCTTGATCCATTATCTGTCTTAAAACAGATTCAGGAGGCAGACACCTAGAGTCACAATGGGGGACCAGCTAACCAGTTCAGCCTCACTGAGGCTCGAAGTGTATAAACTAAAACATTCCATAGCCTTGCACAAACATGCTCTTCAGACACCTGACAACAGTTTCAGGGGCTTCCTTGGACAAACTTTCCAGCTCTCAAGTTCTGGAGTCAGTCATTAGGATGCCTGTGGGGTACGTGGACGGTGGGTGGGGTAAAGAGGAAAGCACTTTCGAGGAGAGCAGGCTTGGGAACATGTATTGCAAAGGGTTGGCACAGGGAGAGGTAAAAGTCCTGAAGGTGAAACCTGGGGAGCCTGGGATGCTGAGATGCACTTTTGTGACATGATTTTGCATTTCTGTTGATTTTCATACTATTTATTGAGAGCACGGTAGAAATAACAGGGAAGAGAAATAAATAGTCATCATGTTGTGATTTATTTATTTATATTTTTTTAAAGTGACAGGGTCTCGCTCTGCCAGCCAGACTGGAGTGCAGTAGCATGGTCATAGCTTACTATAACCTTGAACTCCTCAAGTGATCCTTTTGCCTCAGCCTCCTGAGTAGCTGGGACTACACTAGCTAATTAATTTTTTTTTTTTTTTTTAATAGAGAGTCTCGCTATATTTCCTAGACTGGTCTTGAACTCTGAGCTTCAAGTGATCCTCCTGCCTCAGTCTCCTATTATGACATTTAGAAAAAGTAATTTCTTCAAATCAATTTGGTTTTCCACTTTGTAAAATGAAGAGAGAATGTAACTGATGAGAGCTTACAGTGACATCCATTATTTCAGATGCAACCATAAGGAAGCTTTTCTAATCAAAGGCCTTCATTTCTTCTTTGTACTGTTTACAGGGTTCTTAACACAAACTGCCTTAGATTATAAACATTTCTGCATGTGCCTTATCTTTCCAATTAGACTCAGTCTTTCCAATTAGCCTCATTGAGAGCAGGGTCAAGGGTTAAAAATAAAAGTGAAAACATTTATGTTGTGCTTTAACTCTTTATAGAATACTTTTCATATATATTATTTGGTGTCTTTTAACAATATATTGACTGGGATTTCCAAATGAAAACTGGAAGAACAAGGTATAATATTTATGTTTTAAAATTTGATTTAAGATTCACTAGAGTTTAGTTATACTAAAAGTGTATATTGGTAATATCTTCATATTTTTATATTATGTATTTTGGAGTACTGAAAAATATACTTTACATAATCTCTGAGCAAATGTAACTAAAGTTTTATGAGATTTCTTTAGAGGTAAATTTGAAATCAGTAAATAAACATGGTAGGGAAACTTTTCTGACTTTTAAAATTAAAATTGGAAACTTAGTGGGAGATTTTAAAACTTTACGTTAATCAAAGTTATATCTGTAAATGATTAACAAACACTCAAATGGTTCCCAAAGCAAAGACAGGCATCCTGTGACCCACTACTCTCCCCCACACTTGATTCACTGTCTCTACAGTCGACCACATTTACATATTTAAAAGTTTCTTTTGGTATTTGCCGCTGTGTTTTTAAATAACTTTATCTATCTATCTTGACTTCTTAGCTTTGGATTTTGAGAACTGACTTCCCGCCCTGGTTGAGGATTCAGCTTTCTTACTGTGCCTTCCTCATGCACATGTGCCTCCCTCCCCTCATCCTCTTGGTGTTTTCTATCACCTTGTAAAGAAATCAGTAGTCTGTGTGTACATTTTTATGACTATGTAAATATTATTCATGGATGACCTATCTGGTGTACTATGATTGCATTTCCTTTTGTTTTCTCTGTAGTTAATAATCATCTCTTTTTTCCATTGGCTTACTTCTCTATATTCCTATTACCAATTTGTGGCCAGAATTATAAATCTCCTTTCAGTACATTCCAACACACTGTGTATTCTGTTGGTTTGGAACCTCCTGCACCTTCTGTTCTTAATTTCAAGTTTGTCCTGGTTAATCATTGTAACTGCTGCACACTGTCATCCTATGGCCTCCATTTACTGTCATCTTGTAGGTTTCATTTGTCATTTTCCTGTGTTGGGTGCTCATTTGCTGGATATCATGTCTTCCAGTTTTCTTGGTTTATTCTCTGTTTTGGTGGAGTAGCGTTGGAAAGGGAGCATAGATTTGTTGAGGCTTTGCATCTCCACAGATGCCATTATTCTGCTCTCATATGTGATTAATATTTTAGCTAGGGACATAATTCCAGGTTGGAAGTAATTTGGAGTAAAAATTCGATGGTACTGCTTTACTGACTTGTATATTCCAGTGTTGTGTTTGAGAGGTCTGATGCTTTTATGTTTCTTGTTTTTTTTTTTTTTTTTTGTTATTGTTATTTGTTTGTTTCCTCTTTGTGACCTGATTCCTCTCTGAAGTTTTTGGGTTTTGTTTTTGCCCTCATGTTCTAAAATTTCACAATGTTGGGCATTGATGTAGGCCTTTTGTAACCATTGTGCTAGGTGGGTCATATATAATCAAGAAACCAGTGTCATTCAGATTCAGTTTAGGGAAATTTTCTTGCACTAGTATTTTGATAATATTTTTCTCTTTGTATTTACTTTGTTCTCTCTCTCTGGAACTCATGCAAGTCAGATATTAGACCTCCTAGATTGGTTGTTCACTTTCCTTATCTTTTCCCTTCTGTCTTACTCTTTGGGAAATTTTTTAAACTTGATCTTTTAATTTGTCAATAGATGGTTTCTGCCATCATATTGTTCATTTCCAGGAATTTTTAAATTCTTTTCTCCAAATATTTATGTACGTATTTATTTACCTCCCCTCCCCTTCTCTCCCCTCTCCTCCCCTCCTCTCCTCACCCCACAGGGTGCTCTGTCACCCAGGCTGGAGTGCAGTGGTATAATCACAGCTCACTGCAGCCTTGACCTCCTAGGTTCAAGTGATCCTCCCACCTCATCCTCCTGAGTAGCTGGGACCACAAGCATGTGCTGCCATGCCTGGCTAATTTTTTAATTTCTTTGTTTTTGTAGAGGTGGGGTCTTGTTATGTTGCCCAGGCTGGTCTCAAACTCTCAGGCTTAAGAGATCTTCCTGCCTTGGCCTCCCAAAGTGTTGGGATTGCACGTGTGAGCCACCGTGCCTGGCCACATATTTTTCTTTTGATAGTAACCTGTTCTATCTCTCTGAATATGCTAATTGAAGTTTTCTTCAATATCTCTGAAGAAATGAATTCTTCAGTTTTATTTTTTCAGTGTTGTTTTGGTTTCTGCTTTCATTTTAGGGGACTAGTATTCTTAGCTTTTGCGTTTGAGATAAGTAATACCAACCATTCTGGCTCTTCACTCCTTCCAGACACAGGAGACAGGATTAACTTCCCTGCCTCCATCTGACTTGTTTTGACCAGTGGATTGCAAGCAGAAGTGATGTGCACGTCTCCCCTACCTGGATGATCGATGCTTGTGTTGAGATTGGAGATGCCACAGGCACCCAAGATGCAGTGTGGAATGCTCCACACTGCGGGGGGCCAGCTGCCCGGGGATTCATCCAGAGCCACTTTGGACTTGGCTTGAATGGGAAGTAAATGTTTGTTGTTTTTAACCACTGAGACTTTGGTATTGTTTTTTATTGCAGCGTTATCTAGCCTGTCCTACTGAGACAGCTCTCAGTCATATTTAAGAATGAGGCACAAAAAGCTGTTTGGAAGCTCTCTACTAGTGGGTGGGGTAGTCATATGGCAGTGATCTGGCTTAGCATTTCTGTTAAGGCACTCCCAGATGTTAATGTCAGTAGATCTTTTCTCTTGGTCTGGTCAGTTTTCCCAGGAAAAACCCTCCAATTCTTCGGCCTGACAAATGTAAGCCCAACTCCTGGGTTCTGCAAACTGAGTAATGGAAATGGGGCTTGGGATGCTTGCTGTTCAGTGTGTGCACACTCTGTAATGTTCCCTGTTTTTAATAAGGTACTCCTTTCAGCAGTCCGAGCCACCTGGAAGTCCACGGCCCATCTGATTAAGTCTTTCTAGAGAATAAACCTTCTGTTTCTGCCCAGGTTGGGCAAAGGCAGGCAGGGGGTCTGACTGCTTCTTAACAGACTTCTGGCAAGTCCTCCATGGTCACACCCTCCGTCTGAAGTCTGTGGTGCTGGAATTCCTGAGCCGTTTCAGGCTTTTGCAGTATGAATGGATCTGCTTCTGGGCTTTCTCTATTGCTAACCTAGGCTTTCTGTTTCTCATGTCTCCTGAATCACTTACCACGCTGCAGTTTGCTTCCCACCGTCCCAAATTTTGTTGTTCTCATCCGCTGACCTTCCCATTGTCCTTTTGTGTTTATGCCTTTTAAAAAATCCCCTTTCTGCTATTTTCTAGAGGGAATGTAGGTAAGCACATATATTAAATCTGTGTAGTGTTTACTGGAAGTTCTTTAATAATGAATTTTATCCTCCCAACTTTTTATTTTGAAAATTTTCAAACATAAGAAAAAATGAAAACAGTAGAATGGACACCATTGTATATATCCTGCTCTTAGATCTGACAATTAACTTTTTGCCAATTTTATCATCTCCTTTTCCTCCTCTCCTCCTTCTCCTTCTCCTTTCTCTCTCTCTCTGTCTCTCTCTCTTTTGCGCTCTCTCTCTCTCTGTAATATTCTACAAGTATATATGGTATATGTAAGATAAATATATCTATGTCTATATTTTCTCTTTTGCTGTAACATTTGAAGGTAAGGTACAGATATTATGACCCGTCACTCCTAAATAGTTCAGCATACATTTCCCAGTATATATGGTATATGTAAGGTAAATATATTTATGTCTATATTTTCTCTCTTGCTGTAACATTTGAAGGTAAGGTACAGACAGCTATTATGACCCTTCTCTCCTAAATAGTTCAGCATACATTTCCCAGGAACAAAAATATTCTCTTACAGGACTATAATTATCATACCTATGGAAAATTAAAAAAATAGTTCCATAACATCATTTAACATCTAGCATGTCTAACATCATCTGACATCTAGCATAAATTATATAGTTTCAAAATTTCTTATTTATTTATTTTTTTGTTTTTGTTTTTGTTTTTGAGGCAGTGTCTCTGTTGCCCAGGCTGGAGTGCAGCGGTGTGATCTTGGCTCACTGTAGCCTTGATCTCCTGGGCTCAGGTGATCCTCCCACCTCAGTCTCCCAAGTAGCTGGGACCACAGGCACACGCCACCACACCCGGTTAATTTTTTGTATTTTTTGTAGAGATGGGGTTTTATCATGTTGTCCAGGCTGGCCCCAAACCCCTGCGCTCAAATGATCGGCCCACATCAGTCTCCCAAAGTGCTTGGATTACAGGCGTGAGCCACCGTGCCTGGCCTCAAAAATTCTTTTATAACTTTTTTTGCCTTAAAAATTGCGATCCCATCGTGGTAAACATGCTGCAACTGGTTGTTATTTCTCTTTTGGACTAGAACAGTTTCTCAAAGCATCGTTTTTTGTACTTGATTTTTTGCTTTTAATTAATCTTGAACAGAGCTAGCACCTATAGAAAAAGATAAATAAAGATGAGGCCCTGATAAGGAGATGTTCGTGAAAGCACTGGGAAACAGAGCACATTTTATTTTTTAATGGTTTGTTTTTCTAACCCAGGTGCTACTAGTCTAAAACTTAGCCACGCAGTGCTTTGCACATTCAATTAAAACAAAGAAGCAGTATTTGTCTTCACTGTGATGAAGAACTATATTTAGAGTTTTCCCAGCCCACCTCACTTCACCTTGCATACTTTGCCAGCGTTCAGCCTCATGACTTATGCTTGCTTCAAACTGAATTTGAGTCTAAGCTCAAAGGGCATGCATTTTTGTTTATGAATAAGGGCTGATCTCTGAAGTTAGTATAGTTATCAAACATTCCTCACATTCCATATGTCTAATTTTTAGTGCTTGGAGGATCTGGTGCTGTGCCAGAGGAACATAGAGGCTAGAGAGCACACAGAAATATCACCAAGGAAAGTCTCCATGTAAGCTATAAAAATTCAATCGTATGTTTAAATAGCAAAGCAAATAGTAGGTATGGGATTGATTTGTGGCATGTTAGTACCATTCTTTAGGCTGCTTAGGAACGTTTCTTAGTTTTCTCTTGGTTCTTGAAATTCCAGCCCCGGAGCTTAAAAAAATCTGTGATTCTTTCAGTTTGTCTTTTAGTTGTACTCAGGGCCAGAATAAGGAGATTTTTTATTTTTTATTTATTTATTTTTTTGAGACGCAGTATCACTCTGTCACTCAGGCTGGAGTGCAGTGGCACAATCTCGGCTCACTGCAACCGCCACCTCCCAGGTTCAAGTGATTCTCCTGCCTCAGCCTCCCGAGTAGCTAGGATTACAGGCACCTGCCACCACGCCCAGCTAATTTTTGTATTTTTAGTAGAGATGGGGTTTCACCATATTGGCCAGGCTGGTCTCGAACTCCTGACCTCAGGTGATCCACCCACCTTGGCTCACCAAAGTGCTGGGATTACAGCCGTGAGCCACCATGCCCAGCCCTTTTATTTTTATTTTTGTTTTTTTAAATTTTTTTGAACCACTCAGACTGCATCCTCTCCTTACTCTCACAGGGGAAGAGAAGAATGATCATCAGTGGCAAATGGCAGCTGCAGCCAAGCAACACCGGCCTCACACTCCAGGCAGAACGCTGTGCCCTCCTCATGGAGGAGTTTTTCAATACTGCAAAACAAATACTTGCAGAAGCTAAGCGTGACTTAGTGTACGGTTGAAGGAGTCACCAGTGCAGATGTGGTGGTCACCAGAAGATAGGTTCATTGAACACATGTTGAATGAGCAGCAGTCGCTGTTCTAGCCACTAAGGACCACAGTGGTGGACAAAATAAGTCATGGGGAGGTAGGAAGGAGGACTAGAGCAATAAAGGAGATAAATTCAGACATGATAATAGCATTAAAGAAATCAACTGTATGCCATGATAGATAGTGACTACTTTAGATAGACTCATGCATTAGTCAGCTCTGCTGTGGTAATAAGCAACCTGTAAATCTGTGACTTCCACAACAGGTGTCTCCTTCTAGCTCGTATTACATTGTCAACTAGAGAATAAAGTGAAATAATTATGTAAAAATCTCAAGGCTAAGGATCATGCATGATCTGTGAAATTGGTCACTAAATGTTTAGAAAAAATTCAAATTGGTCTTGGTGAAATATATGCATAACACAAAAGAGTCAGATTATGACAATAAAAATAGAACCTTTGTAAATTTAATATAAAACAATTTAATACAAAGAAATCAAAGAAGGAAATTGTAGGGCCTTTGGTCAGAAGCTCCTTTGTTGTTTAACAAGGTTCAAGAATAAATAAGGCTGTTTCCTCTTCTTAATAAATACATTATATATAAAAAAGTGAACATTTTGTAGAAGCAGACTATAATAGAAACTTGAATCTAAGTTTAAAATGCCTTAGATGATGTTAGAAAAAAAAAGAGTAACATTTATGAACATGGGCATATATTTTTTGGATGTCTATAAATAGTCATCTTTGAAATGTTAAGCATGCTTTCCAGCATGTGCTTTTTCTCTGGCCTGAGAAGCTACAGGTGCACCGAGATTGATTGACTCATTTACCTTCTTAAAGCTTTTTTGGGAAGCAGTTAGACTTGGTTTAATTGTCTAGTAATCTGGCCAGCTGCCTCCATGATCTTCACATTCTGGAAGGCCTGTGCTTAACTGAATTTCTTCTTCACTTTGGGACCCTGCAAGATCACTGAGAGTCAATGCTGGGTAACTCCATTTAGGTCAGTTATGTAGAGATCCCTTAGTTAAAGACCAGGCCCTGCTAACAGCATCACTATAGCGTTAGGACATTTGTTCAGGTAAATCCCACAGAAATGCATTGATCATGTGGCCAAACCAACATACTTTCTTCTTGCATTTATCCAGGCAAGATTAAGAGTTGAGATATACTGAAATAACACCAACCTCACATTATGAACATTTTGAAATTTATTGTGAAATTCATTTATTTTGTCTCTAAATGTAACAATAGCTGTAGACTGCAAAAGAAGTTAAAATCAGGGCCAGAGAGTGGCTGATGCCTATAATTTCAACTCTTCGGGATACCAATGTGGGAGGATCACTTGAGCCCAGGAGTTTGAGACCAGCCTGGGCTACACAGTGAGACCCTGTTTCTACAAATAAATAAATAAATAAATAAATAAATAAATAAATAAATAAATTTAAAAAATTAGCCAGGCATAGTGGCACATACCGGTAAGTCCTAGCTTACTCTTGAAGCTGAGGCAGGAGGATCACTTGAGCCCAGGAGTTCGAGGCTGCAGCCCAGCCTGAGCAGTAGAGCAAGACCCCTGAAGTCTTGCTGTGCTGCCCAGTCTCTTTAAAAAAAAAAAAAAAAAGTAAAAATCAGAGGATGGAACTGAAGCACCAGATACTTCCCCACAAGCTATTAAGGCTGAGTTAGTTCTTATAACTCTCCACTGACAGCAGCTGTGCCTTTACACCAGGGAGCTTGCTGCATGGAAGCTCGGACTCAGTCTGATCTAGCTGAGCTCTCCGTTCAGAAGCAGCAGGCTTCAGGGCGCATAATCGAGAACTACAAGTAAGGCTAAGGCATCATGGCCCCAAGTCCCCTTACTGCAGGAGCTGCATAGCAGGAAGTGCTTCCTGAGGTTAACTTTATGAATCTGTGTCTGAGTAAAATACTTGTCAGTATCTAACTTAGGGCTCATTCAAGGATATTCAGTACAGTGTTGTTTTGGATACAATTAAAATGGCTATCAGTACCAGACAATACTGGAAGGGCTAAACTGTGATCTAAGCTTATTGTAAAAGATGCTCCTGTGACATAAAACAAAATTTAAAAAAACTTACTATTAAAAACGAGGTAGCAACATGAAAAGCCTCATAAATTATATTGTTGAATGAAAAAAGTAAACTTCAGAACGATGTGCACAGTATATTATATTTTCTAGGCTGTATGTAGAGAAAGGCCTGGAAGAACACATACTGCCCCGGTGGTCGTGGATACTTCTGAAGAGAGGAGTGTGAGAACTGGAATGAGAGCTGGTGGTCAAAGAGACTTAGCATTGTCTGCAGTATTTTAATACTTTACAAGGAGGGTATATCCATGTATTTTTTAACTAAAATCTTATATTAAAAGTAAGATTTTAATAACTATTTTCAAAAGACCACCAGCTGCTGTGTGGAGTATGGGTTATAGAGGGATGAGAGTGGAAATGTAACAACTAGTTAGGAAGTTAATCGGGGCAAGAGATGCTAATAGGTTGGATTAGAGAGGTGGTGGTGGAGGAAAAATAGTTGTAAATAGGGCTGTGTTCTGGAGGGTGAGCCTACAGGATGTTGACGGAGAGGGGGCCATCAAGGATGACCGCCTCCCGGGTTGTGAGGTGAGCATCTGGGTTGATGATGGTGCCATTTTCCAAACAGGTCATTTGGGGGAGGAATGGGACTGGGGAAGTGGTCATGAGGGGGAAGTTAAAGCGTTGTTTTTTATGAGTTGTTTGATGTGGCCATTAGATACCCTGCTATGGAATGATCAGGGAGATGCTCTCTGATAAATCTGGACCTCTAAGGAAACGTCTCTCTGGAAATCACTCACTCACTGTTTTCTCTAACAAACATTGAGCACTGTGTACCATGTATGTGTTTGGCATGCAGAGATGAAACAACCGCTAGGAACTCGGTGAACTGAACAGAGAAGTCAACTAAAAAATGTAAACCGTGTGAAATATTTTAATGGGAAAATACTTCCAGAGCTTAACAATGTCACTAAATAGTGACAGCTTTGGGAAAACATGATGTCTTCCCCAAGAAGATGATGTTTGAATTAATTTTTAAGGACGTTGAATCTTAGAAGAAGACAACTGTTTAAGTGTGAAACTATAAAAGGGGCAGGATGGTGGAAAAGTGGAGGGAGAGAAGATGTTCCAGGTGGAGGGAACTGCACGTGTTAAAGATATTTTTGCTACTTGTATATCAGGCGGACTGGCTTCTCCTTGACCTCTCCTGGGCTTCTTTTGGTAGATTTTTCAGTAGTTGGTGTCATAGGCATCTGCAACGCAGATATCCTGCCTCTGAGCTGTGAAGTAGTACTTCCACACTTTGCCGTCTTGTCTCATGATTTCCTTGTATTCATGAGGGTATCTTGTTGGTATTAGCTGACGTTTCTTTCTTCTTAGATGTTTAGTATTCGTAGAATACTGTGCCTGTAACTCATGCCAACGATGTTCTGAAACCTGGCCAGTCTCACCAAGCTTGAAGTCTATTTTATTTTATTTATTTTTTGCCTCTCAAAAGCTAGACTGGGATGCAAACATTTATAGCAACATCATTCATAGTAGCTAGAAGTGGAAACAATCCATATATCTGTAAACTGGTAAATGGATAAGCAAAATGTATCTGTGGAGTGAAATACTATTCAGCAATAAAAAGAATGAATTCTTAATGCATGCTATATAATAACATTATATATCTTGAAAACATTTTGCCAAATGATAGAAGCTAGACACAAGAAACCACAAATTGTATGATCTTATTTATATGCAATTCCAGAAAGGGTAAATCTGTAGGGACAGGAAGTAGATGAGTGGCTGCCTGGGGCGGGGGCGGGGAGATTTCCCACAATTTGAAAAAACTTACGTGAACTACATAGTCTACAAACACTGAAAAAAATTAAGAAAAAGGTATGGCACGAATGCATAAAATATATGTACATACTAGACTGTTTTATTATTTACTACCATAAAATATACACACCATTATAAGACTTTAAAATTTATCAAAACTTATGCACACATTACAAATTGTGCATGATGCCATTTGTAGTTGAGAGAAATGTAAACAAATGTAAAGAGGCAGTATTAAATCATAACTGCATATAATTAACTATAGTATATAGTGTACTACTGTAATGATTGCATAGCCACCTTCTGTTGTGGTGAGCTCAAGTTTTGGGAGCATCTGCTTAAAATGCCCTGTGATGCTAATCATCTCTGTGTGAGCATTTCCTCTCTCTGGTAAATTGCATATCACAGTAAAAAGTGATCTCTCACAGTTCTCAAGTATTTTTCATTGTATTTAGTGCAATACGTAAACCTTTAGTACACTGTGGGACCCATACAAAGTGCCACTTGTGATGCTGGAAGTGCTCCCAAGAAGTGGAGAAAAGTAATGACCTTACAAGAAAATGTTGACTTGCTTGATATCTACGGTAGATTGAGGTCTGCAGCTTAGGTTTCCACCATTTCAGATGGACGATTCATGGTGTATAAACAGATAACCTAAACTTGAAGCATCAATAAATACAGTACGGTACTGTAAATGTATTTCTTTTTCTTTATGGTTTTCTTAATGACTTTTTCTTTTCTCCAGCTTAGTTTATTGTAAGGATACAGTATATAATACAGTGTACAAAATACGTTACTTGACTGTTTATGTATTGGTGAGGCTTCCGGTCAACAGTAGGCAGTTAGTAATTAAGTTTTGGGAGAGTCAAAAGTTATAAGAGAATTTTCATCTGTGCAAGGAGTTAGCACCTCTAACCCCTGCATTGTTCAGAAGTCAACTGTACATAAGTTTATACATGGACTGAAAAAATACCAAAGTATTGGAGTAGATGTCACTCTACAGGAAAGTGAAGCAAGGACTTTAATAACAGTTCATCCTGTTATTTTCTGTATTCTTCATAATGAGAATCTATTAACTGTTTTATAAAATGTATATTTTTAAGTCAACATTGAAAACTACAGTATACATAGAGTTTATTTAGTTTGATACCAAAATATGATGTATATTTTGTACATAATATTATATCTACATATGTATATATTTATTTAAAAAACATAGCCTAGAGTGAAACACATCACATTGTTAACTGGGATTATTCCTATGTAGTGAGGTTATAGAGATTTTTTAAAGTCCTCTCAGTTTCTTAAGTTTTGATAAAAGTAATACAGGTGTATTTTAATCATTTAACTTCTTCAAAAGGGAAGTTGTGGCCCTTCAGAAAGGTGTGCCATGTGTCATTTCTTTGTTGTCCTGACTGGAGCTCAATTCTCCAGACTGAATACTGAAGCCTCTTCTAGTCTTCGTCCATGAGCAATTATTATCCACCATGAAATTGACTGGCTGTGTGTTGAACTACAGGTTGGGAATTGAGGCAGCCTTGGTGGATTTCTGTTATTTGTTTGGACAATAATCCTTTTTAAGTTCTCTACCTCTCTCAAACACTCATACCTTCTTTGCTGGCATAGCCACTTAAAATTTCAGACTATTTTTCAAAACCAAATAATCTGACAAGCAAACATTTCTTGGCACTTAGGAGAGAAAAAGAGGTTCAGGTTAAAGTGTTTGACCACTTTGTTTTCTTCCGTGGCATAAAAATACTTTAAAAACCTGCTGAATTATTGAAATACTTGAGATAAATTCTGTTATGTCTGTCACTTAAATCTGTTTTCTGTTAAGATATTCATTATGATACAGAATGTAATAATAGCAAAAATAAATCACAAGACCAAATATTTTGATGCAGTATTGAAAGATTTTCTTGTATCTTGTTCCATAGTCAGGAAACATATGTATCAACTAACACCTTAATACCAGCCTTCATGTTGTTATTTGAATAAATGCATATACTATTACTTCTGTATAAATAGAAAATTTTTGAAAGAATAAATTACAACCCTTTCATGATGTAGTTGACGTTTTCTTTCTGCCTTCCTTCCTACTCTTCTTCCATTCAGTCAACATTTATTATGTGTCGACTGTGTATGAGGTAGGCATTAGGCATTGTGCTAGAGAGCGAGAAGAAGGCAGGGTCCCTGCCTAGAGACTGAGTCTGAGTGTAGTAACATGCCTTAGGTGGCAGCTGATCCCTGTGGAGGTGGGACAAGATTCATGCAACACAATCAAGAATAGTATTTCTAGGTTAAAAGGAATTAACATTTTTAAAAATTTAAATATTTTTATTTTAAGTTCTGGGGTACGTGTGCAGTAATGCGCAGGTTTGTTGCATAGGTAAACGTGTGCCATGATGTCTTGCCGCACCTATCACCCATCACCTATCACCTAGGTATTAAGCACAGCATGCATTAGCTGTTTTTCCCTAACAGTCTCCCTTCCCCCACCTGGAATCAACATTTTAATGGTTTTTTTTAACACTGCCAAATTGTTTCTTAAAAGGACTGTATCGAGTTACAAAGTCACCAGCAATGAATGAAAGTAGCTGATGCCCCACATCCTCACCAGAGTGAGTTTCATCACTAAGACAAAGCAAAACAGCCGGAAGCAGTGACTCATGCCTGTAATCTCCACACTTTGGGAGGCCAGCGAGGGCGGATCACTTGAGCTCAGGAGTTTGAGACCATCCTGGGCATCAGACCTCATGTCTACAACGGAAAAAAGACATTTAGCCAAGCGTGTTGGTGTGTACCTGCAGTTCTAGCTCCTTGGGAGGCTGAGGTGTTAGAATGGCTTCAGCCCGGGAGGTTGAGGCTGTAGTGAGCTGAGCCGTGATCGTCCCGCTGCACTCCAGCCTGGATGTCAGAGTGAGACCCTGTCTCAAAAAAAAAAGAAAAAAGGCAAAAACTTGATATTTTGATAGGCTTAAATTTTAGCCTCATTATTTTATTGTATTTGGCGTTTCTTTTTATTATTAGTGATGTTTAACATTTTCCCATGTTTTTACTATCTTTTGTGAAAATATTTTATTCACTTTAAGTCTTGGCATTGTTGTTTACTTGCTACTCCTTTTGAAAACCAACTTACTGAAGTGAAATTCACCTAATGTAAATTAACCATTTAAAATGATCAATTCAGTGGCATTGAGTACATTCACAATGTTGTGCAACCAACCCCTATATTTAGTTTCAGAACATTGTCATCCTCCTCCAAGGTACCCACTGAGCAGTTTCTATTTACCCCTTTCCTTGTCCCCTGGCAACCATCAACCTACTTTCCTTTTTTATGCGTTTGTGAACTAGCTATTTCATATAGTGGAATCGTACCATATGTGACATTTTGTGCCTGGCTTCTTTCACTTAGCATAATGTTTTGGAGGTTCATCCATATTGTAGCATGTATAAGTACTTCATTCTTTTTTATGGCTGAATAATATTCCATTTCATGTATATACCACAATTTTTTTATCCATTCACCTGTCTATGGGAATTTGGGCTCTTTCCACCTTTTGGCTATTATGAATAATGCTGCTATGATCATGCACACACATGTACTTATTCGAGTACCTATTTTCACTTCCTTTAGAAGTAGACCTAGAAGTAGTATTGTGGGATCATACGGTAATTCCATTTTAACTTTCTGAGGAATTGCTAAACCATTTTCTACAGAGGCTGCACCATTTTACGTTGCCACCCACAATGTACAGAGTTCCCATTGCTCCACATCCTTGTCAATACTCGTGTCTTTTGTGTATGTGTTTTTTAATGATAGCCATCATAGTGGGTGTGAACTGGTGCTTCACTGTGGTTTTGATTTGCATTTCCATAATAACTAATGATGTTGAGTACTGTTACTATTTTTATATAAGTTAGAAAATGAAGGATAAAGAAAGCCTTGCTCTTGAAGTTATTTTCAAATTAGTTAAGTATCCTTTGAAGAAAGGAAATGTTTACTTAAAATTAAATGAAGTGTCTACTATTCCAAATAGGAGGACTGTTAAGCCATTATCTGTTTAAATATTTCATCGTTTTCATAACAGAGATACTTGTAAAGCCTTCAGGTTTATTTTTAACTTGAGCTTGTTTTCCACTTCTCCATCACCTGGTTGGATTAGGGATCCAATCTAATTTACGTCTTTTAAACAATAGCACTCAAGGTGAACTTCTGGTCCCTGAAGTTTACCGATCAGTATTACCTCAGAACTTAGAGATGTAAATCCTCAGGTCCTTCCCAAATCTACTGAGTCGGAAACTTTGAGGGTGACCCCAACAGTCTGTGCTTTCATAAGCCTTTCAGTTGAGTCAGATCAGATGCACGCATAGGTTTCAGAACCGCTACTGTAAACCAACATTCTCAGATTGATTCTGTGATAAACAGCTCTTGTGGGAGGTGAAATCCACAATGTTGGTCTCATTAGCACCAACTTTTTTTTAGCTTAAGTAGTCAGACAATATGAACAATTAACTTGGAATCATGTTATAACCTCCTATTTAAGAAAGCATAAAGCATACAGTTTTGCCTAGAAATTGCTATTTGGTTTACAAATCACGTAAAAAAGAGGAAAGTATTTTTCAAAAGCGACTTTTGATCTTTGGCCAAATACTGAAGTAATTTAAGAGGCACATACCCATGATGTATATTTTTCCTGTTATTTGTAATTTTTCAATTTTTTGGCCCTGCTTTTCATGAGCTATGTTTCCTTTTATTCGTAACTAGACTTTATTTTTTACTTCTTCAGAGCCAACATTGTGAAGGTTTTTAGTGTGAAGGGCTATGCGGCAGAGCTTGCAACCACTACTGCCCTATGTACAAATGTTGACTGGAGAGATGTGTGTGTGTGACCCTAACACATGCTTATTTGGAGAGGAGTGTTTATTTTTTTCTCTGCCCAGGCTATTCAAATGGAAAAAGTATACCTACTTTGCAGAGTTTTATGTATGTACATTTATGTATATTAGAGCATGTGTGGTACATGATAAACATTCAGTAAGTGTTTTATATTATTAATATAATTGCTGTATGTAAAATTTGACCTTTAACATAGATTTTTTTTTTTTTTTTTTTGGTGACGGAGTCTCACTCTGTCACCCAGGCTGGAGTGCAATGGCGCAACCTCGGCTCACTGCAAGCTCCATCTCCCGGGTTCACGCCATTCTCCCACCTCAGTCTCCCGAGTAGCTGGGACTACGAGCGCCCCCCACCACTCCCAGCTAATTTTTTGTATTTTTAGTAGAGACAGGGTTTCACCATTCACAGGATGGTCTCGATCTCCTGACCTTGTGATCCTCCCGCCTCAGCCTCCCAAAGTGCTGGGATTATAGGCGTAATCCACTGTGCCTGGCCTAACATAGAATATTGTAAGCATTGAAGCTTTTGCAGATACTATATCTGGATCCCAAAACCCAACAGCATGAGCCATGTGCTTTTTCAAAGGCAAATCACCCACAAATACTGTCTTTCAAGAGTGTATTCGTGAAGTAACTGTAGGATTAAGTGTTAGATGGCAGAAGGGAAATTCTATGATAGGGCCTCCTAAAGTCCTCCTGTTTACAGCCTCTAGGTTAGGATGAGGGAATGGTTAGGAATGGTTAGTAAGTGAATGTCAAAAGAAGAATCAGAAGGTTTGAGGAAAGGTTTTTTAGGGTAGGGGGCATTGAATATAGACTGAAGGAGAAAAAATTAACCATATGAGAAGAGATAAATATCAGATAATGAGAGATGGAATGAGACTGCAGAGTAGAGAGGAGCGGCTGGGGTAAGGGCAGGAGACTGGCAGGCTAGCCTGGAGGAGGGGATGCGAGACATGTAGAGAGGAGTGGGGTGTGTGGGTCTCAGGGAGCAGACCTGGGAGACAACACAGTTGTGTTCAGATATTTGAAAGTCTGTCATGTGGAGGAGGTATCAAACTAATTCTCGTTGGTACCAGGTGACAAAACTCATGCCAGCTGTAGGAGGACCAGACCTAGGACCAACAGAGGGGAGAATTGTCTGAGGACCCAAGCAGGTGCAGACATAACATGAACTAATCTGAAGAAGTGATCTTGGTTAGGCTACCTCGTTATGTTTCCTGCCAGCTCTGTAGCACTGGGTGAATCATTTAAATCTTGGAGCAGCAGTCTCCTTCCTAACCCATTGCACCAGGCTAGGGGCTTTCCTGGCCAAGTCCTAGGGTGACAAATTAGTTATCTGCTTGGCTGTCCTCACCTTGGCTCCCCAGGGCAAGCACCAAATCCTTTCCTTGTTATATCCCCCCACTGCACACAGACAGGATCTAAAACACAGGATTTTGTGACACGTTTTACGTTTCACATAAAACACAAAATTCTGGATGTGTCACATACAGAATTAAATCTGTAAAAAACGGGAATAGGGGCTGGGCGCAGTGGCTCACGTCTGTAATCTCAGCACTTTGGGAGGCCGAGGCGGGTGGATTACCTGAGGTCAGGAGTTTGAGACCCGCCTGGCCAACATGGTGAAACCCTGTCTCTACTAAAAATACAAAAATTAGCTGGGCATGGTGGCACGCACCTGTAGTCCCAGCTACACAGGAGGCTGAGCAGGAGAATCGCTTGAACCTGGGAGGCGGAGGTTGCAATGAGCCGAGATTGTGTCACTGCACTCTAGCCTGGGCGACAGAACGAGACTCCGTCTCAAAATAATAATAATAATAATAATAATAATAATAATAGGCATGGTGCGGTGGCTCACACCTGTAATCCCAGCACTTTGGGAGGCCAAGGTGGGTAGATCACCTGAGGTCAGGAGTTCGAGACCAGCCTGACCAACACGGAGAAACCCCATCTCTACTAAAAATACAAAAAAATTAGCTGGGCGTGGTAGCGCATACCTGTAATCCTAGCTACTTGGGAGGCTGAGGCAGGAGAATCACTTGAACCTGGGAGGCAGAGGTTGCAGTGAGCCAAGATCGTGCCATTGCACTCCAGCCTGGGCAACAAGAGTGAAACTCCGTCTCAATAAATAAATACATAAAAATAAAAAAAAAAGAGACCAGAAATACCCATTTTGAAGGGTTGTTATTAGGGCTAAATGAGATAACATATGAAACAACCTTGCATAATTCTTGGAACATAATAGACAACTAATAAAATTAGTTTCTTTCCTTTCTGAAAAAATTAGTATGTCACAAAATGATTTTCAAAATATTGAGTAACTGTTCTAGTAAACAGTAATATAAGTTGCCAGACACCCAAAAGGGCTCATGGCAGGAAGAACGGGGGAGTGAGGCTAGATTGGAGCCTCCAGATGTTGCCAAGTCTATTTTTTTGTCTTTAGGTAAAAATGATCTTAGGAAGAGATGATTCTCCCCATTGTGACGTGTTCTTTTGTTTTGTTTTTGAGACAGAGTCTCGCTGTGTCGCCCAGGCTGGAGTGCAGTGGCACAATCTTGGCTCACTACAACCTCCACCTCCCAGGTTCAAGAGTTTTCCTGCCTCAGCCTCCCGAGTAGCTGGGATTACAGATGCCCACCACCACACCTGGCTAATTTTTGTAATTTTAGTAGCGATGGATTTTCACCATGTTGACCAAGCTGGTCTTGAACTCCTGACCTTAAGTGATCTGCCTGTCTCAGCATCCCAAAATGCTGGGATTACAGGTATTAGCCACTGCACGTGGCCCATTGTGACCTATTCTGATATCTAATGTTTGTTTTCTAGAAATTCTATCTAATATGATCTCTCTCTCTCTATCTAATATGATCTCTCTCTCTCTCTTGCTCCTTTCTTTTTTTTTTTTTTTTTTTGAGACGAAGTCTCGCTCTTGTCCCCAGGCTGGAGTGCAATGGCCCGATCTTCACTCACTGCAACCTCCACCTCCCGGGTTCAAGCGATTCTCCTGCCTAAGCCTCCTGAGTAGCTGGGATTATAGGCATGTGCCACCACGCCTGGCTAATTTTTGTATTTTTAGTAGAGACGGGGGTTTCACCAAGTTGGCCAGGCTGGTCTCGAACTCCTGACCTCAGGTGATCCGTCCACCTTGGCCTCCCAAAGTGCTGAGATTACAGGCATGAACCACCGTGCCTGCCCCTCTAATATGACTTCCTTCCAATCATTTAAGCTAATTTCCTCACACACAGGGAAGGAATCTCATTATTATCTTCCAAAGTGGTTTGTATAATTTTTCTTGAAAGCCATTTTTTTTCTTGTTGCCTCCATCCACTGTTTTCTACTATTTTCCTTTGTTTGTTTCTTTGTGTTGCTAGTTTCCCTATCTAGTGATAGATAGAAGTTGTTGGCCAGGCGCAGTGGCTCATGCCTGTAATCCTAGCACTTTGGGAGGCTGAGGGAGGTGGATTGCCTGAGGTCAGGAGTTTGAGACCAGTCAGGCCAACATGGTGAAACCCCGTCTCTACTAAAAATACAAAAAAATTAGCCAGGCGTGGTGGCGGGCGCCTGCAATCCCAGCTACTCGAGAGGCTGAGGCAGGGGAATTGCTTGAACCAGGGAGGTGGAGGTTGCAGTGAGCCGAGATCGCGCCACTGCACTGTGGCCTGGGTGATAGAGCGAGACTCAGTCTCAAAAAAAAAAAAAAAAGTTATTTCGAGGGAACTAATTGACATCATTATAAATGAAGATTCTTTTAGGACTGTGGAAAGATTTCTAGTGCTTTATCCTTGCTTTAAAATTCAAGTTGTGAAACACATCTTTACTTCCTCCCTGTTCTCTTAGAGCAATTCAGTGATGTTTCTGTGAGCAGATTCTGTAGTAATCATAAGCAGTTGACAGGATTCGCTCTGCTTTGTGTTAGCTAAACAATGAGAACAGCAGATGCTACAAAGTAAAAATAACTGTTAAGACTTTTAATGTGTGTGCTAAACTGTACATTTGGGAGGCTCTGAATTGTGGCAAGAGTTTTAGTAACCTGAAATGTTTTTTTTAAGTGCTTATTCATTTAGTGCAGTTAGTACAAACTCAGGTTTTTTTGGAGTTGTGCTTGTACTCACCATCATGTAATTGTGAAGTGAACAAATACATCACTGTGTGGCATCTCATGTCGTAGGACATGTATTTGAGTTGACAATAAATATTAAATGACTGTGAAAGAATGATATAATGCCAGCAAGGAGAAGAAATACCACACAGAGTTAAATTTTGCATATAAACGTTGGCAAAGTGCTGCAGTAAATTACCGTTTTCTTCATAATATGAAATTCCTTTGCATGGTGCAAAGGAAGACCTTTTTAAGCAAAGAGTAATCTCTGGAATTCAGCATTAAGACTCTAGTTAATTTCAGGATTTTGTTGTTATTGTTGTTGTTGCTTGTTGTTGCTCCTTTGCAGGGAACCAACCAAAAACAAACTCCATCCATTTTTACTGACTTAACATCAAAGAAAGCTTGAATGTGTAAGAAATTCCTTGTGCACAACAAGAGGAAGAAATTTAAAAGTTAATTAACATTTCCGTTCACTGTATTTGTTTTAATTTATATTGTTTGTAATTTTGGAATACATCTGTTAGTTCTTTTTGCTTTGTGTTACCTCTTAGTACGTCATAGTAATATTTTCTTTTTATCAGGATAGCACCATAATTGGGTACTTAATTTGTTTGGAACCTGAGAATGTTGTTCTATTTATATTTTATAATTTGCATAAGAATTCAGTCCTAAAACTTTAATATTTACAAATATCTATGTAATGGTTTTACTTATTGATAGAGTGCAGAGAAAGTATATATATTTATCCATATATAGAAAATAAAGTATTAAATTTATATTTGAAGGAACTCTGCAAAGAAATTTTTATATTAAAAATTTTAAGAATGGAATCTTCTGAATTTTTCAGAGTTCACAAGTACATGTATACCTGTAGATGTAATTGTAGTCTTAGAACAGTGACAATTAAATGCTTATCTGCTAACCAGTTAGTGGAACAAACTGGATTATTTCCAAATGTAATCAAGTTACTATTAACTTGTAATCATAGCACATGCTCTCAAGCTTTTATAACTTCCTATTCTTAAAGTAATAAATATATTCCTGTCATACTCACGCTTAAGCACATTGAATTGGTGCCTGGGTAATACTGGTCTAATATTTCTCTTTTGGCACTTAAACTTACCGTTCTCGTGTTTTCTCCTTCTTCATTTCTTTAGGATGCATGTGCCTTTTAGACAGCATTGATAATGGAGTTAATGAAAGAGAATCATCAAACAGTGATACAGAGGGTGACCTGGCACCAGAGCTCTATCTAGTTGCTTTATTGAGGTAGTCAAAGAGACCATGTATGTAGACAAGGAGGTGTCCTAGGGTGTAGGAATTTTTGATATGGTATCTCACTCTTTGTCAAAAGAAAAATCAATTTTCCAGGGCAGTTTTTGATAGAAGACAGAATTTGAGCACAATTCTAAGAATAAAATGTTTTGCATTTGAACTCAGATTGAGTTCAAATACACTCCATGTTTACAAAGTAAATATGGCCAGTTTCCATATTTGGGCACATTGCTTAACATGTTTGAGATTCATTTTACTCATCTAACATATATTGAAGCTTACCATTTCTCGGGTGTTATACTGTTTAGTTCTCATCTAAACTTAATCTTTCCTCCTACCCCCTTAAAAAATACATTAGGAAGCTAGGGCTTTTAAGGCTAATAACTTGCTCTAGGTTGTATAGTGAGTAAGTGGCAGAATAAAGATTTGAGCCCAGATCTCTTTGATGCCAAATTTCAAGCTCTTAACTTCTAAGCCGGTGGTTCCCGCACTTTAGTGTGGAGCAGAATTACCTGGAAAGCATACATTGCTGGGACTTAGAGTTTCTGATTCTACAATAGGGCTCAAGAATTTGTATTATTTCTATTATTTTTTTTTAATCATTTTAGTTTTTTTTTAGAGACAGGGTCTTGCTCTGTTGCCCAGGCTGGAATTCAGTGGTGCGATCATGGCTCACTGCAGCCTTGAACTCCTGGGCTCAGGTGATGCTCCCATCTTGGCTTCCCAGAGTGCGGAGATTACAGGCATGAGCCACAATGCCTGGCTAATTTTTTATTTTTTTAGAGACAGGGTCTCACTGTGTCGCCCAGGCTGGTCTTGAACTCCTGGTCTCAGCCATCCTCCTGCCTCAGCCTCCCAAAGTGTTGGAATTACAGGCGTGAGCCACGGTGCCCAACCAGAATTTGTATTTGTAACAAGGTCCCAGATGTTTATGCTGCTGTTTCTGGGAACTATATTCTAAGAACCACAGTTCTATGCTGTGCTGCCTGACTTGATTCCTCTGAGGGATAAATGAGAGAATTCACATGTGCTTGTGTTAATAATCACTGACATTTATTGACTACTTATAATGTCCTGGATGCTCTTCCAAGTTAATTCCTTTTTATCCTGAGTTTATTTTAGGAGCTAGTTAAATTGCAGGGAGAGTACGTGAGGTTATACTCACTACTTCAAAGAGAAGGAAACTGAAGTAGGAAGAGGTGCCCAGTAAGTGGTCTCACAGTGAGTCAGTGGTAGAGCAGGTTACCCTCATTATTGCTTCTGTCTGCTGAGCTGGTTTGGAAGGCCAGTGTCTTCTTTGGAGCCATCTCCAGAAGGAGAGATTTCGTGCTATAGGAAGGTTGAAAGAAAAGTAGACCCTTCCTTTCATCTACTGGTGTTTTTTGTCCTTGGAGGACTATTGCAGAGCAGGCCTGGAAAAAAAGAATTTTCCTCCTTTTTATATCATTCTTGAGCATTCTGAAGGGTGGATGATGTACTTTGTTATTCTGATGAATGATGTGATTCTGAAAATGACCTATATTTCAGTTGAACTGTGAGATCTTTGGATAAAAGGGATTCCAGGAGATTTTGTATGTAAGAACCATGCTAGTGGTGCTAGTGCATTAAATTAGAAAATGTGTTGACTGATGGTGGCCACACTCCAGCAAGGCATCTGTGGTGTTAACCTGCCCATGGCCGCTCCAGTAGCCAAGGAAAATCTCAAAAGCAAAATGCAAGAGAGTGAGAAAAAAAAAATCTATTGTAATTAAGTCTGAAACCTGTACTCTGCTTAGGAAACTGTGTGGTTTCTTCATTAGTTTTAAAGAGAAAAATCCTACAGAGAAAGCGTCTTAAAGAAAAAAATGGTCTTAAGAGAGAGTATAAAGCAATTTCAGAAGGTGAGATCACATTGATATATGAATGAATACTTGGTGTATTTGGTTCAGTTAAAAATTTTGTTGAGTGACTGTTATGTACAAGATACTTATAAAAAAAATTTGTCCTTCCTCTCAAGGAGAACTTATAGTAGCCTTCACAGTTGAATGTTTAGTTAATTTATAAATGGGCATCCAGTCTGAAATTAGTGTAACCTGATGTGGATCTTGTCTCCATGCTACTGATAGGATTTTCATGATACCAGTATTTGAATCTTGGGACACATTTTTCTTTTTAATGGGGTATCTGTTTCACTGCAGAGCTAGAGCTAGATCCCAAGCTTCCTCACTCTCAGCTTGGCGTTCTCCCTGATTTAGGATGCCTTTATTTATTTAGTGTATAGATTTATCTCCAAATATTAAGCAGTGAACTTTCAAAAGGGTATTACGACTTGTCCTACTTTTTTGGATATATACATCTGTATTTTATCCTTGGTTTTTTTTTTTCTTTAAGATTTTAAATGCAACCTAGACACTTGTGGTTAGGGTGCTGAATTTTGACATATGCGGTTTGACGGAAAGAATCACTGGTGTGTCAATTCTGGTTTGTTGTAGGTTAACGAAGCCCTTGTCATTTGCTGATTGTGTTGGGGATGAGCTGCCGTGGGGATGGGAAGCAGGGTTTGACCCTCAGATTGGTGTCTACTACATCGATCACATCAACAGTAAGTTTTCCTTTTTGGTAAAAGCAAACATATCAGAAAAGTAATCCCCCAAAACCTACAGTCACACAAAAGAATAAACATGTTACAAAGTGAATTTCCAAAACCCCATTTTCTTAGTGACTAATATTTAACTGAAGTGCCTGTCTTGGTATTTGGGGCATGTACATAGAGTTGTCCTTATGGGGGCGGAGAGGGAGAAAGGGTATCTGGCCCGTGTGCCTGCCTGCCTGCCTGCCTGCTGGGGAATGAGGATTCTCCTTCAGCACAGGTCTGGGAACCTGTGGGGATCAGAGCTGCTGGGCTCCTCTTTCCATGGCCACTGCACCTTCTGACAGGCTCTTCCTTTCCTTGTGTTTGCCACAGAAAGACTTGGGCGTTGGCACAATGTGGTTTGTAGGCTGGGACTGGGGAGGGGTTGGCCTGCATCAGTGGCTCTGGAAGACATAGCGTAGCTGGGAAAGGTCCTAAACCTCTTCCTTTTTTCTGTTTCCTGATTTCTTTGTCGTTGGAAGGGAAAAACCTCTCATTTTAACAGCTCTTAAATCTGTCATATCTCTGACATGGTCAGTCTAGGGCAGAGGATTACTGTGGCCGTGAATGACTTTCAAAAACACATACTTTGAAATATTTTTTATATATTTGTGTATGTTTGTGTGTGTGTGTTTATATGAATATCTAGCACTCTATCTACTCCTTTAAAAATGTATTCAGATGGTAGCATACAATACTCATTCACTTTGCTTATTCACTTAAAAATAATTATTTTATTTTTATAAGTTTTGCGGAATACATAATGAATTTATTCCTCATTGTCTTATTTCTTTTAGATCTATTCTTATATTTAAAATTTGTATATGTAGTACTCTGTAGTATCTTTAGGAACAGTATCACTGTAGCAAAGTGTTTCATTTGATACTCACTCATTAGTGATGGCTTGCAGCTGCCCTTGTGTAGGTAGATGATGTATTTCTCAAGAGGCCAAAAAAGCCTGTATTATTAGCTGTGAGGCACCATCTTCCAGGCGGGTGAGGTGGAAGGGCAGAAAGGAGCGTAAGCACTCTGAAGTCCAGTGAGCACATATGGTTAGTGATCTGTTTCAGTAGAACACCTGTCATACACAGCTTGGGAACCAGCTTTCATGTATACTGTACATTATTAGTTCAACACAAATACAAATAATAGTTTCTACAAGTTGTTACCTCAGCCTCTTTTATATGATCAGAAGAAATGCGACTTTTTTGTAGAGCTATTATTTATCTCTCCCTGAAAGTTTCTGAAAGTTCTATGAAGAATCAATGATTGTGTTTTTAAGTTAGCTTTTAATTTTTCTAATAAATGTTTATTGATATACTGTATTAGTATATACCAGGTTTTATTGTGTATCAGTCACTGACAACCAAATGTCATCTGTAAGGGTGAAATGAACTAATTTTGATAAAATTCAGTTCACTTTAAGCACGGTGTCTCACCCTTATGTCATTGCAAATAAACAAGTCAGTGAAATATCTGAAATGTATTAACTATTTAACTCTCACTTTTATGCTTATTTTAGATGAATAATTGTGTAGCTTTCTTTCCTTAAAGTAGTATTTGGGAAACCAGAAACCAACCTCGCCATCCTGGGTCAACAAAAATAAGCTCTGTTGGTACCAAAATGAGAAAAGAAATCCTCTTAGCCTCCTTCTCAACACCTACAAACTCTTTGGTATCTAAACCCACCTTCAGGGCTTCCTCCTCTTTCTCAGTGAAGGAGGCATTCCTCTGGACACCTCCACCCCTACAGATACCTCTTAATAACTTTTCTATTTCATCATTCTCTCCTGTTTGGTATCTTTACTAGTTATTTCCTGATTTTAAAATGTTCTCCCACCATTTCTATTAATAAATGATTCTTTTGTCTTAATGTATAAACACTGGAAACTCTCAAAACAAAACCAAAACTGCAAAAGAAATACAAACAGATGGCATTAAACTCCCTTTCGTCACCCTCTCAAAACCATCCTTCAACCAGAATCCCTTGCCAACTGTGGTTGCCTCCTCTTCCCTTCACAGCCAGACTTGCTGAAAGCTGTAGTCTGCAAGAACTCCACTTCCTCCATTGTTCTCCACCATCTCACAGAACCTGTTCTTGCTGAGGGCACCCGAGACCCCACGATGTAGTTTGGATATTTGTCCCATCTAAATCTCATGCTGAAATGTAATCTCCAGTGTTGGAGGTAGGGCCTGATGGGAGGTGATTGGATCGTGGGAGTGGATTTCTCCTGGTTTAGTGCCATCCCCTTGGTGCTGTCTTTGCTGCAGTGAGTTCTCACGAGATCTGTCTGTTTGAAGGTGTGAAGCATCTTCCGCTTACTCTCTTGCTTCCTCTCTCACCACATAATGTGGTGCTCCCGCTTTGCCTTCCGCCAAGAGTAAAAGTTCCCTGAGGCCTCCCCAGGAGCCCAGTAGACACTGGGGCCGTGCTTGTATATCCTGCAGAACCGTGAGTTAATTAAACCTCTTTTCTTCATAAATTACTCAGTCTCAGGTATTCCTTTATAACAAGGCAAGAAGGGTCTAATACACCCTACAAACTATCAAATCCAAACAACACTGTAGTCTTGTCTCTGTGACTTGCCACTGTGAGTTATTCCCTCCTGCTCTTTACTCTTTGGATTTTGTGACATACTGTTCACATACGTGACCACACCTGCCCAGCTTTCTTTTGCCTCTTTCTTCTTCACCGGGACCTGCTGTCAGGATTTCTGTAATAGTCTTTAGTCTTCTGCTGTTTGCATGCTGCAGATCTCCTTGGGTGATAACTTCAGTTACTTCCTTCAGACTGCTGGCTGCCACATCTGTCTAAGTCTTTCCCAGAGTCCAGATGCATGTGTTCTATTCCTTGCTAGAAGGCTCTTCCTAGTCTGCTTGCACCGGCCTCTCCTTTTTCATCTCCTGCCCTGCCTGGCACTGGAGGCCTTTAGGAGGACCCTGTGCCTCCTCAGCTGGCTGCCTTTCTTTGCATCTGTAGAGTCTAGCCTGAGCACTCTCTGCACAGCCCCTAGGCCCTCCCTTTGTCTGAAGGCCACATCCTTCTAGGGGCAGTCTGCTCAGGTGCCACTGCTTCCCACAGGCCTTCTCTGATACCCACCCCTCCACCTCACAGGTCCCCGTCCCATTCTGGTCGAGTGCCCCATCCAGATATTTCCAGAGGACCAGGTGCATAGGGATTTTTTTAAAAAGCATTTTCATATTGCATTTATATTATTTTTTGTATGTTTTCCTCACTAAATTGTGAGCTTCTTAAGGGCAATGACTGCATCTTTTATGTTTTCATCGCTGGGCAACTAGTATAATGATAAACTCTTAAAATGTTAAAAAGAAGAGCTTTATTGCTTAACTCAGCAATCAAAAGCTTTCTGTTATTTAAAGGAATTAAAGTACATTTCAAGTATAAATTATGTGTCAAAAAACACCATTTTGAATATTTTAAAACTTCACTATTAGAATATAAAATTTTAAGTCTGCTATTTTGCTGTAATGGTAATGGTATTCTGGTGATCTGTTGTACCCAAATGACCGACAGCAAACAGTTCACCCACTGAAAACGATCTGGTCCATTGTCTCATTAATCTTCAAGACATTCCTGTGAAGTAGTTTAGGAAGCAAATGGTATTATCTTCTCAAACAGCTGTTCCACACATATGTTGTGTTCTGACATCGTATAGTTTCAGCATCATTTTCTCATTATTTAAATAAAAAATGAAATAAGGAATGTTTGGCTGTTTAACACTATTTCTAAGAAACACTATTGAATATTTAGAAGTAAAAGATTTGACCTTGACTGTGAAAGTTATTTTAGGCCATCAGTGTTGTATGATCATATTCACCTTCCAGTGGGTATATGTGGAGTGGGGGTGTAGATATCAGTGAGGGATGTTTGCAGCTAACTAGAAGGTAAATAAGGAGGTATGGTTTATAAGGTTTTGATATTATTAATACAACCAGAAGTAAATCACTTTTTGGTAGAGTCAGAGTTGTACTGTAATTTTTTTTCTTTTAGTAATCAAGGTTTCATTTACATACACAAAAATGCACTGATTTTAAGCGTGTATTTTGGGTGGACTTTGACGTATGTATAGTCCTTTGTAACTTGCCCCCGCATCAAGGTACAAACTTTGTCCGTCACCCTGGTAAGTTCTGTCCTGCCCCTTTCCAGTCAGCCCTCCCTACTGCGGCAGACATTGTTCTGATTTCTATCACCATAGCTTAGTTTTGTCTGTTCTGGAACTTCATGTAAAAGGATTGTGTTCAGTTTTGGGAATAGATTCTTTCAGCGTGTTTTGCAGTTTGCACCTGTAGTCCCAACTACTTGGGAGGCAGTTTGCACCTGTGGTCGCACCTACTTGGGAGGCTGAGGTGGGCAGATTGCTGGAGCCTAGGAGTTCAAGGCTGCAATGCGCTGTGATCACACCACTGCACTCCAGCCTGGTTGACAGAGTGAGACCCTGTCTCAAGAACAAACAAACGAAAAGTAATGGTATATAGGAGAAAAGTAGAAAATATAGATAAATGAAAAGAAGAAAAATTATCTATGTTCATACAACCCAGAGTTAACTAAGTATTCTAAATCTTCTGACGTGTATCCTTCCAGACTTTTTCATATTGATACACACATGCACATATACACAGTTTCTTAAAATTTATTTTTGTTTTCATTTTTTGGGGGTAGAGATGGCATCTCTCTGTGTTGCCCAGACTGGTCTTAAATCTGACCTCAAGGAATCTCCCCACCTCACACACAGCTTTAAATGTATTTTACATCGCAAATGGGATTATATTATATATACTGTTTTATAAACTTTTTCATTTAATGTATAATTTTCACCAAAAAATTTTTTGCACCATGATATCAATTCTTTTGATAATAGAACTTCACATTTCTGTCAGATGATTTTCATAGAATATAGTCAAGATTCTTTGAAGCTGAGCATGGTAGCTCTTGCTTGTAGTCCCAGCTACTCAGGAGGGTGAGGTGGGAAGATCGCTAGAGCCTAAGAGCTCAAGGCCAGTCTTGGTAACATATAAGACCTCGTCTCTTTAAAAAAAAAAAAAAAAAAAAAAAAAAGGTTCCTTTTGTGCTCTTGCATAAAACCCTTTTGTGGCACATTACTGCTTTCAAAATGAGTTTCATATTCATTTACTGGACATTCAAGAGATCATAGGCTAGTCCTTCTTGGGGTATTGGTAAAGAAATGAGAATGTGTAGTGAAATAAGGAAAGGACCACCACCATGCCAGGAGAAGATGGGGAAACATGAAGAAGCAGCCTTTCCATTCTAAAGAGTGTAGCCACATCTACTTGGAGAAAGTGCTTTAAGCTGAAACCAAAGAGATGACTGAGTTAACCAGGCTGGAGAAAAAGACGGTGGGGAAGAAGGAGGACCACAAGTAGATTCAAAGGTCTCAAGAAGCAGGACTTGAGGAAAGCAGGACTTGAGGAAAGACATGCAGGAAATTCAGTGCAGCTGAAGGCTGGTGTGACTGGGGTAACCGGGGGTTTTGACTGGGGCAGGGAACGGGCCAGGTTCTTTTGTCGGGAATCTTTCAAAGCCCTCTTTAATTAAGCCTGTTCCACGGAACTGTACTCTTTTCAGCCAGAAGAAACGCATTTGTCTCTAAACTGCCATGGTACTAGCCACTCATACACTAGCCATGCACATAGCCATTCTCCGCTCAAGGCATTAATTGTGTTCTGCGTACATCTATGTCACTATTTCTTCTACATTTTGTAAGTTTCTTGGAAGGAGGGATCATGCCCGATTATCTTATTTTTCCAAACCCTGTAGTAGATGGCCAATAATTGTCTGTAGAAATTAACGAACAAATAATAAATGAATATAGCAGATACTTTATAAAAAGGAAGATAAGGAAAGTTACTTATATTCATTTGATTTATTCTTCCTAAGCACAGTAGGAAGAACAGAAATATGCATTATAGACAAAAAAAATCTTCTTTGAAGAATCTAATGTTATCTTCCATGATAAGCTCTTGTAATTCACATGTGTTCTCTACCTATAAAGTTTCACATCTATAAAACTGATGGAATGTGAATTCCCTTGAGGTACAGGGCATTTTGACAGTATTATATATTGCTTCTTTAATATAGTAGAAAACAGCAAATTATATTATAATGCCATGAGCTCCCAAGGCCACTGGGTCTTAATAAAAAATACCACATTTGTGTAATATACTTGAGTATTTACATTTAAAAAATAATCTTCACAAATCTATTCTGCAAATACAACGATGGAGATGAAGCACCATCCTGCTTTATGAAGCCTTCTAAGGTGGCTTTGGGAACCCTCTTTTGTAGTTCATATTTGAATTGTGCAGTATTTCAGAAATGAGAATGCTTCCCACTGACTCTCTTGTAATATGCGGTGTTTAAACCAGTCTACTGGAGTGTTTTTCCTGACCTATCCAAGACAAATGCTGATAGTTTATTATCATCATCATTATTGCCCTTTATTCATTTAAGTGTCAGTCAGTGTTTCGTGGCATTTTAGCCAGTGACAAGTATTTTATTGAAATATACCGTGTCCCCAAGATGGAGGGAAATATGATTGGCTGAAACCTCAAAAGATTGAGAGAGAACTGAGAGTACATATCTTATAATTATTATAACTTAAGAACATTTCAGATTTTTAACATACATTTTTAATTTTTATTATCTCTTTATTAGTTTATTAATTATATATCTCATTGTCACAAATTGTTCCAAAACTTAGTGGTTTAAAATAATATTTATTATCTCATGGTTTCTGTGGGCCATGAATCTAGGCAAGACTTAGCTGGATACTCTGGCTCAAGGTCTCTGTGGTAGTTTGCAATCAAGGTGTCAGCCAGGCTGCAGTCATCTCAAGGCTGACTGGAGAAAGATTTGCTTCCAAGCCACTCGTACGGTTGTTGGCAGGATTCACTTCCTTGCTGGCTGCTGGCCACAGGCCTCCCTCATTCCATGCCACGTGGGCCTCTCCACAGGACAGCTCACAACGGGGCAGCTTGCTTTGTTAGAGCCAAAAAGCCAAGAAGAATCAGGGAGAGAGAGAGTGAGCAGGACAACAGCACAGTCTTTTGTAACCTAATCTCAGAAGTAATATCTTGTCACTTATTCTATGTTCTGTTCATTAGAAGCAAGCCATCAGATCTAGCGCATACTCAAGAGGCATAAATTACTAGGAGATGAGGATTATTGGGAGTCATCTACAGTTCTGAAAACTTTTGAAGACCACACATTTATGTTCGTTAGAGGATGAATTCTGTACTTTGAGGCAGGTTGCACTCACATATATAAATATTGGAAATAGATATAGGTATTAAATATTAGGATATTCAGAGACCTGAGTTATAATGAATATTTGAACCTGAGAAGTTTGGACTCTTATTGACTGATCTCTGCCCATCTCCCACATTCTCCAGATGGCTGGGCTGCCTTGTGGTGGTGATGTCCTTGAAGATTCTTGGCTGGAGGGTCTGTCCATCCTGTACATCTCTTGTTTAGACATCAGCTCTAGCATACAGTTTGTTTGTTTTTTTTCACAGTTAGGTGAGATATACATCTTCTGCATATTTAAATATTTACATCTTTAAAATTAGTGTTTAAAATACTACTTTAGAGAAAGCTCAACTTTAGCCAGTGAGTGTGAGGCAAGAGCTCTAGGTCTAAAGCAGTGGTTGCACTGTGCCCGTCCGACTCAGGCCATTTTGTTGATCACCCAGGGCTTCTCTTGGCCTCAAAAGGACCCAGCCTTCACAGCCTGAATCACTTTAGCTTAGAGTCATCCCTTATCCCTAGAGGCCAGGTTAAACACCCACAGAACCAGTCTGGTCTCTGGAAATTCCTGTGGGCCAAGTCAGATGCCCTCTGACTTATTAACGAACAAATAACAAATAAATATAGCAGATTATTCTCTAGGTTTTGACTTGCTGTAGCTCTTGGGGCCAACCAGAAATACTTCGTTGGGCTGCATTAAGATTGAGATTACCAGGCAAAGCTTTTTGAAGACAGTATATGCCCCTGGGCATTCCAGAAAATTGATAGTATTTCTATTCTAATCTATCAGGAACAGGTTCTTACGTTCATATAGTGGCCAGCCCCATGGCCCATCTTGTTTTGATTATACCCAGGATTTAATTTATAGAGGTGACTGAGTGATGATGGGAAGAGGTCAGTGCCATTGAAAGAAGTTTTATTATAGTTCTCAAGGGAAGGGGGCATACTACACCATTCTGGGCCACATAGTGGGGAAGCGCTTGGGTTGGTTGGAAGGCAGAAGGAGCAGAGGAGAAATCATGGCCCAGAGCCTGTATTGTGGTTTCCTGGGGAAGGAATGAGTGAGGCAGGGTAGGCAAATCTGAGCAAGTTTAGGATTGGCTAGGTTGAATAATTTCGGCAGACTCTGGGTTATGGGAATGGTCTCTAGTTGTCCAGTATCTTCTCTGGGGGGTGGTGTAGGGCAGGGGAAATATTGGTTTGGAGTCTGAGTTAGATAAAAGAGGAGGTTAGGGATATGGGCTTTTGGACTGTTGGTTTACATATGAAGGATGGGCTCATGGGAGTCATTTGCTATCTCTAAGAATTAAATTAGCCCTGGGAGGGGCAGTCTCTTCCCAGACAGCAAGGCCCCCAAGACATCAAAGCATCATAAAATATATAAAATTTTAAAAAATGATCAATACACCATCCACTGACAAATGGAAAGTGCAACATTATGTGTCATACTAAGAAACTTTGAGAAGAAATATTTTCTTGATTGTTTTTCGGTCTCATCTGCTGATCTGCCCCTGACATCTTGTATAAATACATATGTGGTGGAGTGTGCAAATTCCACTAAAGGAAGAGGGAGCAGAGTGGATATAATTTTATAATTTATTAAGTTACAAGTCTCTTTTTTCTCCGGTGTTGCTGCCATGTGCACAGATTGAGGGGAAGTGTTGAGCATATGTATATATAATTCATTTGTTACAGCTGACTCTATCCCATTTTCATCAGCTGGTTCAAGCCAGGGTAGGTTAACATGGGTGCAGAGTGATCTGTGGAGCCTTAGTTCTAGACACAGATGCTCTCTGGAGTCAAGGCTGGGGAAAGGAATGTGACTTTATAATTTCTTTGCTTTTGCAATCTGAGTATCAGAGACAGTGTTATAGCTTACTAGCGTTAAAGGCTTTTTATATTTTGCAGTATCTCATTTAATCTTCCAAACAGCCCCCTGAATTAGCTCCATTTTATTAAGGAGGAAATTGAACCCTGGAAAGGTTTAAGAACCTGCTCAAGGTCACACAATTTGTAAATGACACACCTGAATTTGAACCCAGTTAGACTGAATACAGGGTTTATGATCTTAACTACTGGGATATTACATCTCAGTTCTTTTTTCCAGTATTCGTATTCTTATAACTTCCTCAGGACTCAAAATAATTCATTTGCTTTTTTTTTTTTTTTAAACTTTCATTATGACCTGAGTCTCAGTATTCTCAATGTACATTCCAATATGGAATCATTTTAATTATTCAGGTATTAGGTGGAAGGAAGAGTTATCCCTCCTTTTCCTGTTTAGTTTTTCACAATGCGGGTACCTCAGCCCTTCTGAGGTACCCGCATTATCACCCAGGTGGTAGTGCTACCATATCATTTTGTTTTTTTCTTCTTCCTCCTGCACCTCTGTACCTCCTCATCCCCTTCTAGTAATAAGTGCTGAGGTTCTTATTGGAACACTTTCCTTTTATATGTTCCATAGTCCTTCTGTATCCACTCCTTTCATTTCCAGTGTGGCCTGGGCTGACTAATGTACACTCTCTACACCCCTAAGAAAGGGGTTGTGGAACTCTGAGTGGGCTGTGGAAGTATTTTCAGGTATGATATGACATCAAGGGCTTAAAATCTAAGAGTACTGTTACTAATGGTACACAAAAATGATTTTATTGAGTCAGTTAGGCTGTGCCTTAATCTAATTTTGTTTTTACAATAACCAGAGCTGCGTATTTATTCAGTTCTCTAGTAGAATCTTAGAAAACAATTGCTAGAACTTGCCGTTACATTTCTCTATTAATGACAGGTTTATTTTCCTTTTTTGTTTTCAAGAGCGATTCTTCCTCTCATTTCTCCCCTGCCTTGCCCATACACACAGTGTTACTAAGAGCCGCCATCACAGGAGGGTATGAGTAGTACAGTCCAAGACCAAACTTCTTCAGTTTCCATTTGCATAGATTATACAAGGGTATGTTGGGTTGAGTTCTCTCAGAAGCAAACCCTAAGCCAAGAATTTAAGTGAAAGTGGTTTATGAAGGAAATCCCAGGATAAACCAGTAAGGAAATGAGGAAAGAAAGAAAGTGGAGGGAAAAAAACAGCTGAAGGTTTTATTTCTGCAAAGTCTCTGACTCCACATGATTGTGGTGGCTCTAAAGTACAATTTCTACCTCAGAGTTTGCCCTACCTGGGAGTTCTTTCTGTCTTCTTCACTTGTCAGTCATTGGCTGCAGGTGAGTTAGCGAAGTGCTCTAGAGCAGTCAGACATCCATCAACAACAAACAGCAGGCTGTGGCAGAAAGACCCGAGAATACCAGGATAGGACACCAACAGTGTCTGCTACAAAGGCTGCATCAGAAAATATTCGTCCATATTTCAGCCTCTTTTTACAATCGAGAGACATGAGAGTAAGAGAGGTAAAATACTTAGAGTCTCACATCTGGCTAGGTGGATATGGAACCCACACGGCCTTACTCCCTAACCAGTGCTCTTTTCAACAGCTGGTAGTGGCAAAGGATTTTATTGCTGTTCCATTATACCTCATTTCTCTTTATCAGTCATCATCAGTCATTCATTTGAACCTTGTAAAGCATATTTTAATAATAAACTGTAAATCAGCTTTATTATTATATACAAATACATAAATTGCATCTATTTTCACTATACAATTCATGAGTTTTGACAGGTGTATACCATGTAACTATCACAATAATCAAGATAGGGAACATTTCCATCCCCTCAAAAAGAGCTTTCTTCTTGCTCTGTTGTAACAAGTACTTCTCAGTACTGCTGGGCCCAGGCAATCACTTTCTGTCATTGGATTGGCTTTACTTTTGCCCGAATTTCATATAAATGGAATCATACAGCATGTGGTCTTTTGTGTCTGGCATCTTTTCACTCAACATGTGTTTGAGAGTCTTATATATTGCTGTTGAGTATTTTGTTTCATTTTATTGCTGAGTAGTATTTTATTGTATGGATATACCACAGTTTGCTTAGCCATTACCTGTAATAGTTTTGTCTATTATGAATAAAGCTGCTAATGAGCATTTGTTTAGAGGTCTTTTTGTAGATACATATTTTCATATCTCTTGGGTAAATAACAAGTTGTAGGATTGCTAGGTTGTATGGTAATTGCTAAGTTGTTCTCCAAAGTGATTGGACCATTTTAGATTCCCGGTAGCAATGAATGAGAATTCCAATTGCACCACATCCTCTTCAACACTTGGCATTGCCAGTTTTTAAATTCTAGCCATTTTACATAGTGAGCAATGGTATCCCATTATAGTTTTGACTTGTATTTCGCTGATAATTAGTGATGTTGAGTCTCCTTTCATCTGCTTACTGGCTATTTGCACAATAGTCAGTAGATGTGCAGGTTTATTTTTGGACTCTATTCTGTTGCAACATAGCTGTTTTATCTAGATTATGCTTATTCCATCCTTTCTACATTTCGAGATCTGTTTCTATTGACTGATTTTTCTCCAGATTATGGGCCATATTTTTGTGCTTTTTATGTTGGTAACATTATAGTGGATGCTAGACATTATAAAGTTGGTTTTGTTGTTGTTGTTTTCATTGAGTGCTAGGTTTTGTGCCTTTTAGGGAGTTTTATATTTTTTTTCTTCTGACCGGCAGTTAAGTTACTTGCTGACCAGCTTGGTCTTTTAGAAGCTTGTTTCAAAGCTTTGTTAGGTTAGGTTCAGAGTAGCCTTTACCCTATGTCTTATTTAGCTCTGTTGTTAAGGTGTAACTTTGCTGTGGTCTCCACTGGATTCCCTAGATGTTCACTGTGGCCTTTCTCCTCTGGCTGGTCATAATTTGAAACTGTCACAGCCCTGTGTGAGCTCGGGGAATTTATCTGCCTATAGCGTCCCAGTTGTCCTTTGCCTGGCCTTGTGCATTTCCCGTTGTCATCTCAGCATTCACTCACAGACTTCTTGTGACCCCTGTGCAAATTTCTGGAACTTCTCCAGTCTCTGGAGCTTCTACTGTGCTTTGCTTTACAAATTCCACCTGTCATGGCTTCCGTGAAATCTGCTTCCCTCTCCCTGCAATTCAGCAGTGCCTCCTTTCTCTGCTTGAGTTACCCCTCTTTGCACTGCTGTCCAAAAAGTGCTTTCAGACAGAAATGTAGGGTAATCGTGGGGTTCATTTCCCTTCTCTCAGAGATCACAATCCTGTACTACCTGTTGTCCAACATCTGAAAACCATTGTTCATATATTTTATCTTCTAGTTACAGTGGCCCTGTTATTCCACCATGGCCTTCTTTGTGTTTTGCTTTGTTTTTTAAAAATCTCTATTAACCTTTTGTGTATCAAGCTTCATGTGTTTTCTGTATTAAAGCCATACTTCTTTTTGTCCCAAATTATCCCCTGTTTGTGTTTGCTGTTGTTGGGAGTGGGGTCCACTCGGATACAATATCCTGCTAGAGACGAGATCTTAAGTCACAATACCATAGTTTTTATGCCTTTGAACTATTCCACTTTTATTTTAAAACATGTATTACTGAATACTACACACAGAAAAGTGCATAGACTGAAATAACATAGTTTAACAAATATTTTAGAAGTGAACTGTGTAATTTCGATGGGTGAAAGAAATAGAACATCAGCATCCAGGAAACCTCTTTTATTTACTCTGTCCCATTCTCAACCCCTTCCTCTACTGGCAAATGGCCACTCTCCTTTCTTTCACAGCAGAGGGGTCCAGTACATGTCTGCAGACACAGGGGGATAGCTCTTAACCAGCCTGCACTAACCATCACCAAAACTGTCCGTTCTCTTGTATACACCATGGTATCCCAATGCTGGACAGCAGTACACTCCAACTCCTTGGCCCAACATGTGGTCAAAAAATATGTTAATTTTAAAATGTGAGAACATAAAATGTTTAGGGTAATCTGATTCTTTCATTTTTGTTTTTCTTCATGTTTTGTGGCCCCTACTGTAGCTTCACCACACAGTAAAGAATGTGTTTGGAGTTTATAAACTGAGCATAAGCTGCCATGGAAGACAGAGGATAAAGGGCTGACTTGCAGATGAGGTGGCTGGGGCACCTTCTGGAGGAGGCAGCATGTGAATGCTGTTGCAGAACACTGGTTCTTGGGCTCGGCTGCTCAATGGAATCACCTGAGCAGCTTTGAAATCTACCGTGCCTGGGTTGCATCCACAGAAACTCTAGTTGGTCTGGGTTTTTTTTTTTTAAAAGGGTCTCTGGTTGATTGTAGTTTGTGGAAGTGCAGAAGCAAGAACCAGGGCCTTAGGCTAGAGCATTCTGTATAAACAGGACCAGGGTTCTGTTTGTTTGTTTATTTTTAAATTTCAGATCCACTGCGGACTCACTGATATTTTTGTAAAATACAAGAAAAAGTGAATTACTGGAAAAGTGAAAATGTATACACACAAAGAAATGCATAGTATTTATCAACAGATAAACAATAACTGACTAAAATCGCTATAATGATTACAAAATGTTTTCTATTTCTGTCATTACTGTTGCGGACATAAAACTGAGTTCATGGACTGGTGTTGGTCTGCAGAGTAGACCAACTTTGATTAGTGCTGATGCAGAGGGCAGTGTGTCTACAGTCCTGTATTAGGTGAATGAAGGTGGGTTGGGTCCAGCTTATGCAGGGCATTGAGTGCTGGAATGAATAGCTTGGCTTTTATTCTGTAGGCACTGGGGAGCCACAGAATTCTTGAATGATCTGATTGACAACATTGTGTGTGGTAGATTTATAGTGAGAATACACTGTTGATCAGAACCTGGAAGAGGAAGGAAGTTGATGAGACTGGGTAAAATAAAACTAAAATTTCTGGAGAAGTCACTCCAGCACAGCTAAATAAACTCCTTAGAGGATACAAGAACTTAAGCTAGCCTACTCCCTAAAGCTTAAACAAGCCGGAAAACAAAGTTAAATTCTAAAAAGTACCCTCCACCTAATGTTTTCAGAAACCACGCAGATAGAAGATCCAAGAAAACAATGGAGGGGGGAACAGGAGAAGATGCTCAAGGACTACCTCTCTGTGGCACAGGATGCCCTCCGGACACAGAAGGAACTGTACCATGTGAAGGAGCAGAGGCTGGCGCTGGCCCTGGATGAATACGTGCGATTAAATGATGCCTATAAGGAAAAGTCAAGTTCTCACACAAGCTGTAAGTACAGTGTGGCTATTCAGACTTTGGAAGTGGAGACTGAATTGTAGATAACAGAAGACCACTTACATTTCTATGGAGTTTAATTTTGAGTCCTTTTCCCTCCTAAGCAGGAAGAGTCTCTCAAAACCATTGAGAGGTGAGGGCACACCCCAGATTTTCTCACCCCTACTTCAGATAAAAGAATCCCTGTTTGGGGGTTATGCATGCCTTCTGTTTCTGCACCTGCCTCTGCCAGGTTGCCTTTTATGCATTTACGAGTTAATTTTTACCTTTTCAGAACAGTGCAAGTAGTTTGGCCCTTTTTGCTACTTTTGTACAATATTTTTAGTGGGGAGGAACTGGAACTATTACCTAGAGTGTAATTTCTGTTGACCATCTGAGTTGATTTACTGCTCCCTCATCTCACAGATTGACTATTTGGAGCTGGCTTTGTTTAAAGAAGCAGCTGTGATGAGCTCAGAAGTTCTGCTTAAATTATAAATTCCTTGATAATGCAAAACTCTGATATACTGCTGCAGTATAGTCCTCTGAGGACATAGTGTGTATAAAATCCAGAAGAAAATTAAGCACCAAGGTCTTAATGACATTTCTCTTTACAGAGTTAAAAAAAATGGTAGAGGTTTGAAGATAACTTTTTATATTTAGGTGTCTGATCAATGGCAATAAAGGAATTAGAAAGCAAGTATTCACAGAAGCACATAAATCTTGTTTTTAGCTTCAGTAAATTCTAAGCTGAGAACTAGTTATGCAACTTGTAAATAATTAGTTTTTCTTTTTTCTCTATAAAAGTATTCTCAGGATCTTCATCCAGTACTAAATATGATCCCGATATTTTAAAAGCTGAGATCTCCACTACAAGATTAAGGGTAAGAAGTTTTAAATTGTGGTTCTATGTTGACCCATATGCATAGAGTCTGAAGGCTGTGGAAGGGGCTTTAGTGATCAGTTCTCATCTCCATTTGGTGTAGAAAACTCCTCCCCTTATCTCTGATGAGTGGTCCTTCTACCTTGATGTGAACAAGTTCAGAGTGTGGGATAGTCTTTATTATTGAGACAATGTGTTCCACTATTGGGTAGTGTTTTGTTTGTTTGTTTGTTTGTTTTTTTGAGATGAAGTCTCACTCTGTCACCCAGGCTAGCGCACTGCAATCTCCGCCTCCTGGGTTCAAGCAATTCTCCCGCCTCAGCCTCCAGAGTAGCTGGGATTACAGGCGCGTGCCACTATGCACAACTAATTTTAGTATTTTTAGTAGAGATGGGGTTTCACCATGTTGGCCAGGCTGGTCACATTGGTCTTGAACTCCTGACTGCAAGTTATCTGCCCGCCTTAGCCTCCCAAAGTGCTGGGATTATAGGTGTGAGTCACTGCGCCTGGCCTATTGGGCAGTTTTATTGTTAGCAGTTAGAATATTGAATCAAAATTTGAGTCTTGTAACTTGCTTTCCCTCATTGTGCTGAGTTTTGTCCTCCAGAGTTAAGCCAAGTTGCTGTTTTGTCAGACAACCCAATATTTCAAGATGCCCACAACTTAAAAGTCTAAGTCAGACTTTACTAGGTGCTCATAATGCCTCATGGAGAGGTGTTTCCTGAATCTTGGCCTGAATCTTTTTAACTAAACTGATGTTAAGGCCAGAACTTGTTTATCCTTGATTTTTAGAATATTGAAGTCTGTTCACCAAGTAAATAAACTCATGTAACCAATACCCCCTGGTCATGAACTAGGTTATTACCGTGATTTCTCCTCATTAGTTCACCTCTCCATTAAGGTGGTACTAGCCTCATGAGCACTGAGGGTTAATTTTTCACCTGCTTTGAACTTCCTAAGACTGGATACCGTATGTGTTAATTTGATGGCTCGCCTTGCTCAACAGCATTTCGAGATCCACGTTCATTTTTGTTGCTGTATAGTGTTCCACTTTTGTGTACATACCATAAATTCTTTATCTCGTAATATTGATGTACATTAAAGTTTATTTCAATTTCTGATTATTAAAAATTATGCCTTAATGTACATATCTATTATGCATTATATGTGGAACACTTATATGTTGACCCTTAAAAGGAGATCAAATATACTGAGATAGAGAATAAAACAGTGGTTACCGTGGACCTCGGGGGTGGGGCGGAGGTGAGGGGAGATGAAATGGTGAGGTGTGGTTCAAAGGATAAAAGGTGCAGATATGTGGGATGAACAAGTCTAGAGATGGAATGTACAACATGAGGACTATAGGGAATAACATTGTATTGTATTAGGATTCTTGTTAAATAAGTTAAATAAGTAGATTTTGTGACAAAAAATGGTAACTGTGTGAGCTGATGGATATGTTAATTTGATTCACTATAGTAATCATTTTACTATCTCCATGTATGCCATAACATCATGTTGTAAGCCTCAAATATACACAATACAATTTATTTAAAAAAATACAACCATGGCTCACTTAACAACGGGTATACATTCTGAGAAGTGTATTGTTAGGCAATTCCCTTGTCCTGTGAACATCACAGAGTATACTAATGCAAGCCCGTATCATAGGGCTACTACACACCTCAGCTATATGGGATAGCCTATTGCTTCCAGGCTACAAACCTGTACCGTATGATACTGTACTGAGTACTGGAAGTACATATTGTAAGTACATTCAGTACCTAGAATTATAACACACAGTGGTATTTGTGTCTAAACTTATCCAATGGTAGAAAAGGCAGTGCGAGACATACCGTCTTATATGCAGGGAAATGTGGACATGTGGCACCTGACTGTACATATCTCAGTGGATACTGCCAGTTTCAGCCCTTCTTACTTGCTTATGTCTGCACTAAGTCTCTAAGTTACTTTATGCACAGGCTTTTGCCTACATCTCACAAGTTTTGAATTTTATATTTCCATTGTTATTCAGATCAAAGTATTTTCTAACTTCCTTTATGATTTCTCATATGAGTGCATTGCTTAATTTTCAAACAATTGGAGATTTTCTTTTATTATTGACATCAACTTAAATACATTGTATTTTTCAGTTCAAAAACTTATATTTGAACCTGGGTGCAGTGGCTTACACCTGTAATCCCAGCACTTTAGGAGGCCAAGGTGGGAGGATCGCTTGATGCCAGATGTTCAAGACCAGCCTGGGCATCATAACGAGACATAATCTCTATTAAAATTAAAAAAAGTTTTAATCTCAGAATTTCTATTTGATTATTTTTCAATTGTTTCTAGTTACTTGCCCAAATTCTGCACATTAATGTGTAATTTTTGAACACTTTGTCATCCTAGAGAGGATTTAGTTTTGTTTGTTTTAGGTAGTCAGGCCAGGGTCAGGTAATTTTAATATAATCATGATTTGAGCTGACTGTAGCCTGGGCTTCAGTCCTTCTCTAAGGGCGGGTCAATTTCCAGTTTCCCTTTTCTTTTAGGGCAAAGCTCTTCAAAATCCCAGTTGAACTCTTGAGGTGTTTTACCAGGGCCCCTTCCGTTCGATAGATGCTGAACTTCACGTCTCTTCCCTATGCCTTAGCTCTGTGCAGCTGCCAGCCCTTCTCTGTGTCTCAGGTGCTCAGTCACTGCATGCTCCCAGCCTTTCACTTTCTCTGTTGTGTGGGCAAATACCTCAAAAGCAGAAACAGTGCGATGTTTGGATTATGACACTGAGCTTCCCTTATCTTTTGGATTTTTTTTTTTTTTGGCGGAGTCTTGCTCTGTTTCCCAGGCTGGAGTACAGTGGCGCTATCTCAGCTCACTGCAAGCTCCGCTTCCTGGGTTCAGGGGATTCTTCTGCCTCAGCTTTTGGAGTAGCTGGGACTACAGGCACCTGCCACCACGCCCGGCTAATTTTTTGTATTTTTGGTAGAGATGGGGTTTCGCCATGTTGGCCAGGCTGGTTTCGAACACCTGACCTCATAATCTGCCCACCTCAGCCTCCCAAAGTGCTGGGATTACAGGTGTAAGCCACGGCGCCCGGCCTCTTTTGGATCTTTAACACAAGTTCTTGCTGCCTTAGTCCTCGAATGTCCTCAAATAGATGTATGTGTTTGTTTTCTCATAATTTTTCTATTTCTTTTTAGAAAAAGAGTATGAAAAAGGTTTGTCTACACTTACTGGAAGCAAACCTCTTTAGTTTGGATTTCTTTATTTATGAAGTCATCATTCTATGTCACTGTACAATAAATACCACTCCAGGGTGTCCTGGACCCTTTACTTTGTCAGTCCATCCATAATTCTCTGTTCTTGCAATGGTTTGTCAAATGCCTTGGTACTGTATCTCTGTACCGTGTCTATATGTTTGTTTCTGTGATCTACTAGGCTAGATACCTTATCTTACAAAAAAGGAAATGAAGACATTTTTGTCAAAACTTACTCTCAATAAACTCCAATACTCGAGCTGTGCACTTCTCAGCAAGTTATTATTACTTCCCTCTGAAATTTTCACCCTTTTCATAGTTCTTATCCTTGCAAGACACACTGTAAATGGAATAACCACAATAAGCTGTTAATCTGTATACTTAGATCCGCTAAGAAATATGCAAACTGAGGGAGAGATTTAGAAACAAAAATATATTAGGATATCTCATAAAACTAACCATTTAGAAGGAAATGGAGCCTCATCCCAATCAGGGGTAGCACAGGAAATCCCAAGTGGTCACATTCCCCAGAATTGTCTTCTAATGTAGCGGAATCTCTTAGATTAAGCTTCTTCTATGCCAGGTTTAGTTCGCTCTTAATATCAGAGGCCTATATTATATTATAACGTATAATATATATAATATTTATCACCTTGTGACCACAAAGATGAGTCGGAGAGAGACGCCCTCTTCAAGAAGGTGCTTCCCTCACAAAAAGAAGACAAGATATTCATACATAACTATAATAAAAGATCAGAAATGACACTGGCTTCATCCCTTTCATTAGTGCCTAGGTGCTTGTTTAATACTTCCTGGCACTGTGAATGCCTTTTTAGAAATGCTGCCATAGCAGATTGGTCCTCACAGACTGTGTTGCTGTTGTGATGTTTTGAGCTGTGTTTGAACACTTGGGCACAGATGGTGCGCTGTTTGGTATCTGTGTCCGTTTTGACCAGGTAGCACTTTAGGAATGGCCCAGCCATTCAGAAGTGGATGGGTAACTTGGCAGAGTCTGTTAGATTTTGATAATCTGGCCCTTCTTGGTTTGCGTACTCTGTTAAAAATCCCTTTCACGAATTAATGCCGTAGGAGTAGTAACTCTTGAATAAATTAACTCATCACTTTGGTGTTTTGGAAGACTTGCCTGCATTTTTGGTCACAATAACAATTTTTAAAGCAAAGCCAAACGCTAGTTTTATGCTTTAATGTTTTGTTGCAACAATATTAGCAGGTGTACCTCAGTTGTTTTACTGAATTAGTACTAGTAGGTCAAGTATTTGGGAATCATGTATTTAGAAGCACCTGTCTAAAATATATTTCATGTTATGTTATGGACATAGGTACTGATAATCATTGGGCTTGTTTCCTCTTTGGTCAAATGGGATAACAGTACTTCCCGATACCTTATTTTTATTTGTCAAAATGGTAAAATGAATGCATTAGTGCTTTTTATTAAGATACTCTTAACTTTTAAAGCTGGTGTTTAATTGCTTGAGAAAATCTCAATAGCCATTTTTTAAGGAAGAAGAATATAAACGTTTTACTGCAAAATTTATTATTTATTTAGAATAGATCTTAGACCATAGTCACCTTGGGTTAAAATATAAACTGTCTCATGCAAATTAAACTTTAAATTCAATTGCCGTTAAAAAAAAAAAAACACAATACCGAAGTTTATAAATAGGTGAAATTTGGTGAAAATTTTGTGGAGAAAGTTTTTGGCTAATTTTTATTACATTTTTACTATTGTTAAGCCTAAATAGAGTGTTAGAAATGTAAAAGAAAGTCTTTAGAAATACTAATGTATTTGAGAAGTGTATTGAGTACCCATTGCATGTGCTTTAATACAACTTTTAATTTTGTGAGAGTGAAGAACAAAGACCCCTTTGGTTAAACTATTTGCACCGCATTCCAAACACATAGCTGGCTAGGGGGCACTGTTATTAATAACAGTATACTATCTTTTGTTCTCAAGTATGTACTGCTCACACATTGTTAATATAGACTCACTTTGAATTCGTTTTAGCAGTGGTGATGAGCTTAGAAAAGTCATCCACAGTCTTAGCTATTTGTAATCTTGGAGACAGATTTAAAAGAATGGCAGTCAAATTTAAGGTTCAGTTTGTAACTGTGAGTAAAGTAATAATGTGCACATCAAAATATGACACTTTAGCTAATTATCTCACACAGCAAAAATCATATCAGTATTCTTCAAATAAAAAGAAATATGCTGGCCAGGCACGGTGGCTCATGCCTGTAATCCCAGCACTTTGGGAGGTCGAGGTGGGCGGATCACCTGAGGTCGGGAGTTCGAGACCAGCCTGACCAACATGGAGAAACCCCGTCTCTACTAAAAATACAAAATTAGCCAGGTGTGGTGGCACATGCCCGTAATCCCAGCTACTAGGGAGGCTGAGGCAGGAGAATCTCTTGAACGTGGGAGGTGGAGGTTGCGGTGAGCCGAGATTGCACCAGCCTGGGCAACAAGAGCGAAACTCCGTCTCAAAAAAAAAAAAGAAATATGCCTTTGGAGAATGTAAATTGCCGCAAATATTCTCTCTTGACTAGACATGAGAGATATCCTTATTCTCATACTGTGTTTACAATTTAGCTTACATTTCAAGTTCTTTCAGCTGTGACTTTGCTTTCTTTTAGGGTGTTGAAAGAGAATGATGCTAACTTGTAACACCAAACTGTAGATAAGGTTATTCTTAGGATATTTGGAAATGAATTTGTATTGTACAGTAGCTCCCCTTTATTCATAGGGCATATGGTCCAGGCCCCCCAGTGGATGCCTGAAGCCCCAGATAGTACTGAACCCATTGTATACTGTTTTCTCCTATACAGCCATACCTGTGATAAAGTTTAACTTATAAATTAGACATAGTAAGGGATTACGACAATGACTAATAATAAATTGAACAGTCATCGCATTATACTTTAATAAAAGTTATGTGGATGTGGTCTCTCTCTCTCTCTCAAAATATCTTATTGTATCATAGTCATCTATTTTTGGACCGCAGTTGACTGCAGGCAACCTAAACTGCAGAAAATGAAACTGTGGATAAGGGAGGACTATTATAGTTAGTGTTGGGTTAGAAAATAGTGCAACAGTCTTAGTGAATTTTGAGTGAAATTAGGAATGAGATGACTTGACTTACATTCGCAAGAAAAAAAAAAGCAAGACAGAAAGAAAATGAGAGATTCTCTTTAATACAGGAACTAGTGTTATCTAATATGACATGCTAGTAACTTGAAATAATTAAAATGTATAGCACAGTAGTGTCTTCTTTCAAAAGCATACCAGAATTTGAGTAGAGTGAACTTTAATACTTAATCACATTTATTGATTTTATAATGTTTTATTTCTCTCACTCTCTATGAGTTTGGCCTCCTTTTCTAGCTTTGAAGGGTATGAAACTGCAGGCTAAATATGTATTTTAAAAAAGAAATCATTCACTGGCACTGTGTTGTTGAGGAGGAGATATTTAGTTTCTCTTCACCTAGCTAAGCTACCATGTCAATCTATATACATCCTAATTCTTAAATGCCCTTATATCCATAATGCTTGTGGCATTTTACAATATTAAAAGCAATTAATTTTTCCTGTTAGAGAATATATAATCTGAGCAAACAGGATTGACAGGAAAATATCACTCATAAATGATCTATTTTAAATGATTCTATAAAGCCTACAAAGCTCATTTGCTCATATTTTGAAGGTCATAGGGTCTAAGCTTTGTGGAATGTTATGAGATAAAGATATAATGAATACATTCAAACCAACACTTCCTTATATTTTGGTACTTTTCTTTGACATGTACGCAATAAATACATTGACCTAACATGTTCACACTGAATTTTGAAACAACCTCCTGATGCCATGACAGTGAAAGTATGAAATAGCTATTTATTGTACATACGTTTTGCAATCTTCAGCAGCCTCGGGTGCACATTTATTTCTAGAGCTGAGGGTGGTAGACATAATACTCTCAGCTTCTACTTAATGAAGGCATCAGAATTTTAGCTCCTTCAAGATGTAAGGGAATAAAATTGTGTGATTCAAGAGTCGTCAGCTGGATGACAATTTTAGATGTGTCTTTAGAGAGAAGGTGATATTGGTGAAATAGGCTCAACAAGAAGACATTTTGCCTAAAATTCAGGCTGTCAAAATCATGTGGATATATTTTAAAAGATCCAGCTTACTTCTGTTTCTGTCCATGAAAGATTAACTACCACAAGAATTGCCCTCTAACAGCAGGTGATTAGAGAACTGGACAAAAATCTAGGAAACAGCTGTTTTCAGACTTCAGGTAACAGTAGAAGACTGTAATTCTTAACTGAAAGGAAACAGATGAAGTGAGCCCTGGGATTGCACTGTTTGCAGTATGAGGAGAAGGACCCAAACATAGTCTAGTGGTGTGCATGAGTTGATGAGACAGAAGAGAAAAGTTCATTGGCGGAGAAGTGGCTAGAATATATAGGAAATACCAGAGAGAAGGGAGCTACAGAGATAGAAGAGAGCAAGAGCAGGCAAGTGCCAGTCTAGAGATTTCTAGTAGGGTCTCCTCAAATCTTTGACTGAATACTGATTGAGTAGCCATGGTACACAATACCATGAGGCTGGAGAAAGAAAGTGATAGGGCAGTTCTCAGAGCTCACATAGGGCTGGGAATAGTTTGTGTTTCCATCAGCCAGCATAGAGACATAGAACCTTGAACAGAAACATCAGAAGGGTAATGCCATAGTAGTGGGACCAAATTAGTCTGAGGCTAGTGCTGCATTGGACTTCTTCTAACAAAAATTGAAAGCAAACATTGAAAGGATCAAATTGATTTAAAATAATTTATTTGTGTGCTAGAACAAAGTCCAGGATCCTTTAAGATAATACAGTAAAATCCAGCACCAAGAATGTAAAATTCACAATGGCCAGTATCTAGTCAGAATTTTTCATGTGTATTGGGGATGAGAGTAGTGTGGAGGGGCAAAAGAGGGCTTACCAAGAGGGCATCAGGAAACCTTTGGGAGTGTTGGGTATATTCTAAAAGTGTATTGACAGTTACATGTGTATATACATGTGTCAACACTTATGTATGTAGTTTAAACATATTCACTTTATTATATGCTAGTTATACATCAATAAAGCTGTTAAGAATGATCAGGTATGCAAAGAAGCAAGGAAATATGATCCACAACAAAAAGAAGAAATGACAGGTACAATTTAATTAGCAGACAAACATGTTAAAACATGTTATACATATGCTCAAGAATGTAAAGGAAAATGTGAAAATGGGGAGAAAAAATATATTAAAAAAAACAAAATGGAACTTCTACAGATTAAAAATACAATATCAGAAATAAAATAACTATATGGGAGTAACAGCTGATTATACATTACCAAATAAAAGATCAGTGAAGTTAAAGACATAGGAATAGAAACTACCGAAAATGAATTACACAGAGAAAACAAAGTCTGGTAAAAATTTATCAGCATGTCAGTGTCCTGTGGTTCAATATCAGATAGTTAGACATGTGTAATTAAAGTTCCCTAGAAACAGCAGGGGAGGAAATCACAACAATTATTTGCAGAAACTGAAATTATTAATCCATCAATATAGGAAATTCAACAAACCCAAGGCAGAATGAAAAAAAAAGATCATACCAAAGCACATCATAATCATATTGCCAGAAATCAATGGTAAAGAGAAAATCTTAAAAGTAGCCATAGAAAAAGTCATTATGTACAGTGGAATAAAGATAAGAATTACAACAGACTCCTCATCAGAAATAATACAAACTATAAGATAGTGGAGTGGTATTTTAAGAGTACCAATACTAAAAGAAAAACTGTCAACCTAGATTTCTATACGTAGTGAAAATATCTTTTAAATTGAAGGCAAAACAGCCAGTATAAAAATGGGCAAGAGACTTCAATAGACATTTCTGCAAAGATATACAAATGGCCAATAAGCATATGAAAAGATGATAAACATCACTAGTCATTAGGGAAATGCAAATCAAAATTACAAGGAGATATCACTTCACACCTATTAGGAAAGCTATTACTTAAAAAAAAAAAACAACTGACTAACACAGGTTGGACATTGGTATATAAGTATCTGTTTGAGTCTCTGCTTTCGGTTCTTTGGGGTATATATCCAGAAGTGGAATTGTTCGATCACAAGGTAATTCTAAATTTAACTTTTTGATATATATCTATATAGATTTTGATACATATCTTCTAATCTAGGAAGATATTTGTTATAAAGAATTGGCTGACACAATTATGGAAACTGGCGAGTCCAGATTTGCGGCATGGGCTGACAAACTGGAGGCACAGGAGAGCCAGTACAGTTCCAGTCCAAAGACCAGCAGCCTGGAGACCCAGGAAAGCTGATGGTGCAGATGAAGTCTGAAGGCTGGCAGGCGGAGACCCAGGAAAGCTGGCAGTGCAGATGAAGTCCAAAGGCAGTCTGTTGAATTCCTACTAGGTTAGAGAGGTCAGTTTTTTTATTCTGATCAGGGCTTCAACTGATTGGATGAGGTATATTCACATTATGGAGGGCAATCTGTATACTCAGAGTTCACCAGTTTAAAAATTAATCTTATCCAAAAATATCCTCCAAATTGACACATAAAATTAACTATTACATACCTACAACCTATGTGTCCATCACAGGTAAATGTCAACAAAATATGGCATATACATATAATGCAATATTATTAAGCTTTAAAACATAATGAAATTCTGGTACATACTACAACATGGATGAACCTTGAAAACATTATGTTAAGTGAAATAAGCCAGACACAAAAGAACAAATATGATTCATCTTATGTAAGGTACCTAGAATAAGCAATTTCATAGACACAGAAAATAGAACAGTGGTTACCAGGGGCTGAGGAAGAAGAGAAAGGAGTTACTGTTTAATAGGGACAGAGTTTCAGTTTAGAACAATGAAAAATTTCAGGAAATGACCAGTGATAATGGTTGCACTTAATACCACATGATTGTATACTTAAATGGTAAGTCTTAACATTTATATTTTACCACAAAAATAAAGAATAAAATAATTTTTCAGACAAACAAGAGAACTGAGTGCCTGCAGAGCTGTAACATATTAGATGTTAAAGGTAATGTCTTCAAGCAGAGGGAAAATGATACCACCTGGAAATTTGGATCTAAATAAAATAATGAAAAATGTTAGAGATGATACATATTCAAATACAAGACTTTTTAAATAATTTGAAGTCTCTTTAAATAAAAATGCCTATTTAAACAAAGATAATAAAATAGGTTGTGAGGTTTATAAAATATTTAAAAGCAAAATATAAGACATCACAGAATGGGGGAGAACGGAAGGATGCTGTCATAAGGCACTTTGACTATTCATAAAGTAGTGACTTTTATTGGAAGTAGACTGCACATTTTATACATTAGAGCAAACTTTTTCTATAAAGATCCAAATAGTAAATATTTTAGATGTTGCAGGTATAGTAAGCAGAATTCTAAAATATTTTCCAATCCTCCAAGGTTTTCCCCTCCCCCACCTTTCCTAGTATGCATGCCTTTCATAATTTCCAGGCTGAATATGATTCATTATTTAATATGGCAGAGTTAACTTTAAGATAGAGAAATTATTCTGGGTGGTAGAGAAATTATCCTGGGGAACTGGAGGTAACACACAAGCCCTTTAAAGACAGAATTTCTCTGGCTGGTTGTAGGGGAGGACATTAGATGTCAAAGCATAAGAGGGTTTAAATGTACCATTGCTGGATTACAGAGGGAGAGGCCAACATGGGAAGAAACTGAGAGCAACCTTGACTGATAGCCAGCAAGGAATACAAGTCTCAGTCCTAGAGCCACAAGGAACTGAATGCTGCCAAAAGTGAGAATGAAGTTTGGAGTGGATTTTTCTGCAAAGCCCCAGATGACAACTCAGCCTGGCTAACACCCTGATTTCAGCTTTGTGATAATTTGACCAGAGAGCCCAGAGAACCTAGTGAGCTATTAAATAATTGTAATTAATTTTAAGCTGCTAAGTCTGTGGTAATTTGTCCTGCAGCATCAGAAAACTCATATAGCAGGCCATGTGCAGTCTCTGGTGCAGATTTTTGCTCTTTTTTTCTACTTTTCTTGGATAATAGTTAAACATTTACAAACCTTTATTAACTTGTGGGCCATAAAACAAAAACAAAAATCAGGCCACAAGATGAGCTGTCATTTGCTGATTCCTGCCCTAGAGTATCCACTTTAAAAAAAAAAAAAAAAATGGCCGGGCGCGGTGGCTCACGCCTGTAATTCCAGCACTTTGGGAGGTCAAGGTGGGCAGATCACAAGGTCAGGAGATTGAGACCATCCTGGCTAACACAGTGAAACGCCATCTCTACTAAAAATACAAAAAAGTAGCCGGGCGTGGTGGCGGGCGCCTGTAGTCCCAGCTACTCGGGAGGCTGAGCCAGGAGAATGGCGTGAACCCGGGAGGCGGAGCTTGCAGTGAGCCAACATCGTGCCACTGCACCCCAGCCTGGGCGACAGAGCGAGACTCCGTCTCAAAAAGAAAAAAAAAAAAAAGGTAACACTTTTAAGCCAATAAAGGAGATAAAATGGAACCATTAGAAAAAATTTAGTTAACCCAAAAGAAGGCAAGAATAGAGGAAGAAAATATGACAATAAGAAAGCTAATATACTAAATGTATTAATAAATGGCCTAAATGCTCCAATTAAAAGGCAAAGATTATCAGAATGGTTAAAACAAGACCCAATTTCATGATAGCTGCAACAGACCTACTTTAAATATAAAGGCCTAGATAGGTTAATTAAAATATTCAAGAAGATATATCATGAAAATACAAATCCGAAGAATGTTGCAGTTGTCATATTAATATCAGACAAACTAAACTTCAGAACAAGGACTATTACTAGAGATTTTATAATCATAAATAGATCAGTTCATCAAAGGACATAAGAATCTTAAAGATGTATGCACATGCTAACAGAGCTTCAAATACCTGGAATAAAGACCAATACAACTGCAAGGTGAAGGACAAATCTCTAATTATAGTTGGACATGATAGAATGTGTAGTCAGATAATCAGCAATGCTGTCGAAGATGTAAACAATAACAGACCAACTTGATCCAATTAACATTTATAAAATAGAACACACCATTTAAAAACAGCAGAAGTGCACACGGAACATCACAAAAGTAATCCTTACTCTAGAATATGAAAAGAAGTCTCAGTACATTTAAGGGGACTCAAATGCATAGAGTATAACTACAGTGGAATTAAATTAGACATCATAAACAGAAATATATCTGGAAAAATTGTCAAATACTTGGAAATTATTAGCATACTTCTCAATAATTCATTGGCCAAAGAAGAGAGCTCATGAGGAACATTTAAAAATATTTTGAACTAAATAAAAGGGAAAATACACTGTATAAACATTTATTGGGTATAGCTACAGCAGTGCTTAATGGGAAGCCATTAGCAAATGGAAGTCTCATACATTGCTATGGGAATGCAAAATGGTACAACCCTTTTGGAAAGCGGGTTAGCGATTTCTTACAAAGTTAAACATATTTAACATACTATCTAGCAATCACACTTACAGGTATTTACCCAATATAAATGAAAGCATATACCCATACAACGAATTCAGTGTAAATATTTATGAGAGCTTTATGCTTATTAGCCTAAACTGGGAACCAGCCTAAATGTCTATCAATAGATAAATGGATAAACAAATTGTGATATATCCATAAAATGTAATTTAAAAGGAACAGGTTACTGATACAACATGGATGAATTTCAAAAACAGTGAAAGTTTAGTGGTTGCTAGGGGCCAGGTAGAGATAGACTATAAAGAGGCGTGAGGAAATATTTTGTTGTCGTCCTGGTGGTACATGATTATATATACTTGTCTAAACTCATCATATTGTACATTTAAAATTTGTGCCATTTATTATAAATAAATATGGTTAAAATACCATTTTCTATGTGGGAGGAAAAGATTCAGATGAATAATTATTAGAACTAATAAATAGAATCTATATGTATTTTATATATATGTAAAATCTTTTAACATATCTATGATAGCCATTCATAATATATAAAATTAAAAAATCATATTCACAATAGCAAACCCAAATCATAAAATATCTAGAATTAACTTTTATCAAGAAATATAGTGGTCCTATCTAGAGAAAATTATAAAACATTTTTGAAGGATATAAACAAATTTTAATAAATGAAAGATATTTTAAAAAATAGAAACAATATAAGGATGCAATATCAAAATCCTAATTTGGGGATGTAGGAGGGGGAACAAGAGAGAAATTTTCAGAATATCATCTGGACATGTTACTAGAACAAATTTACCTTACATATAAAAATATGTGGCCAGGCGTGGTGGCTCACTCCTAGCACTTTGGGAGGCTGAGGCGGGCAGATCACTTGAGGCCAGGGGTTTGAGACCAGACTGGCCAACGTGGTGAAAACCCATCTCTACTGTTAATAAAAATACAAAAATTAGTCGCATGTGGTGGTGCACATACCTGTAGTCCCAGCTACTCAGGAAGCTGAGGCACGAGAATCACTTGAACCTGGGAGGCAGAGGTTGCAATGAGCTGAGATTGTGCCACTGTACTCCAGCCTGGGAGACAGAGTGAGATGCTGTCTCAAAAAATAAAATAATAAAAATATAGTTACGTGCCAAATAAATGACACTGCAGTCAATGACAAACCACATATATATGATGGTAGTCCCATGAGATTATGATGCCATGTTTTTGCTATACCCTTTCTATCTTTTGATATGTTTAGATACACAAATGCTTACAATTATGTTACAGTTGCCTACAGTTTTCAGTACAGTAACATGCTGTACAGGTTTGTAGCCTAAGACAATAGGCTATGCCAAGTGGCCTAGGTGTGTAGCAGGCTATGCTATCTGGTTCTGTGTAAGTGTACTCTGTGATATTCACGTGATAGCAGAATTGCCCAACATCGTATTTCTAAGAGTGTAATCTGATGAAGTGACACATGACTAAACTTTATTATGGGAAATACTAAACAATATACATGAGTAGAGAGAATAGTATAATTTTCTCCCATATTTCCGTCACATCTCATCCATTTTATCTTTTACTTTCAGCCTACCCTCTGAATTATTTTCATGACAACTTGAAATAGTGTATCATTCACCTGTAAACATTTCAGCATGTATTTTTAAAGCTAAGAAGAAAGTAACTACAATGCCATTATTATTTTGGAAAAGTTAACTAGAATTCTTTATTGCTGTCCAAATGCCTTATCAATATTTATGTTTCTCATTTGTTTTTCTATTGGCTTTTTTGAATCAGGGTGTAAATATGGTCTATATATTGCAATTGGTAAATATATTTCTGAAGTCTAATTTTATTTTATTTTTTATTTATTGTCTTTTTTTGAGACGGAGTCTCACCTTGTCTTACCCAGAAGTCTTACCCAGGCTGAAGGGCAGTGCGGCAATCTCGGCTCACTGCAACGTCTGCCTCCTGGGTTCAAGTGATTCTCCTGCCTCAGCCTCCTGAGTAGCTGGGACTATAGGCACCTGCCACCATGCCCAGCTAATTTTTGTGTTTTTAGTAGAGACAGGATTTAGCCATGTTGGCCAGGCTGGTCTCGAACTCCTGACCTCAGGCTATCCCCCCCACCTCGGCCTCCCAAAGTGCTGGGATTACAGGTGTGTGCCACCGCACCCAGCTGAAGTCTAATTTTAATCGCCCTCTTTTCTTTGTAACTTAAAACAAAACAAAACAAAACTAGGTCATTTGTAGAATTCCTCGCTGTCTGATTTTTGTATCTTACATCCCCATGGTGTACTTAAATTCCTTTGTTCCTATAATTCCTGTAAATTATTAATTAGATGTAGAGGATTATGAGATCTAGTTTTTTTGGGGCGGGGACATTCACCATGGGTTGTGCTGTATATATCCATCATGAAGTGCATGTCTCTTTTTTATTGTAGTAGTAATTTATCGTCTAGATTTGTTATTTCGTTAGGGATTGCAAAAATATTACAGTCTAAGTATACCATTCCTTATTTATTTATTTATTTGTTGGAATACCTCTATAAAGAGAAACTTTCCCCCTGCATCACCACTTCTGTTTGTTATTTACTGATCCTCAGCTCATATTGGAAAGATAGATGAAATTATAAACTGTGCCATATCTCTGTCTAGCACCTGCCAGAGATAACCAACAGAGTTGAGGTTTTTGTTTAGTTTTGTTTTTGTTTTTTGTTTATTTTTTGAGACGGAGTCTCGCTCTGTCACCCAGGATGGAGTGCACTGGCGCCATCTCAGCTCACTGCAACCCCTACCTCCTGGGCTCAAGTGATTCTTGTGCCTTAGCCTCCCGAGTAGCTGAGATTACAGACATGTGCCACCACGCCTAGCTAATTTTTGTATGTTTAGTAGAGATGAGGTTTCACCATGTTGGTCAGGCTGGTCTCAAACTCCTGACCTCAAGTGATCTGCCTGCCTCAGCCTCTCAAAGTTCTGGGATTACAGGTGTGAGCCACTGCACCTGGCCTATTTGTTTAGGTTTTAAAGTATCAATTTGTGCTCACAGATTTAAACATAACTGACATGTTTTAGGTCATTGTAATTATTATGCTTATTGATCCACAACTTTTCCTATCTTGTGATAATGGAACCTCTTTATGTTGACTCCTCATACCTTTGATCCTAGTATTCTGAAAGTTTTCTTTTACTCTGGCCTGAAAAGATGTTTTTGACTTTTTTTTTGCACTAGACCTGGAATCAGACATTTATTCAAGAAACTCTTTTTGTAAAATGTTGTATTTACAGACCATGCTCTATATGCATGAGTGTTTATTGCAACTGAATTGGCAATAAAATTGAACTTGTGTGTAAGTTCTTATCTTACTGTATTTAAAATACATACATTACCAGTAATTACAACAGTGTGATAGTGACACAAAAATAGGAAGATCAATGGAACTGAACATCCACAAATAGGCAGAAACATCTTGTTGAATTTAAAATATAATGAAAGTAGCACTTTTTATGATTAGAATAAAACTGGATTATTCAGTGAATGTGTAAGGATATCTCTTTGCCCATGTTAAAAGAAATTAAATAAAGGTGAAAAGAAAATAAAGGTGAGTCCCTACCTTACTTTTTGTATCAAAGTAATTCCAGATGGACCAGTAATTTAAACATGAAAAGTCCAATCATGAGCTCATTTAAATTAGTCACAAAACATTTAAAGAAAAGATCGAGAAAACAATGGGGGAGTAGCAGACAAAGCCAACCTGCTGGTAAGACATTTTAAAAATCAAATGCAATAACTAACAGGATGAGAAGCCTTTAGTCGTTCATTCATTAAGCAGTTATTTATTTAGTGCTTCATGTATGCCAGACACTGTTTTACACAAGTGATGTAGCAGAGAACAGATACATTTCAGACACTATTCTAGGCAGTGAGATGTAGCATAAACAAAACAAACAAAAGTAACTGCTCTCATGGAGCTTATGCTGTATTGGGGTGGGGAGATTTGAACAACTAAGTTAATAAGCTTGGTCTAATGGTTGTATGTGGAGCCCACCAAATATTGAATGCAGATTTCTTTCCATTACTCATAAAAATTAACCACATGCTAGTCATAAAGCTGCCCTTAAAAAATTAATACAATGGATTATGAGCATACTGTCCAGCCTGGATGCCAGCTAAGTTAGAAGTCAATAACAAAAAGCCGAAAAATGCAGAACTCGTCTGTGAAACTTTTCTTTTCTTTTCTTTTCTTTTTTTTTTTTTTTTTTTGATACAGGGTCTCGGCTCTGTCATTCAGGCTGAGTGCAGTGGTGGAATCACGGCTCGCTGCAGCCTCAGCCTCCCAGACTCAGATGATCCTCCTGCCTCAGCCTCCCAAGTAACTGAGACCACAGGTGGTATACTACCATGCCTGGCTAATTTTTGTATTTTATGTAGAGACAGGATTTTGCCATGTTGTCCAGGCTGGTCACAAACTCCAGGGCTCAAGCAATCCACCTGCCTTGGTCTACAGGAAACTTACACATACTTTCAGTATAATGCATGGGTTAACAAAATTAAATAGAAATATAGAAATAGAATTAAGTGGTCATAAAAATACATATAAATTTTGTAGGCTGCAACTAAAGCAGTTTTTAGTAGGGAATTTATATAGGCTTAAAGAAGAATACTAATAATAACTAAGCTTTGCATTAAAAATCTTAAGGAACAGACTAAACTGAAAGAAGACAGGGAGAAATAGAGATAAAGACAATAATTAATGAAAATTTTAAAATGGTTACAATAGAATAGCTCTGCAATATTTAAAAGCTAGAAAACAAACAAACAAAAAACACCAAATCAGGCTTTGTCAGGATTTCACAAGAAGAGAAGAGAGAAAGCACCAAAAAGCCAACATTAGGGGACTTTTTTTATCCAACCATTCAGTGGACAATATGTCCACACTGTATGTCTCCTTCTAGTGATAACTAAAAATTGTGAATGTAATATAAATGAAGATAAATGCAAGTCTGGATAAGGTAGAAAGAAAGATTTCATAGAGACTGTACACCGGGTTCAGAACTCAGAATAGTAAGCAGAACACTAAAGCTGGCTTTGCCCTGAGGAAATTTGATAAGCTAGGTGCATATTCCCTTCTATTGTGTCCCTTTCTTGGTCTCATGGTGACAGACCCCAGCTGCATCAAGTGGGGACTCAGACAGTCACTAAACCTTCAGTGTAAGAATACTAGAATTAAATTCAGCCAGCCCAACCACCCTAGCATACCTCCCACCACCACCACCACTACTTGTTGAAGACAGCAAGAAAGGTTGCCTATCTAGAGCAACAATGCTAGGTAGATAAAGGAGGAAAAAAAACATTGGGACCGTTGGATTTATCACCATCAGATACCCCTGAATTCACATTTACCTGGATGGTCTGAAAAAGCCCAAGCTAAACACTTAGCTGTGACAGTTGAAGCAGTGACAGATGGTTGTGCCTCCAGTCACTTGCAGATGCACGTCTTCTCCAGAGTAATACACCTTCAACTAGTGCTTTCAGTAGGAAAGTATGAACGCATAGCCCAAATCACAGATGTACAGAGAACAAAGAACTGGCAGGATAAAAAGAACAGACAATAGAATTTGATCTTCAGATGCTTGAGATTTTTGAGAAATTAGAGAAAATACAAAATATCCATGTTTAACATGTTTTTAAGAAATAAAAAAAGAGATTGGAAATATAAGTAAGGAAGATACCATGAAAATTATCAAGAAAATACGGAAACAAACTAAGTAGAAGTTCTACAAATTAATCACGTAATGAATTAAAAATCAAAGCTGGTGGGGAATTATTTGCAAAGGTCCAAAATTAGCAAGTAATAGCTTATTTTTTCATACCAATCGTGTTTTCTTATACCTTCAGTGTTCTATGAGAAAATAACCATTAACCAGAATGTTATACACAGCAAAACATCTTCCATACATATAGGTGAAATAAAGACATTTTCAGACAAAATTTGAGAGTAATGTATGGCATCAGTTGTTCACTATATTACTACAGAAAGCAGGAGAGGAGAGAAAAGAATAAAAAATACAGGGCAAATGAGTCTAATATAAGATGATAAACGTAAATCTCAGTGTATCAATAATTAGAATTAAGTGTAATTGGATTAAATGCTCTAGTTAAAAATACAATGGTTAAAAGACTGGATTTGGAAAGAAAATCTACCTATATGATACTTAAAGAGACACCTAACAACAAAGATACAGAAAAGTTAAAAGGACGGGAAGAAAAAGATATACCAATCAAATCCTAACAGAAAAACGCTGGTATACACAAATAAATAAGTAAATAAAGCTTTGTTAATGTCAGAAGTGATAGATTTTATGGCAAAATGCTTTACCGAAGAAAAAGGACCATGAGTCTGTAATGTGTCCGTTAAAATGTGGGCCCCAAAATATATAAAGCAAAAATTGGCAGAAAATCCACAATCATAGTGAGAGATTCCAATATAACGTTTGGTATTTGATAGATCAAGCAGATTTAAAAATTAGTATAGAATAGGTAAATACACGTGGTTGACAAGCTTTATTTAATTAATGTATACAACATGGAGCCTATGCTATATTGGGGTGGGGAAAAATGGGAAGCAAAAATATTTTTCAAGCACATTTAGCACATTCAGGAAAACTGACCATATTTGGGCCATTAGACTTGTTTCAATATATTTCAAAGTATTGGTTAGACCACATTCTCTGTAGTGAATTTGTTAGAAATTCATTTAAAAAATAACAACAAAGCTGTTTCCCACCTTTCAGAAAAGCTAAAATCCAAAAGACGAACAATATGAAGCGTCGTTAAGGATGTGGGGCAGCTGGAACTCTTTACTGCTGGTGGGAAACTGGCCTTTCCTAATAAAGCTGAACGTGTGCATGCACACCTGCTACCATGCAGCTCCACCCTAGAGTAGAGTGTTTGTAGTGTGTAGCCTGTGTCTGGAAGTATGTGTCTGTAGCCTAATGGATGAATGCATTGTGTATGGTCATGCAGTAGAAGCTCATCTAGCAATGCAAATCAACGTACACAACTGCATGCAGCAGCACAGTGTTGAGTGGGTGAAGCTAGACACAGAAGAGTACACACTGTATGAGTCCACTTATATTAAGTTCAGAAAAGACAAAACTATTTACAGGCCTAAACGTTGAGATAATGGTTACTTTTAGGGAAAAGGGAAGGTTTAGTAATTTGGAGGGCACAAGAGTGGCTTCTAGGATTCTGATAATGTGTTGTTTCTTCAGCTGTTGGCCATTACCTGGCTGTTGCTACTTCGAGGACACTCGCTGAGTTGCTACGCTTAAAGTTTTTTTACTTTCAGTGTGTATGTTGTACTTCTAAGAAACCTGGAAGCTACATAATTTGGAACTCTAGAGTAATACACTTCTAAATAATGGGTCAAACATATATGAATGTTCTTTGCTAAAATTAGTGAGTAAAACTTTGAAAAAGAGGATATTTGCATTGCTTCAAAGCATCTCCCCTCAACTTTGTAGTACTTAACCCTGGTGGTTTGAACATGTCTGCTAATTTTGGTACCTCTTTCTTCTTGAATTTGGGCTGGATCCAGTGAGTATCTCCTGACAAATAGAGTATGGAAAGGAAAAACAGGTGATTTATACTATAGAAACCTGGCAGATCCCACTGGAACCAATTGATGAATGTTTCCATCACCAGGGATGAGTCATGTGGAGAGCATATACTCATACATCATTAGATGAGAAGGGCATGTCACCTCTGTGGTATTCTTTTCCAGCATCCATCATCTCAATCTAATTATGAGAGAGTATCAGGCAAACCCAAATAGGAGTACACTTTATAAAACATCTGACTAGTGCTCTTCATAAATGAATAGGTCATTAAAGACAAGAAAGTGAGGAACTGTCACAGACTGGGGGCAACTAAGGAGACTTAACTGCTGAATAAAGTGGTTTCCTGGTGGGTTTTTGTTGTTATTGTTTTGAGACAGAGTCTCGCTCTTTCGCCAAGGCTGGAGTGCAGCGGCTCAATCCGGCTCACTTTAACCTCCACCTCCTGGGCTCAAGCAATCCTCCCACCTCAGCTTCCTGAGAAGCTGAGACTACAGGTGCACTCCATCACAACCTGGTAAATTTTGTATTTTTTGTAGAGCTGGGGTTTTGCCGCATTGCCTAAGCTAATCTCAAACCCCTGGGCTCAGGCAATCTTCCTTCCTCGGCCTCTCAAATTAAATTGGGATTAGAAGCGTGAGCCACCACACCCAGCCTCCTATTGTTTTTTTAAGAGTGGCAGGGTCTCGCTACGGTACCTAGGCTGGACCTGAATAAAAAAGGACGTTAGTGAAAAATCTGGGGAAATTCAAAAAAGTCTGTAGTTTAGTTAATAGTATAGAATGAATGTTGGAGAAAAACTTAAAGCTTTAAATGCTTGTACTAGAAAAGAAGAAAGTCTTAATGAGCAATGTAGTCAACCTAAGAACAGAATAAGCCAAAGCCAGTAGAAGAAGATAAATAAAATTAAAAGCAAAAATTATCAGCTGAGCACAGTGGCTCACACCTGTAATCCCAGCACTTTGGGAGGCCAAAGTAGATGGATCACTTGAGGTCAGGAGTTCGAGACCGGCCTGACCAATATGGTGAAACCCCATCTCTACTAAAAATACAAAAGTCAGTCAGGCGCAGTGGCGCACGCCTGTAATCCCAGCTATTCGGGAGGCTGAGGCAGGAGAATCGCTTGAACCTGGGAGGCAGAGGTTGCAGTGAGCCGAGATTGTGTCATTGCACCCAGCCTGGGCAACTGCCAAGAGCAAAACTCTGTCTAAAAAAAAAAAAGTAATAGAAAACATGGCTATAATAGAAAGGATCAACAAAAGCAAATTTTGGTTTTTTAAAAGAGTAATAAAATTGACATATCTCTCAGCATTGACTCAAAAGTAAGAAGAGAAAATGAGCAAATAAAAAAGTACAGGAAATGAACACATGCTTAAGAAATAAAGAGACATGAGAAAATTTATACTATTACATTTGAATTTTGAAGTGAAATGACTAAATTCGTATTGAAATATTATTAACCAAAACTGATTCGAGATGATAGAAAAAATCTGAATGGCTCTATTACCATGAGTGAAATTCCAGAGAAACCCTCAAGATTAGCCTAGCACAACTTTGACATCAAATTGTGACAAGATTGTATGAACAAAATATAAGCCAACCATATTCATAAGCAAAGAAGCAAAATTCCAAAACAAAACATTGTAAACTAAATACAGCAACATTTTAAAATTATATATAATAGCTAAGGTGGGCTTATCCTAGGAATATACAATTTAGGATTTGAAAATTATTCACTGTACTAACAGAGTGAAGGGAAATTATTATTCCAACAGATACAGTGAAAGCTTTTTTTTTTTTTTTTTTTTTTTTTTTTTGAGACAGAGCCTCACTCTGTCACCCAGGCTGGAATGCAGTGGCGCGATCTCAGCTCATCACAACCTCCGCCTCCTGTGTTCAGGCGATTCTTGTGCCTCAGCCTCCTGAGTAGCTGGGATTACAGGCGGGTACCACCACACTCAGCTAATTTTTGTATTTTTAGTAGAGACAGTGTTTCACCATGTTGGCCAGGCTGATCTTGAACTCCCGACCTCAAGTGATCCACCTGCCTTGGCCTCCTAAAGTGCTGGGATTACAGGCGTGAGTCACCATGCCCGTCCCAGAGAAAGCATTTTGATAAATTCAGCTTTTATTCATGTTTTTAAAAATTGATTCAACGAGGAATGAGTGCTACAGAATAGGACATAGGGAATGAAGGAGAGCAGGTTGCAGGATTTTTGTTACTGTTTTGGTTTTTTGTTTAAGAGACAGCATTGTTGTCCAGCTTGGACTCAAACTTCTGGGCTCAAGTGATCATCCTGCCTCAGCCTCCCGAGTAGCTGGGACTACAGGTACACACCACCACACCCAGTTTGGTTGCAGTTCTGAATAGGTGTTCAGAAGAAGTCTCATTGAGAAGGCAAAATTTGAGCAAAGACTGGACAGCAGTGATGAAGAAATCAGTCAGGTGGGGGAGAATCAGCGTACATACAGGTTTTGACACAGGAGAAGGTGTGGGATCTTCCAGAAACAATTTGAAGTCAAATGTGGCCTCAATAGAGAAAGGAAGAGAGTTAATCCAGGTGATGGAATGAAGACAAAAGAGCGTGTCGGCCTGACACACCACTGGAAAGGTTGTGGATGCGCATCTGAAATGGGAAGCCATTTGACCATATGTTTATTATTTGTGTTTAATGTTTGCTAATTTAATTGGTATGTAATGACATAATGCTTTTGTCTTTATTAGTAGATGATTTTTAAATGATGTTTTACCATGTGTATTTCCATTTGCTAGTTTATTTTTTTAATTTAACAGCTTTATTAAGAAACCATACAATTCACCCATTTAAAATGTACATTTTAATGGATTTTAATACATTCATAGTTACATGCCCATTATTGCAATCTAACTGTAGGACATTTTTGCCCTGCCCCCAGAGGGAACCTTGTGCCCATTAGCAGTTCTCCCCATTCCCCACACCTCCCTCCTCCATCCTCTGAGCCCTGAACAACCACTGTTTCCTGTCTTTCCCGATGTGCCTGTTACAGACATTTCATATAAATGGCATCGTATACTGTGTGATCATTTGTGACTGGCTTCTTTCACTTGGCATGTGTTTTCAAGGTTCGTTCATGTTGTGGCATGTATTAGAACTTCATCCCCTGTACTGCCAAATAATATTCCATTATATGAATAAAGTTTTATTTTATTTTTTTGAGACAGAGTTTCTCTCAGTCGCCCAGGCTGGAGTGCAATGGTGCGATCTTGGCTCACTGCAACCTCTGCCTCCCGGGTTCAAGTGATTCTCCTGTCTCAGCCTCCCGAGTAGCTGGGATTACAGGCGCATGCCACCACACCCAGCTAATTTTTGTATTTTTAGTAAAGACAGGGTTTTGCTATGTTGGTCAGGCTGGTCTCGAACTCCTGACCTCAAGCAATCCATCCACCTTGGCCTCTCAAAGTGCTGGGATTGTAGGCGTGATCCATTGCGTCCAGCCGTATTTTATTTATCCAGTCATCAGTTGGCAGATAATTGTTTTTTTGCCACTTTTTGGCTATTATGGATAATGCTGCTGTGAACTTACATGTACAAGTGTTTGTGTGGACATAGGTTTCTATTTCTCTTGGGTATATGCCTTGAAGTAGAATTGTTGGCTCATGTGGTAATTTACTGTGTATTTTTTTTTTCTTTTTAAACCTTTTTTTTTTTTTTTTTTTTTTTTTTGAGAGAAGTCTTGCTCTTGTCCCCTAGGTTTGAGTGCAATGGCTTGATCTCGGCTCACTGCAAACTCTGCCTCCTGGGTTCAAACGATTGTCCTGCCTCTGCCTCCCAAATAGCTGGGATTAAGGCACCTGCCACCACACCCGGCTAATTTTTGTATTTTTTAGTAGAGACAGGGTTTCACCATGTTGGCCAGGCTGGTCTCGAACTCCTGAACTCAGGTGATCCACCCACCTCCGCCTCCCAAAGTGCTGGGATTATAGGTGTGAGCCACTCGCCCAGCCTTACTGGTTTAATTATTTGTGGAGATCTAGCATTGACCTTCCATATATTAATATTTATCTGTTATTTGTATCTTGAGATAGTATTTTCATAAATGTTTTATGTAATTTTTCTCATTGGCTTTTGTTTTATTTCCTTTTTATTATTGTTAAACAAAAGATTTAAAAAAAATAATTGTGTTTAGCCATCTCGTTTCTGATGGCCAATTCCATTTATTAGCCATCATACACGGTTCTAGCAGCATCTGGGATTCTGCTTTCCTCTGTGCTTTATGAAAGTTAAACAATGTTTTATTCTGAATTCTTTGACTATCTATCTGGAGTTGACTTCTTGTTTTCTTTAAAGGTGGCTTCAGAGATGAAGTAGGTGTTGAGGATTTTCAGTAAGGTGGAAGTGGTAGTCAGGAGAGGGATTTCCAGAAGGAGCAAGTTGACAGTTGCCCTTTATTGGCTTGCTTAAGGAGCTCCCTGCAAGACAGTGGAGAAAATGGTGAAAAGGGAAGGCAGTCATTAGTAAAATACCATTTTGCTCGTTAGAACTTTAATGTTGCAAGATTCACTTTTAGGGCAAACTTTTGAAACCTGTCTGTCTTGTGATCTTTCTAAGGTCTACAGGTTTCCAGAGTTTACTTTTCCTTCATTGTCATCTTCTTTCCCCTTCTTTTAAAATAAAACCTATGACACTAGGATTATAAGAAGTGGTAAGAAGCTCTGGATTTTCAGTCCTACTTACCACGTTTAATCACAGTATCTTCCTGGTTTTCTGAAATAACTGAAATCAATGTAAAATATCAGTTGCTTTAGCGTAGTTAGTGTAGACAGTGGGAAATGTGCAGAAATTGTGGGCTCTTGCTTCCAATTTAGCACTCTGGGTTGTGAGATTTGGCTCCACAGAAATAAAATTAGGTGGTTAGCTACAGCTGTAGTTAAGTTCAGTGATGTGAGAGAAAACACACACACTGGGGATTGTGGGCCTTTCATGTCTTCATTTCCAGTGGGATACAGGAATAATGAAGTTTCTAAGGCAGAATAAGGGTCACAGATTTTATTTAGGTCATTTTGCTACAATTCTAATTTGTCTTTCTTTTTACATGTATTATCATGCCATTAATAACAAAACTTTTTAAATTGTATTTTTAGAAGTTCTCCTGGGTTCTAGATAGACTGTGATAGCAGGGTAACCTTTAGCAGGTTACTTACCTTTCCTCTTTAGGTCCCGGGTTCTTTACCAATAAAATGAGAATGAAAACTGTATCTAGTAGTGTAGTTTGAGGATTGAAAATGGGTATTTGTATTTAGCACAGTGCCTGGAATACGTTAAAAGCACTTATGAACTTAGCTCTCATTATTGCTTCCTAGTAGAGTCTACATTGTGCTAAGCTTCTAGGTCAGCATTAGCTTAATCTTCTAGTTGGGATCTAAGGACATTAGTTTTTACATTCTGTGTCCTACATTTGAGGCTGGGTTAGAGAACAGAAGAGTGAAAACAGTGATCCTCCAGTAGCTAGAATGATGCCAAGTGGTTCCAAAGAAGAAAGGTTGTTGAACTACTAATTAACACCATACCGATAAAACCAAAACAACTAGAAATAATGTCTGCTTGGAAATATTCATTTCACTTATGGGAGCAAACTTTTTGATAGTTCATAAAATGCCATCTTGGTATTTGGGAGCTAAGAATCATTCAGGTTGTCCATTAAGAAGACTCCCCAGTATAAAACCAGTAGCGTATAGCCAACTTTAGGTAAACTAAATAATGTGGGGGACAAAGAAAGCACAGGTTAGCTTCCTATGTGATTGTCACCCAACATAGAATAAAATTTCACTCATATCACCTAAACAGAGGAGAGTCCAACTTTGTCAAGTCAATTTTAGATTTTTTTTGAATTTCCATTTCTTTTGTAATAACACTTAACATGAGATCTGCCCTCTTAACAGAATTTTTAAGTGTATAATATATTCAACTATAAAAACAATGTTGCACAGCAGAGTTCTAGACTAATTTTCATGTTGCATAACTGAAACTTTATTTCCTGTAGCAACTCTCCTTCTGTACACCTCAGCACCTGGCAACCACCATTTTGCTTCTATGAGCCTATTTTAGATACTTTATATAAGTGGAATCATACAGTATTTGTCCCTCTGTGACCATCTTGTTTCACTTGGCACAATGTCCTCAAGGTTCATTCATATTGTCACATATTGCAGCCTTTCCTTCTTTTAAAGGCTGCATAATATTCCATTGTATATACACACTATGTTGTTTTAATCCATGCATCTGTCAATGGACATTTAGAGTATTTCTATATCTTGGCTATTGTGAATCATGCTACAGTGAACATGGGAGCACTAATATCTCTTCAAGATAAAGAATGTCTTAAACAATTTTTAAAAAAATTTAAATTGACCTATCATCATAATCCAAATGATTTTTTGTGTAATATTTATCTCATGTAATCCAAGTGATTTTAAGACTTCTATTTTATGTCAGTAAGATATAGTATTGTTTTAATTCATTATTTCTAAATGGGTTCAATATCATCCTTGTTTTAATCAACTGTTTTCACTTGATTTTTGTATATGAGAGAGATAGGGGTCTAGATTCATTCTTCTGCATATGGATATTTAGTTTTCCCAGCACCATTTATTGAAGGGACTGTCCTTTCCCCAGTATATGTTCTTGGCACCATTGTCAAAAATGAGTTCACTGTATATTTATGGATTTGTTTGCTGGTTTTCTATGTCAATGTGTCTGTCTTTATGCCAGTTGTGTGCTGTTTTGGTTACTATACCTCTGTTGTATAATTTTGAAAAAGGAAAAACTTCAGACGAATTAAATTTAAAGGAGTTTAATTGAGCAATGAAAGATTCGTGAATCGGGCGGCCCCCAGAATCACGGCAGACTCACAGAGACTCCAGGGGTGCCTTGTGGTCAGAACAAATTTATAGACAGAAAACGTACAGTGATATACAGGAATTGGAAGTGAGGTACAGAAACAGCGAGATTGGTTACAGCTTGGTGTTTGCCTTATTTGAACACAGTTGGAACATTCAGCGGTCTATGAGTGGTTGAAGTATGGCCACTGGGATTGGCCAACACTCAGTTATTGTTACAGGTGTATACTATTAAGTTAGGTTTTCAGTTTTGTCTGACTATTAAGCTAGGTTACAGTTCATCCACAAGGTCTCAATTATAGAAGTATGAAGTCCTTCTTAGGCCATATTTAGTTTGCTTTAACAATTTGAAGTCAGGTAATGTGATTCAGTTTTGCTATTTTTGCTCAGGATATTCTGGGTCTTTTTTGGTTCTGTATAAATCTTAGGATTGTTTTTTCTGTATCTGTGAAAGGATTTTGATAGGGATTGCATTGAATCTGTAGATTACTTGGGGTAGTATGGACATTTTAATAATATTGATTCTTCCAATCCATGAACATGGTCTATCTTACCTTTTTTTGTGTGTCCTCTTCAACTTCTTTAATCAATGTTTTATAGCAGGGTTGTTCAATCTTTTGGCTTCCCTGGGCCACATTTAAAGAAGAATTGTCTTGGACCACACATAAAATACACTAGTACTAACAACAGCTGGTAAGCTAAAAAAAAGAAAAAAAGCAAAAATCCTCATAATGTTTTAAGAAAGTTTACGAATTTGTGTTGGGCTGCATTCAAAGCCATCGTGAGTTGGGCAAGCTTGTTTTATAGTTTTCATTGTAGAAATCTTTCACTTCTTTAGTTAAGTTAATTCCTAGGTATTTTATTTTATTTGTAGCTGTTGTAACAAACTATTTTCAATGGTAAAGACAGGTTTCAGCTCAGATATTTGAGTGCTATCAATTTTAGGACTGATTTTTTTTTTTTTTCAAAAGATAAAAGTGTTGCTGTCTTTTTGGCAAAAAGCACTTGAAAATGCTGTTCTAAATAGAAATACATGTAGAATGAGCTACTGATTGCTGTGGCTCTTTTGATATGATAATAGTTTAATATTAAAACTGAAATGTTTTTGTGATATACTGCGAATGAGCTCATTGCTCTTAATTCATATTACACCACCTTTAAAATCCTGTTCAGGTAGCCTTCTCCAGGAGTTCCACCCTCATCCCCAAGCCATAAGTAATCCTTTCCTCCTTTGAGTTCCAGTAGCACTCTTTATACCTCTCTTTGTATTTATAAACTGGGCCTTGAAACATAATTATTTGTATTTCTTTTCCCTAATAAAATACGAGTACCTAAGCACAAACTGATAAACATTCAGGTTAAACTCAACGGATATGTTATTGAATATCTGCTTTGTCCAAAGCACTGTGCCTAAAGCTATGCAAACATGAGTATTACACCGCTCTTGTCTTTGTCACGTTGTTCCTCATAGTGCCTGGTCTCCCTCTTGACATTTTTCTCTTGTATTCGAGGATGCCCTTTTTTTTTCCTCTTACATCTCTTGCCACTACTTCACAGTGTATTTTGTCTCTGTCTCTAGTAGACATGTGAATAATGAATATGCCCAACGCTTGCTCTCGAACACTCTTCTCTTTTCAATACACACCCACTTTAGGTAATCTTGTTTATTCTCGTGCACCTAAAATAATATCTTTATGCCAGTGACTCTCAATTATCTATCTCTAGTCCAGACACTTCTGAACATCAAGTCCACATATTCTAGTTGCCATTGAAGTCTCCTGGGCATCACGGAAATGAATGTCTTAAAGAAAACTCTTCCTCTTTTCTTCCACATTTGGTCCTGTTCTCCAGGAAAGCACCTTCGTCCACCCTGCTGGCAAGCCAAAATCCTGATGTGATCTTGGTCACATGCTTTCCCACACCCTCCACGTTGAGTCCATCACCAAGTCCTGTTGATTCTGCCTCTGAAGTATCTTCCTCCTCTGGCTCTTGCCCACATGCCAGCCCACAGTGCTGGCATAATGGACCCTCGTGGCACTTCTGCTCAGTCCCCACAGCGTTGTCACAGTGACTATTTAAAATCATAAAGCAGGTCTTGCTTTAATCTCCTTGATTCTCGTTGTTCTTAGAGTAAGATTTAGAAATTCTCAACGTGGCATCTGTGTATCAGTCCTTTTCCAGTTCCATCTTTTGACACCCCCACCCTCTGTAATCCAGCCACAGTGGCATTCTTTAAATTCCAGAGGTTTGCTGAATACCCCCTCACCCCGCTGTCCCTTTAGGGTTTTGCACAAGCTCTTCCTGTTGAGGACCCCTTCTACCAAGTGAGCCCCACTAACCCTCTCAATTGAAACACTGTTTCCTCAGACAGGCTCCACCCAAGCCCTCAGACTAAATTAGGATCTGTTCTCTTGGCATATCTAGGTATCCTGAACTTAGAGCACCTTTGGTAATTACTAAGATTTCTTTTGTTGGCTGATTATTTGCTCAATATCTGGCTGCTCCATGGTCTGTAAGATCCCTGAGGGCAGGGATCATGTCTGTTTTGTTCACACTCAGGCCTAGCACCAGACACATAGTAGAGAGTCAATACCTATTTGTGGAATGAGTAAAATAAATCAACATAAAAGTTCAAAAGCACTCTAAAATATTGCGCAACAGAATGTGTTTAAAACTTAAGGCTCTGGCTGGGCATGGTGGCTCACGCCTGTAATCCCAGCACTTTGGGAGGCCGAAGCGGGTGGATCGCTTGAGCCCTGGAGTTCGAGACCAGCCTGGGCAACATGGTCAAACCCCATCTCTACTAAAAACACAAAAACTAGCCAGGCGTGGTGGCGGGCGCCTGTAATCCCAGCTACTCTGGATGCTGAGGCATGAGAATCGCTTGAACCCGGGAGGCGGAGTTGCAGTGAGCCGAGATTGCACCACCGCACTCCAGCCTGGTCGACAGAGCAAGACTCTGTCTCAAAAAAAAAACAAACAAACAACAGAAAAAAACTTAAGGCTCTAACTTAATATATGGAAGTAAGTTTCTAACCCTTGTGAGAAGACCTTTATTAGTTTGTGACTAAACCAGGCGTGTGCTGCTTTTCTGATCTGTCCAATTTTAGAATTGTTATTACCAAAGTATATATTTGACAACAGGAAAAATATATTTTATCAGTTTGACAACAAATATTTATTGATCATCTGCTGTTTGCTTGGCATGGTTGTAGATGCTTGGGATACAGCTGGTGGGTTGCAGCTTACTTTCCCACGGAGGACAGACAGTGTACACGGAGAATTTCAGCTCCTGAAAAATACTCTGGTCTAAATAAAACAGAGCCGTGGCAGGGGCAGGGGGGCTAGAGAAGTCCTATTTGAAAAGATAACATTTCAGCTAGCATTGGAGGGACAGGGAGTCAACTGCGGGAGATCTGGGGAGAGCTTTCCAGGCAGAAGGAACTGCCAGGACATCTGAGGAACGGAGGGGTGGGCAGTGGCCCTTGGCACAGTGAATGAAGGAAAAACACACACTTTTATAGAGATGCCATGACTTGGAGTTCTTATTCTGCCCATTTTGGTTGGAGACAATGATGATGTCCAGCTCATAAGAATGTTGCTAAGTAAGGTAATGAAGGTAAATAGTAGTAATAATACACATCACTGATAGTTTTAAACATCATTAATATGCCTTCCACAGAATTTATGTGAAGGAGAAACTGATAAAGTAAATGTTACTTTAACTCATGGCTTTGTTTATGTGTTTGTTTACTAATTTATTATCTTTTAAAACTGTAGACTGTGTTGCTAATTATCTGCAAACATTAATGTTTATGTTGATTTCTCTTTAAAGGTTAAAAAGCTAAAGAGAGAGCTCTCACAGATGAAGCAGGAACTGCTCTATAAAGAACAAGGCTTTGAAACATTGCAGCAGTGAGTATGAAAAGACTGAATCAACTTTAGAATAAGCTCCCTAACTAGTATGAATACAAAGAAAATAGAAGTACAGATTACATAAGCGATTTCTTAAAGAAACGTAAAGTAAAAAAGTTCAGAGCTCTACACCAAAAGAAAATAAAGCAATCAACCAACAGATAAAAAAACTTGGGAAAGATCTATGCACTTGAAAAGATCCAAAGTTTTTATTAATCATTGGAGATCCAAAGAAACCAAAGTGAAAAGCCTTTGTCTTACCTTTATCTCCTGGACCCTTGCTGGCCTCCTCTGAGATTGTGGTACAGAGCTAAGAGACTAGGCACAAGAAATTCCTCTCCACATTCGGCTGGGCTGGCTGTACTTGACCCCTGTGTGAGCCTGCAGCTGCCCTGGGCCCTTGGGTGGAGGCGTGTCTGTCTCTCTCTCTCTCTCTGCCAGCCCCAGGGATGACCTAGAGTCTAACCCTGACAGATGGCAGGGGAGCAAGAGCAAGTTAGGATTATTAGCAAAGGAGCGGGAGTGCGCTCCTCACTTCCTGGTTCCTCTACCTTTCCCGTTTGCTACTGAAGTTGGCTGGGCCGTTAGCAGAGCCCTAAGCTGGGCCAGGTAAAGTGGAAATGGAGGTGACAGAGGGTCACAGGATGAGGATATCCCTTCCGCATTCCCGGCCCCTGAAAGCCACTGTTCTCCCTGCTGCTGAGGCCCAGCCTATCCAAACCGTGACAGGCACACCTGAGACTTTCTAATCCTGCAGTCTCCACTCCACAGGGCCTCTCATGGGAGAGAAGCAGTCCATGGTTTTCACAGCCACATGACCACGGAGAGGAGTTAAAACTTCCCTCCTGCTTGGTGCCTCCAAGTGCGGTGCAGTATTTTTAGGGATGTCCCTGGTCAGTTTTGTGTTCAGGCAGGTTTCGTGTTCTTCCCGGCATCTCCCGTGGTAGCACCTCAGGAATGCCAAGCTGGTCTCAGGCGCCACCTCTGTGGAAAGTACCCAGCTGTGTTCCTTTTCCCTGTGGAATCTTACTTTACCTTCTGCTCTTATTTGGGATGCTCCAAGCAGCAAGCCCCTTTAAAGATCCTGTGTGTCACTGGCCAGATAAACAAACTGGTTGTTCTTGTTTGGGTGATTAGTCATATCTTGGGATACGCAGGCACTGCTCTTGACCACCAGTCAGACGCATGACTTTAATTTCACACGTGCTGTTATCATCCAGACTCCTTTTTTCCTGCTTACCGCATAGAATCATGACCCTGATACTCCTTCAGATGCTCCCATCCTAGTGGTTCTCAAACCTGACTGCATATTAGAATAATCTGGAGAGTGCTTAGAAAAATAATGTTTCTAGTCTCTATGCCAGGTATATTTTATGAGATCCCAAGTGCTTCTCAAGTCCAGCCCTGTTGTAAGAACCTCAGCTGGTTGCAGAGCTCCCCGATAAACCAGGCAGAACTAGAATGACATAAATGCATTATTTAGTAATTGTTTATCAGCATAAAGCAGGGCTTCGTGGTGGGGGTGGGGAGAGAAAACAGAGTTTGAAGAGTGCCGTAACGTGTTTAGCCATATGTTCCACATTTTTAAGGCACATGAAATTATAACTCGCGTCACCATTTGGGATTAAAGGTTAGCCAAACTTGCTGTCTTTGTTATATTGATGTAACAATGCTGTATTGTTTCAAAGCAGTTTGCTTGCAAGCAATTTTTATAGGAATCTAAGGCATGTTTAAGAATCTGTCAATAACATTCCACAAGAAAACAATAGACATTTGTTGTAGAAATTCAGGCATTCTCTTGGAATGATTCTAATCCCTTGAACCGAGAGCAGAAAGATATGATATCTAACATCAGAGACCTCTCCTGTTTATCTTAACTATAGACAAAATAAAGCTGTTCTTATTCAAATGTTAACCACCATACTACTAAAACACTGAATGATCAACAATCAAACCCAGCAGCCAGACTTTTTAAGAAACCACATTCTTGATACTATAAAGGGACTTATATTTGTGGCATGACAGAAAATATATTTCAGGAAAAGATTTAAATAGAATCTGATTGTAGGCTTTGTAACTTTTATTTACAATAGAATGGAATATATTTGTTGAATCTGGAATTATAATGTAATTTAAACTTGAGCTTTCATTTTACTTGGTACAATAGTTTTATACTGGGTAGACAAATGTGGCATTGTTCTCTACGTTATTCATTTCAGTTTGTGGTCCCAAATTTGACTTCGGCCTAAGCAGCAGTGTAGTATATGTGTAAATGGATACCAGGAAGATGCCTGTTTCCATTTGCTGCCTCCAGTGTGCATTCAGAATTGGAAAACAGGCTAGTGATGAAACAGCAAGTCACAGGCATATACAGATTCTGTGAAAATTTGGTTCTCAAGGTATACACTTTCCAGAGAAGGAATGCAAGTGAACATATTTTATCTTTCAAAAGAGACTAATATATTGAGTGAAAATTAGTTATAGGGCACACTCAAGTCAAGAACTTCCAAAAGAAATTTTAAGAAAAAAAACAGCTTTTCTCATATTAAGAACAAAAAGCATGATACTTTAAGTCAGCAAATGATGCTCATACTTCGGTTTATTTTATGACAAGTTAGGGTCAAAAGAGAAAAGGTGGGAAATGAAAAGTGGAGGAGAAAAACAAGAAACAGTGAAATAAAGGAAAAAGGCAGCACTTAAAGTAGAGAAGTTCAAAGGAGGCAAAAGAAAAAGAGCAGAAACGTTCCATGGTGAAAGCTGAGCTGTGTTCTTCACATTTAGCATTCTGTTGAGCAGTGGATAGCCAAGAAATTTTCATGTATTCAAAGCTCTCTGAAATTTAAATTAGCAGTCTTGAACCAGTCCTGCTTTTATTTTTTAAACGTTAAGGTTTTTTTCTGAAAACAGCTTACCTGCTTTTATTTTCAAATGATAAAGTTTATGTTCATTTCTGAATCAAAGATTTGTTTTATCATTAAATTCTGAAGACTTTACACAAACAGGAAGAAATTACTTGAGTTTTAGAAATTCACTTTGACACAATTTCAGATATCCCTATTACTACCTATTTTATGAAACCCCACATTTTAGTTTTTATTTTTAGTTAAAAAGTGCTACATTTGAAAATGCCAAAATGCTATATTTGGAAATATCATTTGTTTTATTTAGTAAGCCATTTCCTCAGCCAAGTTGGTGGATATAATACTTCAGGGAGTCAGAAATTCCATTGATAAATCTCTTCCCAAATAAGTAGAATTAGCTGATATTCAAAGTACTTCACTAGTCCCATCAGATATTCTAAATGTGGTAGTCATAAGAGCCCCAGTTCTGAATCTGTCATTTTAGGATAGTTCCCCTACTAGCTAAGTGTCTGTGCAATTTGGGGTATAAATTTGCATTAAGTTTCTCCCTTGCCTTCTTCATTTGGAAGAAATGTGACTAGGGGATCTTTAGGGGCCCTCCCCATTCTAAACACTGTGTGTGTGTGTGTGTGTGTGTGTGTGTGTGTGTGTGTGTGTGTGTGTGTGTGCATGTGTTTAATCTGTGACTTGATTGGTTGTACTTTATTATCAGATGATCTTATGATCAAGTTTATTTTATTTTCTTAGGTTCTTGAAGTCTTTAATTGCTTGTTCAGCAGCATAAGATAGTTACTAAAACAGTGCTTGGGGAAATACATTATCTATAAACCGCTCTTGTTTGAGTGGACTTTGTTTGGAAGAGTGATTAAGATGGCATTGCTTTATTTTTTTTCAGATTATACCTTTCACATTGAAAATAAGTATTAATTATTAAATGTTTTAAACCAAACGAGCTCAGAGCCTGTTTTCCCCGATTCAGTAGGTACTATTTCTCTGGAGACTCTGGATAAAACCAAAAATATGTCTAAGAACGTGTATAGAGTTGTTGGGTGGGGCAGAGGCATAGCCATATGTCCCACAAGGAGAACTCGTGCAGTATTCATAATGAATCCCAGATAGCACAGGCAGCTGGGGAGGACCAGGAGAGTGATCATGAAGAGTACATGAAACTATTTTTTTAAAAGAATTAGGTAATTCGATTAGGCCCTTCGAACACAAAGAATTAGGTTACGTGAAATCCTCTAGCCTAAGGTGACGATGTAAACTGCAAGGACACTTGGTAAGCAGCTCTGCAGGGATAATAAATTAGCTCATTGAAGAGCTGTTTATTCAATATGAGTTGAGAAATGACTACTGCCCTTCTGCCGTTTTCCTAAGTTTGAACTCATCCAGCAAGTCAAGCAATTTTATCTTGACTCATAACTTTCATAAAAGCAGAATAAATATTATATATATATATATAGAGAGAGAGAGAGAAATAAAAACTAACCACACAATCCAAACATTGTAGGATACTCACTAGTATAAATAATAATTTACTTATTAACCATTTATTAAAGGCCTCCCAAGCTGCAGGCCCTGTGCCAGGTTTTGCACAGACATTACAGCAAAACATTATGTAAATCAGGTGGCAGTTTACTTGCCTCTGTGTTCTTCAGCTAAAGCATTTGCCCACGTCTTTTACCTTTCTTGGGTGAAGATCAGGATCAGCACTTGATAAGGTTTGGGTTCAGCCAGCAGTGGGATCATTCAAACAGATTGAAGGCAAAAAGACATGCGTTTGTTTGAGCCCAAAAGTGATTAGAAATGGACTGGGTTTGAAGTGAGGGATGGGAGAAATCTTAGCCGCCTGTGATTAAAAGAGAAAGGAGGGGCTGAGACGTGCGGATCACGAGGTCAGGAGTTCAAGCCTGGCCAACATGGTGAAACCCCGTCTTTACCAAAAATACAAAAATTAGCCGGGCATCGTGGCGGGTGCCTGTAATCCCAGCTACTTGGGAGGCTGAGGCAGGAGAATTACTTGAACCCAGGAGGCGTAGTTTGCAGTGAGCTGAGATCACGCCACTGCACTCCAGCCTGGGCGACAGAACAAGACTCCATCTAAAAAAAAAAAAAAAAAAAAAAAAGAGAGAGAAAGGAGGAGAAACTGCCTGAAAAGATGATTGCTGGTATATGACAGTCAGCAGTGAAATAATCATCCAACTGAGACAATTCCAAACCACTTCCTACTCTCTGTTTAACTTATATGCTATCATTCTTTGATATTTTTTCTTTCTTTTTCTCTTTTCACAGAATTGATAAAAAAATGTCTGGAGGCCAGAGCGGGTATGAACTCAGTGAAGCCAAAGCCATTCTAACAGAACTAAAATCTATCAGAAAGGCAATTAGCTCAGGAGAAAAAGAAAAACAAGATCTGATGCAGGTACATTATAAAACATTTTGTTAAGCCAAACTTCTACCTTCTGAGGCCCCCAGAAACTCTTACTGGGGCAGAAGTGCTCCCTCAGAGTCTGGATGACCCTTCTACCTCTGCCACATTTGTGCAGAATGGGCCCTGTGGAGATTGTTGCAGGCACAAAGGTAGCCTGCTGCCTTGGAGGAGAGCAGAGTGATTCCAACTGACTGGTATGCTTCGTTGTAAGCAGCCTTTGGATGGCCTTTGAGATAGTGGGTGGTGGGGCCTGGAGCTCATGTGAGGAGATTAACATCTTGGTGCACCCTGAAACTCACTGAAAACTTCATATGAGTCCCCAGTAAGCAGAATTCTCAGCCCAGGATACACAAGGGATATATCATTTGCCATCAGTAAGTAGAAGGCTTGCCTTTTGGGGATGAGGCTATGTGAGGAGCTTAGAAAAGTTTTCCGACCCAGTTGATTCTGGGGTGCCAGCTAAGGGTGGGGCGGGGAGTGCTGACCCAGCTGGGGGATGCCTATACAGTTACCCTAGCAAAGCTGCCAATGGCCATAGATCCCCTTACTAAACCTGTTCACTTCTCAGCCTGTGGGTCTTAACTCCCAGTGATCCAGCATCATGTGTAGAAAACACAAAATAGCCGTTAAGTGATCAGTATTCTCAGTATCTATACTATCAAATACAGTCAAGTTTTTTTTTAAGGGTGTCTCTCTTCCTCTCCTTCCCTCCATCCCAAACACTAAGAATTCTTATTTCGTATATTTGGAGTTCTTACTTAGCTGAGGGATAATTTAGTCCGCATCTATGGGAAAATGTTAGAGTCACTGATGATGTTTACATTCTCAATAGAACATCTACATTTAAATACCATATTTAACTACTTGATGTTGGTTTTCAAAATATTAGTTGAATATAGATAAATATTCTTGGATCCATATAATTTTGCATTACTTGCAAGAAGAATATAAAATAATATAGAAAAGACAAAATAATAATAGCATGTAATTGTAAATACTGACTTTGTGCCAGACATTCTTCTAACTGCCTTGCATATAAATAATTCCCTTGATCCTCACAACAGCCACTAAAGGTAGGCACTGTTATTATTCTCAGCTTACAGACGAGGAAATTTCAGCACAGAAAAATTAAAGTTTCTTAAAGTCATACAGCTGGTAAGTAGCAAGACTATGGTTCAAACCCAGGCAGTCTGGGTTAACGTGGTTTTAACATACATATAACACATGCAAGACTTTACTTGTGTGTATTTTGGTTTTGTTCCACAATTGTCTTGCTGATTAAGTCAGTCATTCCAGAAATGCATGTAGTAGGTCCTTTAAAAAAAAAAGTTAATAGAACTGGAGCAAATCTACATTGGAACCTTCTAATTCAACAATTTTAGGTCATCTTTCATTCTTCCTATAAACTTTGGATTCATCTGCAGGCCTGATTAAATTAAAAGATTAGATCCCTTTTCAGTTACTAAATTACATTAATTAGTAGATGCAGAGATTGACAATAGAGTTAGAAGAAACTTTAGATATCTTCTGTGACTTTCAAACCTCTTTGACCACAGTAAGAAATAGATTTTACATCAAAACCCAGTAACACACAATTGTGTGTACCTATAGATACACAGGTGTGCATGCACGCGCACACACACACATACACACTCCAAATGAATTTCACAGAAATATGCCTACTCTTAAACTGGTGATGTACTCTGATTTTATTTTCTAGTATCTTCTATTTCATTTAAAAAAATACTAGTAACAACCTACTAAATTGATAGAATGCATTGCCATCACAGATGAGTTTGAAGAACACTGACTTTTTTTCACTGTATAGATGGAAAAATAGAAAAGACTTGCACAAGGTCACTAAAAGGTTTTTTTGTTCTTTTCTATATTATTTGATGTGACCATTTAAGTTTTATCCTCATATATATATACTATATATACTATTTATACTATATATACACTATACTATATATATACTATATATACTATATATATACTGTATATACTATATATGCTCTATATACTATATACTATATATATGCTATATATGCTATATATACTATATATACTATATACTATATATACTATATATACTATATACTATATATACTATATATTATATGTACTATATTCTATATACTATATATACTATATGTACTATATATACTATATACTACATATATACTATATATACTACATAATATATATATAATATATATACTATATATATATTATATATATAGTATATAGTATATATATCCCTTTGAGAGAAAATAGAGAAAGTTAGGTAAAAAATTTCAGATCTCTGATATTTCTAATTCCTCCTAATCATGAAAATTTTAAATATCAGGATTAAATACAGGCTCTTTTGTTGATAATAATGGTTTCTTATCATTTTATTAGGATTACCCTAGGGTTTCCTTTTTATTGTTTTAAGTAATTCAGATTAGTCTTTCCTTTTCAATACTTTCACTTGTTCATATCCTCCCTCTAAAGTAAACACAGTTTATTAAACCTGAGTGCCCACAGCAGGCACATTTGCTTTTGATTATTCTCTTTACCAAGCCAAACATGTCACCACAGGCAGTGCCATGCAGTAGACACACAGATGGGCTTGTTCCATGCCTGTGCCACTCATTAGCAACTTCTGAGCCTCAGTTTCCTAATCCCTAACATTGATGTGAGCTAAATAATCTCTTGGGTCCTGTCCAGATGTACAATGGCTTAATTGAAGAAGTCTTCAAAGTAGGAAGTTCTTTTACTGTATCTAAAATGAGAGATTATGTTATAGATATTCTGTTTCCACAATTTCAGCTGCATGAAGTGAGTGGGTTCCTATTGAAATAGAGATAACTTCTTAATGAAATTTTTAGAAATAAGACATGCATGTATTTTAAAGATACCGTTCATAGGAAAATGCTGTTTTGAGATAGATAAGACAACTGGTTTAATATGATCTCGCTTCCAAAGTCACATGTATGGAGGTGCAAAATTATATCCTGCTGTTATTTTTTCAATTATATAAAATGGTAAGTACCTACTAAAATAAAGTTGTTTTTTTCCATTGAGATTAGCTCTTTCCTTTTAATTTCACCTGGTAGGGAAGGTTTGCTGTCTTACTTGTTAAGCTTTATGAAACACTTTGTGTTTTCTGAACAGAGTCTTGCTAAGCTGCAGGAGCGGTTTCATTTGGATCAGAACATTGGCAGATCTGAGCCAGATTTGAGATGTAGTCCTGTGAACTCTCATTTATGTCTCTCCAGACAGACCCTTGATGCTGGGTCACAAACAAGCATTTCCGGAGATGTAAGTTATCTGTGCTGAAGAGTTGGCCCAGTGTTGTCCTTGATGGGCCTTAATTGCAATATGGATGGTGAACTGGAACCAGAAGTATATGTGACTTGGATTCTGGCTGTGTGCATTCAGTGTTCCATTTTCGTAAGATTAGTTTTAAAAATCATAGCCTTATCTTTTCTATCTAGGTGCCAAGTATGTCAGGATTTGTCCATATGAGTAGCTTTGTTCAAACTTTCTCATGCTATATTCCTTTAGAGACACGCTGAAAGGCTAGAGGCATATGAGAATTTAACTTTTTCCTATTACGTTTAGAGTCTTGGAAATGTAGGTCCTTTCAAATAAACATTAGGCCAATGAGAAACAGAAAAACATGCCTTTTAAGACTAATAAGAAAACTTGTTTTTGTAAATCTTAATTGATTATATTAAAATGTTTAATTTGTGATTTATATCTGCCATTTAAATATTTAATGTGGCTTGGCTATTGTTAACTATTTTACCTTCTCCATTTTGGGATGCCATTAGCAGGTATTTACTTCTCAATACATTCCCATTTCTTTTCATATTCTTTTATGCTGCTTTGAAATATGTGCTGTGAAAGTAAAACAGGTAGAGATCAACAGTAGGGCTTACCTGTTTGAAAATTAATTTTTGAACTTATTTAGTTTATATTTTGTACAGTTGAAAGCTAAATGCTAGAAATTAGGCTCATAAAGGCAAAAAAATTAGTTCCAGTTCATAAATTTTATTGACCTGTACACCCTTCATAAACTCTGAGATACCAGACACATTTACCTTGGTATTTACAGTATCAGGATATTTTTTATCTTGAATTTAACGTGTAGAGAAAATAATGTTAGAGTCTTTGAAAAACAGATGAGCTTGAATTGAAAGAAATGTTTTGCCCCTACTGAGACAATAAAATAAGTGTCTTTTAAAATTGGTGTTTCCCGATTTCAGTACCATCTTCTTTAACTTTTCAATTACACATACTTCCCAGAAACAAAAGCAATTTACTTCATTCATTAGCAGAGTTAATTGACTTTTTTCCTTTTTCTTTTTCCACTAGATTGGAGTAAGAAGTAGATCAAATTTAGCTGAAAAGGTCAGGCTAAGCCTACAGTATGAAGAAGCCAAAAGAAGGTAATGACAGAGAAGCTGTTTTGTGCATGGCTCAAACATTTTCTTTTCCAGAATTAATCTTTACTCCTGTGGTGACATCTGCTGGGCACTCCCCATACATTCTTACCAAGGCCACCCTTCGGTTTTAGCATGTCAGGGCTGCTTCCTCTCTGGTCTACCTTTTCTTCCCCCCGCCCTCCACCCCCCAACCACCAAAAGCTAAAGAACAGGGAGAATTAGTGAGAAGTATACAAATGAACTTGCCCCCTTCTCCTCTGAGAAAAAAGAAGCTTTGAGTTGGTACAATACTTAACTCTCAATTAAAAGTGAGAAGATTGGTTGCTTTGATGGAAATATGATACAGTGGTTCAGGTATAGGACTAAATAGCTGTTGAGGAGTTCTAAGGCAAATAAGTATTGATTTATTTGCCTTTGATTTGAAGGGAAGTCTTACTGCTAATGTCCTTGAAGGTGCTGAGGTGGCAGTTCCAGTCGACTTAGGTTAGGGAAAAGGAAGAGAGATTCTCATTTCTCTCTTTTACCTCATAAACTCTTCTTAATCCCTGTGCTATCTTTTACTTACTTTGTGATTCTGCTGGAGTGAGACATAAGAAACTTCCGTCTCAACAACAACAACAAAAAAGAGATTTCACTATCCGTATCTAGTAGATAGACTCAAATACTTTTCATAATATAGAACTCCTTATTATGAGGGAAAGGATTATACTGATACATTTGATTTCATTATTTTCCTCATAAGAGCTTTAAAATGCCATTGGGTTATTATTTAGGAGGACATTGGGAGAAACTGCATTATCGTCCTGCAAGAAACAGGAATTTATCATGTTTCTCCCCATGACCATGAAAAGCTCAGCTGAGAACCAGATATTGAAGTATATTCCTTATTATTGGTGATGATGATAACTTAAAAGCAATTGGCCGTAGTCCTTAGAGGTTATCAGGCTTTAACAAAGTAAAATAAATACAATATTCACCTCTATGTAACCTGTATTCTTAATATTACTTGGTTCCTCACTTCCTGAAAGAAACCTAAGCTTCATTCCACAAATTATTAACCATGTGAGCTTGAACAAGTCACTTAGGCGATCTGAACAGCAATTTACTCAGCTAATTTTAATGCCTTTAAATTTTCTCTGGGAGATTCTAAATTTCTTCAGGTTAGGGAAAAATGTTTAGGCTTTATTATCTCCTTCTCAGTGCCCAGATTAGTGCCTTCCCTTCAATAAGTATTGAGGATCAACTTCTGGTTTTGTGGCCCGGCAATGTGCCAGCTTTCGGTAGATAGTGCCTGTGGTCCCCTTGTTGTGTGTCCACCTGGGCAGGGCTGTGGACAAAGCCATGAATTTGGTCTGCTTTTCTGAAAGAGAATGGCCATTACTCAGAAGCAGTCTTGGAGAACTGGGCCTTAAGCCCCTGCATTCTTTCGGGCTTGACTCTTGCTTCCCATGGATCAGCTTCAACTTTCACCCTCCTTTGACTTCTAAGTGAATTTTATCTGGAGCTCACATCACATTTCTCTTCCTAGGTGCTTCTAAAACTCTTCTTCATATTCTGCTCCCCAAATTTGGAACACTCCTTCTAAAATAAAATTTAAGACCTGCCTAATGTCTGATGACACAAATAATAAACGGGCGCCTCTTTTTCCTGTATTATGTTATTGTTCCTGGTTCAGTTGGTTAATTCAGTCACATCAAAACTTCAGACATTGGTTCTTTCCCACTTGGTTGCATTGGCGTGCCATTTGGGGTTTTGTTTTAAAGTTACTAGTGATGCTGATGAGAAAGTAAATCTCAAGCGCTTATGCATATGTTGAAAATGCTTTTTCCTCCTCAATTCTGATTAAGTAAAGAGGCAGGTTGTGTTTCTCTGAAATCTGTTTTCTCCTCCAGCCCTTATTTTATGTGCTTAATGAAGCTAATAATATCATGCTTATTTCGCATTTTGATGATTAATTTTCTAGTATGTTGAGACAGTTGTTTATGATTTTGTGGTTAAAGCTGAAGAATAGCTGATGTTACTTAAATCTATCATAAGTGCAGATGGGGGGAGAAAATCAGAAGTACACTGCATACACCGTGCCACTCTAACATGCAATTTTATTTTTAATTAGAACAAGAAACTTATGGCACAAAGGTATAGATCTACTTCCATCTTTGCTCTTGATTATGTTTTTCATTCACCTTTTCTCTTCCCTTCTACAAGTTCTCCCATGAAAATGGGAAAGTATTTCTTTTCTGTTTTTCGTATTTTGGTGTGTACTGTTAACAATATCCAAAGTAATCATCCAACGTTTTTCTGTAGAAACATAGATTCCTTGTGCAGACATCAGTGGAGTTCATAGTTCACTGAGATCTTGTCGTTATGGTCGAAAGAACCATGTGCCGCTTACCTTATGAACAGTCCTCATTGTCTTTACAGTGCCACGTAGCAAGTTATTTGACTCAGGTGGTTAGGACATTCGTACTGAGTCGGGGGTAATGTTAACTCTACCATGTGTTACGAAGCTCTAGACATAAGAGAAATCTGGGGTCAGGCAAAATTATGGAAACAGTGAGGTTTGCCTTTGGTGCATTTTCCTCCTCCTTCTCCTGTCCCTGTCCACATCACTTCAGCACCTGTTGTCACTCCAGTGGTGTCATGCCAGCTGCCTGTACTAGTGAAGGTCCACCGTATGCTGCCTGCAAATAGCTGTGTACAGAGCAACCACAGGGCTAGCACAATAATGTATAAAGTGTCAGTGCAATGACTGCTCAGTAAATGGCTTGTACACCAGTCGGGGCACTGATGGGGAGGAGACTCACATGCAGCTTAAGGAGAATGTGAACGGGAGAAGGCCAAGCCCTGCCCCTTCTCTTTGGCAATGGGGGAGCCTTGATGGATCAACCCCTGACTCCCTCCCAGGGTCTTGCTCTGTCACCCAGGCAGGAGTGCAGTGGCGCAGTTATGGCTCACTGTGGCCTCAAACTCCTGGGCTCAAGTGATCTCACCTTAGCCTCCCAAGGAGCAGGGACCACAGGCACACACATCACCACACCTGGCTAATTTTTAAAATCTTTAAAATATTTTTGGTAGAGACAGGGTCTCGCTATGTTGCCCAGGCTGGTCTCGAACTCATGGCCTCACATGATCGTGCTGCTTGTCCTCCCAAAGTGTCAGATTACAGGCATGAGCCACTGCACCTGGCCCAACTGCTTTCATACCAGTTGGCCACACCACTGCTCTCTTTGCTGCTCTCTCCTTCCCTGACTTACTAATGCCCTAGTCTCTGTCCAGCCTGCCCTGGGGTTCCCATTTTACTAGCGGACAGCATCTAAAACACATTGGAATAAAATGTATAGTGATGGCATCTCAGACATCATTCACCTCAGTTTTTTTAAAGGGAACCCCCCAGGCATCTTTCCTGTCACCTACACAGGCAGTCACACGTCAGAGCTGGCCTCTCGTGGCGCCCAGAGCACTCAGCTTTTGAAGCCTCTGTGTACTTGGCCTTCACCCTTTTGTCAGGTAGCTGGGTATGCTCACTCACATTTTAAAGATGGGGGAAAGAAGTGGGTGACAGCTGAGTGCAGAGACAGGCCCAGAGACTGGTGTGCAAGGCTGCTGCTCCCACTCCGGCCTCTCACCAGTAGACCACACCTCTTTCTGGTAAGGTCAAGTTAGGAAAATCTGGACAGCATGTCAACACCAAATTTGGCTTAGGCTGTGTTTACCTTTCTCAGGAGTTTTAAGTATGTGCATACCTCTTCTATCTTTTTTTTTTTAGTATGGCCAACTTAAAAATTGAACTGTCAAAATTGGACAGTGAGGCCTGGCCTGGGGCACTGGATATTGAGAAGGAAAAACTGATGCTGATTAATGAAAAAGAAGAACTTTTGAAAGAGCTTCAGTTCGTCACCCCACAGAAACGTACCCAAGATGAATTAGAACGCCTAGAAGCTGAAAGGCAGCGGCTGGAAGAAGAGTTGCTGTCTGTGAGGGGAACACCAAGCAGAGCTCTGGCCGAGAGGTTTGTTTTCCTTCTGGAAATAGGGCAGCTTAACTCTTGTGGGGGTGTCTTAACTGGATACTATTTTCCCTGGGTTTGGAAATCTCAATTGCATCTGTTCTTAGTGGACTGAGAAACAGCACAAATGGACTTTCTGTAGAACAATAAAGTGCACCATCCTAATGCCCGACAGGATAAGTTCTGTGTTTTAGGAACGTGCAAAACCTGTGACAGATGTTGAATAACTAAGGAATGCTGACATAAAACCAGGAATGTACATCATTGATGAAGTCTGATAACAATAGCTATAAACTATTGCACTCCGATAAGAAAAATTATCTAGACTGTTAGAGCAACTGAAGCTTCCTATTCTGGGTTTTATTACTCACAGGAATGCAAAAGTTTATTGCTAGTCATTTCACGAGGAAAAGACAGCTTCCTCCCTGTGATACCCTAACAGGTCACAACGTACTCACTTGCATTTTGTTTGTCAGTTGCATCCCTCCCGTGAAACAGGTGAAACTGTAAAGGAAAATACTCTAGGCAATTTTCCCATCTTTCTCTGGGAAGGTGTGAGTTGATTATTCCATCTAAAAAAATCCAGTTCTGCAAAACAGATCAGCTGGAATGTTAAGTGAAGGGACCTCTGTGTGTCAGTTTGACATGAACGCATCTGCATAAGAGCCTGGGTCCAGGCCTTGATGGCAGAATGGGTTGGATACCTGTTTCAGGACAGACCAGAGAGCCGTTGAGAACGACCGCATGTACATCCTTTAGGCCAGCCAGTAAACAGCAGTGCCTGTTTCAGGGTGATGGGAAAGAAATTCACATTGATATAATTTCAAGTGACCTGGAAGTAAGTTTAAAACACCCAGCCATAATCCAGTTGCTTCAAAAAAAAAAATTGTGGCGTCTTGCCTTCTAATTCCTTGTCCTCAATAAATGTTAGGGTTGCATGGCTACATAATATCAAAACATTTGAAAAGCAGGGGGAGGGAGAGAGGAAGACGTCTCTGACATTCCCAGGTAGGTGTTAGCATGGGGACTCACCCACCCCAACGTTAACCGTTTTAGGAGAGTTGACTTCTGTGGGTTAAAATGTTGATCAAGGTAACACGCAGCCTCAGTGTCATAGCTGTAGGGAACATGAAAACGTATCAAAAGGAAAAGCCTCTGAACTATAATCTTCTGCCCTCTTAATAATTCTCATCTTTGCCTCCATTTCCCCTTCTTTTCTTCCCTTCTTGTTCTGGCTTTTCTGTCTAATTTTGCTGACCAAACGGTCAGCCTGAGGGAAGTGTCAGCCAGGCTGGCAAAGCAAGGCCCCATCTGACAAAGACCAAAAGGAACAAAAAGAGTAAGAAGGCAAGGGAGAATTAATTTGTTTTTGTTGTTGTTGTTGCTGTTGTTTTTCTGAATTACCCTGATGTGTCTAAATTTGTATACCTAAAGTTTCTAGCTACGGATAGTCATCAGTAGCTATGATGAAATGGGTAGCTTTTATGTGGCCCATGTATAAAACAGCAATGATGTTTCATACTACTACATAGCATTTACATATTATAAAATTTTATATAATCATACGTGTCTAATGTGCCACGTCCATCTCAGCTGTTCTACTTTGTAGTAGGTGAATCTAGGAAGGACTTACAAACAGATTTGTTCTGGCAGAGAAAGAAGACATATTTGTTTGTCTTAGTTTTTATTGAGGTGGCGTCTTGCTTGCCTTTTTTATTAGGAGTAGAGCTTCCAAAAAATGACTCATGATATAACATTAAAGATAGCAATTTGTTCCTGAGAACCTAAACTTTGACTTTTTCCTAAGTACCTAAACTTTATACTTTTGTTTGCACACACATAGTAACTCAAAATTCCAGTGAAATAGGAGGCTTTTTTTCCTTTTTTTTTTTTTTAACGAACAGCCCAAACCTCACCAGAGACAGTAGGCTTGAACTCATTAGGAAGAGGAGCTATAAGATATTTATTTTAAAAATTATTTATTTAGTGAGATCCAGCCACTGGGTTTGTGTCATCTGGGGAGTAAGTGGTGTGGATATGATACCTCCATGGCCCTGTCTCCCATGATTGGATGTTAGCAGGAAGGGAAACATGTATTTTATATATGTAGTATGTTGACTTTCTGAGTTACCTGGAAGAGCCAGGTCATTTAGTATTCCAAATAAGTGGATACTAGTTTCCTTATCAGTGTCTATGGCCAAAGGCAAATCCTCATACTTACATTGCCATCAAAGGTTGAAGGACTCAGACATTCTTGCTTGATCAGCTTAAAGCTTTCTAACTCCTATCCTGGGATGCTCAAAGTGACTCAGTAGTTCACATGTCCAGAAGAGCAGAACCTGCTGCCATTGGGAACACTGAATCCTTTCTTTCCCAAGTAGATACAACCTCGTCTGGCTTTGGGTTTTGCTGTTGCTATTATGGTTTTGCTTTCTATTCCCCCATGCTCTGGCATTTTTTCTTATGGCTTCACCCTTTCGTGTCTTCCTCCTGTGTGTGTGGGTTTCTGCTCTGCTCATTGCTGCTGTTGCACTGACGCCGGGAGTTTAAGAGGGAAGAGAACGCCCTTGCCAGCAGTGTCTCCTCAGTGTCAAAGCAGGGCTGGCTGGAGCTTCTTTTGGGAAGTAGGATTTGCTGTGTGAAACTCAGTTTCATCATAGAACAGATTGTGTGCCACCAACCCCAAATCCTTCCTTTTCTTCTTGGTACCTACATGACTGTCAAAGCTACCTGCCGTATTCCCCAACATATTCCTGTTTTCCACTTATATTTGGGGTTCCCATTATTTCAGGGGTGACCTCTGGCAAGATTCCGAGTCATTGCTGAACGTTGGTGTCTGAAGGAGCTAGATGCACATGAATTTTCAGTCTCTGAGTGTGATCCTACAGCCCCCCCCCCCCCCCCCCCGGCTCTGTTCCTGCCCCCACAGGGCTGCAGTGTCGCCCACTGGGCCTGATGGCAGCGACTGTGCTCGCCACCTGGTGGTGGGAAAGAGGTGCTCATGGTGAAGCATTGCCAGGCCTAAAGAGAAATTGCTCGCAAATGAAAAAAACCATGCAGGGAAGGTGTTTCTATGCATCTTTCGTATTCTTCCCATGCAGTTATTGAAATTCCTTAAACTCTGTGCTTTCCTATAGCTGGTAAGATCTTAACATTGCTCCTTGTTTTATCACAAGTGTTGGGGGTTTGCCTTGTAATTGCCAAGACGTCTTAATTGTTTCTTAATTATTTGAATGTTTTTGCCACTGCTTCTGAAAAATTTTTTAAAGCAAATAGGTGGGGGCATGAGTGTCACTTAGTTTTGAGTGGAAAAGGGACTTCCTGCTTCTATAGATGACATGAAATTTTCCCTAGGTGCAGAATTCTGAGTTCAGGAGAAACCAGGCTGTGCTTCTCTCCTGCAGGGCACTGAGGGCAGAGTCAGGCAGGTGTGAAGGCCCACACTTCACAAAGGGCAGCTTGAAAGGGGATGTGGAGCAGATGGGCCAGGGGGAGGAATCTTTTAAGGGCCAAGTAGAGGAAACCCTTTCTCATCCAGCAGACCAACAGGCAGGAGTTGGAGAAGAACCTAGAGAGACAGGTGTGCACCCTTTTGAGAGGGCTGATGTCTGCAATTTCTTCTAACCCCTGGTTATGGGGAAGTTGGGGAGAGCATTTCACATGAAATACACGTGGATTCTGAGGAAGACTTCAGGCTTTCGCTAGGAGAGGCTTTGGTGATAACATCAGAGACAAACTGCGGCCCACTAGGAGGGTTTCTGTGCCTCTCCCCAGTGCCTTCCTCATGCTTCTCCCAGGGAAGGTTTCATCTCAACACCAGCAAGAACGGAGGGACTGGCCAGGGCACCCTGTGCTGCAGGGAGAAAGGGCTGATGTCTGCATTCTGGGATTGTAGGAGCTAAGTGGGAAACGTGAACAAGAACACAAAGACAGGCATCTGTGGTTCAAAGCAGACATTAAAGGGCTGGAAGAGCAGCTGCCGAGCATCACCTGGAGAAGGCTGAGGACGCTCCCTAGTGATGGAGAAGGGACAGCACTGAAAGTGTGGCTCAGGGTCACATTCTGACGTCATCCTGGTGCCTCCTGAAAGCATTAGAAAAAGGCTTCATTTTAATAAAAGCAATATTGAGTTTTAAAACTTCCTTCCGAAGTGTTTCTCTTGTTTCAGAAGACATGGATTTTAGTAGAGTTTGGGGCTTTCTTCAGACCTTTGTGCACTTTTAATTCAGTTAGTCTACTTCATATTACTTTTTTCCTCGTTGAGTTTTTATTTATATTTGAAAGATTTTTAAAATGACCGCTGCTTTTAAAAATACACCTTTGAAAGCCATGAATTAAGAATTTATCGCGCTTTTGAAGTATTAAAGAAAATGGCAAGAATTACTTTTTTTAGTTTAACATATAATGGAATAGTGTTGTTGACACATCAAAGGGATAGATACCTATAAATAAAATATGGGCATGTTTCCTTACTGCCAAAAACATATATAACATTTCAAAGAGATTAGAAATTAAGGAAATTTTATTTTTCTCCAAAGAAAAGTGGCTAGTTTTTATATCACCACTTTTCAGGGCATGCTGAGGCTTTGAACAAGTCAGATTTGTTTTTCTTCTCTGTCAAGCACTTTCTCATACATTACTCCATTGATCCCTTTAACAGCCTTACCAGGGAGACACAGGGGAATTATAGTCACCATTTTACAGATGAGAAAAGTAAGACCCTTGATTCAGCGACTTACCAAGGATATGCAGCTAGTAAGCTGCAAATCAAGATTAGAAACCCAGGTGCCCTTTTTCTGAATTCCATTCTGCTGCTTACTGCTCTGAACTACTTTATTTCATGATGTCTAAAGACCTTCACACGACATAGACTATACTTGCACAGACTCTTAGTTGCATAAACCCCTGGGTACTTGGTATATTTTAAAATGACTTACTATTCAAGTATACAGTTCTATAATGCTGTACTCTTAAAAAAAAGAAAAACTTTTGCAGTTGAATGTGGATGAAATTTTATGATAGTCCGACGCGGATGATGAGATGTGCTGTAGCTCGGAAGGGGAATCACTTTTAGGTCATCCTCTTCCCTAAACAGTTGAGCCCAAATTAGCCCACAATGGTATTGTGGACTAAAATTGTTTCTTAATTGCTAATTCTTATCAAATCAGGGTTGGGAATGTTATCACTAAATACTATGTTGGAACAAGCGTTACTAAATTCGGTATTTAGGGTGACCTTTACTGTTGCTGTGAAATGTTTTAGGAAAGGGTTCCCAGGTCACAGATCTGTGTCAGGATTCTAGTCTTTGGTTAGTTTTTTGTTTCCTTGGTTATTTTCCTCCTCACTCTTCTTCCCCAACTCAAAGGACCATATTACTTACCCATTTAAAAAGATTCTAGGCTACCAGCAATTTTAAATTCTCAGTGACATGGTGATGGGGCATAACGCTCCCTCCCCATCCTTCAGCTTGGCTCGTGCAGCTCTGCCCCCCACACTTCTTGCCGGTGTCCTGTTTTCTGTCTGTGGAGCCCATTCACATTTTTCCCTTGTGATCTGTAATGTTTGTACAATGAGAATCTTTCTTTCCTTTTAGTTTTCATATTTTGTTATAATCATTTGAAAATAATTTTTTTTCTTCCTAGATTGAGATTGGAAGAGAGAAGAAAAGAGCTGCTACAGAAACTTGAAGAAACTACTAAATTAACTACTTATTTGCATTCACAACTTAAAAGGTGAGCTTATCAGATTTTTGAGGGGAAAGCTTTTCTCCGAATAGCATGTTCTTGTTCATCTTTGATTACTTTTCACTTTATTTCCAACTACTTTAAATAAAATCATTATAGTAGCACAGTTACTGTTTGAGTGATCAGATTTAAAGTCACATTTTCTTTTGCATGAACCCAGTGTCATATTTGGAATACATTTGAAATATGTTATAGAAAGAAGATATGTTTTAGCTGTCAGTACATTTAGGATAATAACGCATTTTTCCCATTGCCCCATTTTTTAAAAAGGGAAAGTGGAGGAGCTTTGCCTTAAAATAGCCATAGATTTCCTTACATTGATGAGAAAAATACTCACTCCTCACATTCACACACAAAGAGGAAACGTGAGCGAACCCAAGGGTCTTTTGTGTGACTTCTTTCTTTTTATAAGCTTGCCTTCTTTTCTCTAAAAATAAAAAGCTTTTTTTTTAATAAAAAACTACATTAACGCTTTTGCCCTGTTTTTTCTTGCTTTCAATATTTTTTAATGGCAAAGTGGCTTCTAGATGTCTATGCAAATAAACTTATCAACAGGTATTTGATTCCTTTTATTTTTGCAAAAGGAGGATAATGTTTAATAAGAATAGATTTGCTACTTAAAGAGTATTTGGAGAGCAAGGCTGAAAAGGTTAACGAAGAAGCATAGACATGGTATACAGTTAGGTGCCACATGATGACTTTTTGGTCAAGGGCAGACTGCATATATGATGGTGGTCCCGTAAGATTGTAATACTGTATTTTTACTGTGCTTTTTCTAGTTTAGCTATGTTTAGATACACAAATACTACCATTGTGTTATAATTGCCTACAGTATTCAGAACAGCAACTGCTGTGCAGGTTCGTAGCCTGGGAGCAATAGGCTATACCACATAGCTTGGGTGTGCAGTAGGCTGTACCGTCTAGGTTTGTGTAAGTACACTCTGTGATGTTTGCACAGTGATGAAATCACCTAACCATGCATTTCTCAGAACTAGACCAGGTCGTTAACTGACACACGGCCGTAATATAGGGAGTTCCTCTGTCCCTGGCCATTGATTCCATTCTTTAGCAGGTTTCTTCCCTCTGCAGATCTGAAGGAGCCAGTAGAGATTGTGATTAGGTTTTCCATTTTGTAACAGATTTTATGGTGTGTGCTTTTTGTCTTTCAGCCTCTCTGCCAGCACCCTGTCCATGTCATCTGGGAGCAGCCTGGGTTCCCTGGCATCGAGTCGGGGCTCTCTGAACACCTCCAGCAGAGGGTCACTCAACTCCCTCAGTTCCACCGAACTCTATTACAGCAGTCAAAGTGATCAGATAGATGTGGATTATCAGTATAAACTGGACTTCCTTCTGCAAGAGAAAAGCGGTTACATTCCTTCTGGACCCATCACCACCATCCATGAAAACGAGGTGGTCAAGTCCCCTAGCCAGCCTGGCCAGAGTGGACTCTGTGGAGTGGCAGCTGCAGCAACAGGCCACACTCCTCCACTGGCTGAGGCCCCGAAGTCTGTGGCCTCCCTGTCCTCGAGGTCCTCCCTTTCCTCCTTGTCTCCTCCAGGCTCTCCCTTGGTTTTGGAAGGCACGTTTCCCATGTCTTCTTCTCATGATGCCTCTCTCCATCAGTTCACTGCTGACTTTGAAGACTGTGAGTTGAGTAGCCATTTTGCAGATATCAGCCTCATCGAAAATCAGATTTTGCTGGATTCTGATTCAGGAGGAGCCTCCCAGTCTCTTTCAGAGGATAAAGACCTTAATGAATGTGCTAGGGAGCCATTATATGAAGGAACTGCAGGTAAATGCAGCCCTTTGCTTTCATGTATTCCCTGTTAGTGATTTTAAGGAGAATGATTGGAGCATTATTTTTCCATATAAACAAAGGGTATGATTCCCCTTCTCTTTCTTTTGAGTAATCGTTTTGGCTTCATTTAAGAAGGAGCTTTTATTTATATACCTAGATATTTTTCATTATCAAATAAAAATTACCTTCCCTATTTAGTAGACTTAATCATTTAGTACCTGCTCAGTTGTCCAGAGACACTCTGTGTGTGGTAGCTGACTGGGAACATATGTTGTGAACATATTTCCAAGTAGATTCCAGTTCTGAAATAGCAAGGCAAAGAAGAGGATTTTCTTTTAAAAGTTGGCCTAAAACAGATTAAAACCAAGGCAATTAACATAGTAGCTAATTAGTACCAAGGTTCAGTGTTTAGATTGTTCAGGGAATTCTATATAAATACAGTTTTTGTTTCAAGCCAGACTCCTTTTCTGGCGAAAAGTTAATTTAAAACAGCAGGTTGCAGTGTATGGTATTACCCTGCCACCTTCTGGCCAGGTTAACAGTTGCAGCCCCGGGAAGGGATTACTAGAGATTGTAGTTCTTAGGCCTGCATTTGTATTCAAAAAGACAGAAACAGGAAAAATATCATTTTTTTGTTTGTTTGTTTGTTTTCCTTTGCAAAGCAGGAACTTTGAATATGTTAGATATGATTGTAAAGAGCACAAGATGTTTCCCTTGTTGGCAGATGATCACTGTTGGTCTGAGGAGGATGATCTGTTCCAGAGCTAGCTTGAGACAAAATGTGAAATAAAAGCCCCAGTGCTCATCTACAGCTGTCCTGTTCACAGCTACATGTTTTACTGACCACACAAAACAGGGCAGGGCTCTTTAGAAGTGCTCTCTTCCTGTTCCCAGAAGCATTTTTATTTGTATGTATGGTCCTAAGAATTCTGAGTAATTGATTGGCCAATTCAGATATGTAAAGACATTGACAAATCCACCTTGTTTCTACGGTTTCAAATACTGAAGAGCCAAGTGCTGTGCCCTGTCAGTGGCCTGGGCCTGTGGGAGGGCCCATGAGACATTTGTGTGGTTTGTGCGCCCTCTCCTGGGGAGATGTCAAAGCTACAAGTAGCAGGTTATGGAAATAACCACAAAGAAAATAACCAGGGGAATGGTGTGTGTACATAATGGCCCCAACAAAACAGAAAGCCGCGTGGGGCCTTCACCACTGCTTCTGGGAAGGAGTACGGTGTGTGTGCGTGCGTGCGTGCGTGTGTGTGTGTGTGTTAGGGGGTGCATACCACTCCTGGAACCAGCCAAGCCTCCACTCACATTTTAGTCACCAACGTGTTTGGGTAAGCACACTACCCAATCTCTCAGGATTATGATTCCTTATCTGCAAAATGGGGTTGCTACAGTAATCCTTGTGTCAGGCTGAAGGATTTAATGCAGTGATAACATGTGAAGCACTTAACCGTGTCTGGCACTCAGCACACAGTTCATGGTAATTATTAGTACTCTGTGACAGTGATGATGATAAGTAATAAACTCTGGCTAAACACAGTTCTTACTGTAAACCATGGAAAGCTATGAGAAGAAGAAAGAGAAGAAAATGGAATGTTCTGTGCCAGCGTTCCTTCCTGTGCTTTGAACTTACATCTTTTGACCTTTCAAGGTAGTTTTGCTCTTCCTGTATTTGGAGTGGTATCTAGTGACCACTTCTAACATTCAGCCAATTTGGAGGGGCAGTAAGTGAGGCTGGATGCTGGAGAAGAGGGGAGAGAGTGATGAGGGAAAAAGTTGCCTAAAGTCTGTCACCCACCCAGTAACCCTGAGGTCTGGGAGTCCTGTCTTGCAAGTGTGTCTGGTTGGCCCATGCCTTGCTCCTGACACTTGGGTCTTGCTGTGTCTGAAAAGTTTGTGGATGGAGACAGTATCTCTGAACCTTTGTGAAACAGTTTTTAACTTTTTAAATGCATATATTAGAAAACTGCTGTTAAAAAGTTACCCTAAGAGAAAATACATCCAAGAGCTTTGATTGCAGATAATATTCAGTTGCATGTCTGAAAACAAGTGAAAGCGTATATTTAACCATAAAGGCTAATTCTCACAAATTAGCTGGGCATGGTGGTAGACATCTGTAGTCCCAGGAGGCTGAGGCAGGAGGATGTCAAGGCTGCGACGAGCTGAGATTGCACCACTGCACTCCAGCCTAGGTGACAGGAGTGAGACCTTGTCTCAAAAAAAGGAAAGATGAATTATCTTCAAGTCACCAGCACTTTTTTTCAGGGGACGTCTGCCCTGCATGTGGGGTGGTGGCTCCCTATCAGGGACGTTTGTCATCTCCCTCAGTGCTCTAGAGGCTTAGGCAGGTAAAGTCAAGTCCCTTTTACGTAAACTTTGCTGTCCAGTGCCAGTCCCTGCTGGATGACACCAACCACGTTGGAATAACTGCAAAGGCCTTCCGCAGTCAGTCACTGTCATTGTCAAAGTCAATTTCAGGCTGCTGTGGTTATTCCTGGGGGTAATCAATAAATCATGTCATCACCTTCACCCTTCACAAAGGGGGGTGGGCGGAGAGAAGGCACTTCATCATCAAGGAAAAAGCATTCCCACTGCCAGAAATAAAGTGGAAAATGCAGCAATCAATCCTGTAATCTGAAGCCTTAAAACTTAAACATCTTCACAAGATGTAAAGTCACGGCTCAGAAGGGGGCCAAAATGCATACCAATACAGATCCCTGCGCTCACTCTCACTCACTGGAGGATGAAAGAGCACCACAGGCTTGCAGCTCATTACAGTACAGAGCACAGCCTTAAATGAATGTTCCTTGCTCACTGCAGGATGCTGGTGTATGAATATGAGTTCGAGATAAAAGTTAAGTGGTCATTGGTACTAAAGATTCAGTAGCACAAAAAGTTTTTTAATGGTATTGGCTGGTGAGGAGTTCCTGTGAGTCAAAGACATTTTTTCTTTATTTCTGTTAGAATAGTAGCACAGGAGATGTAGGATATGGCATGTGGAGAGAAGGGGAGACCAAAAGAGGTGGAAACTTATCCATTGAGTAGCTAGAAGCTCTCTCTGTGATAGAAATGTCACTTGAGGGAGATAGATCATTTCCTATTCCTGAATATATGAACACTGCAGTGAATGCTTGAAAGAAAGAGACTAAGGACCAATGAGAATTTGTGTAATTCATCCCTTCCCTTAAAATATTTCAGGACAAAGAAAAACCATATTCTCTTCCAAGTAATGACTGAAAAAACTGGCGTCCCAGGAATCTTATAAGTCATAGTGCCTTGAGTTGTTTACAGCTGTAGATTTGAATATTAACATCCTTGACTCCCAGAAGGAAATCTTATTTTGGATTGCTCATGACCAAACTATGTATGTATTTAATACTTAACTTTTCCAAATAAGACATTCTGATTAGTGCTCTCACCCTCCCCTCCATAGATGTGGAAAAATCATTACCAAAAAGAAGAGTGATCCACTTGCTTGGGGAGAAAACCACTTGTGTGTCGGCTGCTGTGTCTGATGAGTCTGTGGCTGGAGACAGTGGGGTCTATGAAGCTTTCGTGAAACAGTAAGGATTCAGCAGGGGCGCTTTTAGCTCCAGCGAATCTCCATCGCCGTGGATGTGGGTTATATGCTGTAAATGGACTGCTACCATTAGTCCGCTCTTTGGCTTAGTAAGGACTTTAGCCGTTAAAGAAGTGGTGTGCCTGAAAAGTTCAGTATATCAAAAATGACTTAGCCATGGAAATTATCGATAAACAGATTGGTGTACCCAGAGGCAATTGACCCTCTTTAGAATTTAAAAACCTTGAATTTAGTGGGAATATTGGAAGAATTCACCAGACCCTGTTTGGCACATGAAGCTTCTCACGTGTATTTCTGAAAGTCTGAAATGTCTCAAGGGTGTGGTATATTTCTAGTAATAAGGAAAGTAGTCATCAGAGAGGCTTTGCCCTAAAGCCCAGAGGCGGGCTCTTCTTGAAAAGAGCCTCTGAAACAGTAAGCTTTCGCTGGGATCAGTTCCACTGGGAGGGCATAGGAGTGCTGTTAATTTGGATTTTCATTCAGAATCACTAAGTGGCAAACTGTTAACCATAACAATCGATAACCCCATTAATTAACTGTTCATCTACTCCCTGTCCATATAGACCTAGTGAAATGGAAGATGTCACATACAGTGAAGAGGATGTAGCCATTGTAGAGACCGCCCAGGTTCAGATAGGACTCAGGTAAGGAATGTACGTGGGAAAGGAGCAGTTCTGACATCTGTGCAGGGCAAGTGGCCTGTGGTGATTCCTGACTTCATTTAGCCTCTCTTTTGACAGATACAATGCAAAAAGTTCAAGTTTCATGGTGATTATAGCACAGCTCCGAAACCTTCATGCCTTCTTGATACCTCATACTTCAAAAGTGTAAGTAAAATCAGCGAAGATCAAATTGAGGAACTTAAACATTTCCATGTAAGAGAATTTTACACTGTAATCATACAGTTCATCAAAATGAAGATACGGAAAAGACATAGCAGGGCTGATCATGTCTAAATGAATGGCAGATAAAGATGAGAAGGGAAATGTGAGGAAGACATATTGAGTTTTAATTCTTACTCAACTGATTCTTTCTAAGAGTAGAAGCCAAGACATTTAATCTCTTTTTTGTAACCAGAAGCACTGTTTTATGCTGTGTTGGAATTTGATTGAAATATGGGTAAAATTTTTGTTTTTGTGTAATTGTTACTACTGTTGTTTAAGGAATTTTCTAATCTTTTACATTAAAATGTAGTGATTAAATTTTATGTATCTGTACAACATTGCCAGTCAAACATTTTATCATGCTACATGTAAGAGTATGTTTTTATCATCAAGCATTTACTTCCCTGTGACCAGTGAGTTCTTAAAGTTATTTCACTTCATCAAACCAAGAATCCCAACAAAGTGATGACATAATGCTACACAGTCCATTGCTTAGAGACTTTTTGCTTCCTGACAGATAAGCCTAAAGATCTCATGACAAATAAGTCTGGAAGTCTTAGACACCACCATTCACATTTTCTGACATCAGAGTTTCAGTGACTCTGAAGGGCTCATGGCTGGAAAGTACCAGGAAGAATCCAGACTTCGACTTAGCACTATGACGTAGAATCCGGAATATGCATGTCCACTCTGCATTGAAACTTCCTGTAAGAAGTGGATCTTAATAATATTTTGAATATGCAGTGCAAGGCTTTGGAAATTTAAAAAGAGCTGTTGAGGGGTGATCCCCAAGACTCTATACCCAGCCAGGTGAATGTTTTCCTTAATGATAGAGTATATTCCTTAGTGATAAGACTTTTAATAGAATAAATTAAAGAGTTCTGCATGTTTTTCCTACAGAGTTGCTTGTAAGTTCACCTCCTAACATTCCAATAATCATCAGAAAGAAGAAACTGGATCTAAGAGAAAAAGAACTAGATAGAAATTATGTAGTTGACAATAGAAGAATAGAGATAGTGGCTTTCTTTTTTTTTTTTTAAGAGATGGGGTCTCACTGGGTTGCCCAGGCTGGTCTTGAACTCCCTGGGCTCTCCCACCTTGGTCTCCCAAAGTGCTGGGATTACAGGCGTGAGCCACCGAGCCCAGCCAAGATAGTAGATTTTAATGTGTTGACAAGCATCAAAGCTGGAGGTAGGATAGGATTCCAGGAGGAGGGTGAGCTTAGAGAACTTCCTGAATCAAAGTGTGGACTGTCCACATCATTAGTGAGACCAGTGAGGAGAGCAGGCATCACATAGAAGTGCCTAGATCAACGCAGAGAGCCTGCTTCCCAAATGCGAGATGAAAAACACCAGTCAGCGGTGTCCAGGAAGACTGGCTTGATATAAACTGTGACTTCTCCCTACCAGTAGATAAGCTGTGATGTTGGAGCATGCCATTGGTGGCCTTTTAGTAAAGCAAATCATGGAGAAGACAAGTCTACCAGAGACTGAAACAATAAACAGTGAGAACTAATGCACAACTTCAGGAGAAAACTACAGAACACCCCAAGAACACACACCTTCTTTAAACTCACTGTAAGGGTGCACCTGCAATATGCTCTACTTCAACTAAACCAATCACAGTCATTCTCACTTACCTCATAGGATGTCACCAAGTCCCTTCTGGAGGCATGGTGATACCTGCGTAGTGTAGGACCAGTGAAATACTCAGCCCAACCAATGAGCAGACATTTGCTCTTCGGCTCCCCAGCTAATGTGCAGGCACTTGTTGAGTTGGTGCGAACCTTCCTGACATATATAGCAATCTTTCCTTAAACCCACATGTAAAAGCCTTGGCCTAAATAATGACACTGCTAAACATGACAGCTAGTATGAAATATTCTTAAAATTGTTCTTTTTTTTCCCAACCTCAAAAGTTATTTTTTGATTATTAATTGTGACAAGCAGAAAAGATTTTCTTCTGCTGAATCTTCGGCCTCCCAGGGACAGTGAGCTGTGTCTTAGTAAGGCTCTTTAATCAACAGCAGTGGGCTTCAGGCCCACTAGGTTTTCATTGCTGAATCTCCATAATTAATATTGATATGAAATACAAAATAATATGACATTCCTCAGTTCTGCATTTGAATTACAGTTTTTCTAACGGAGAAAGGCATGTTTTAGAATCTAGATTAGACAAGCCTGGAAATGGGGGTGGAGGGGATAGACTTAGCGGTATTCTCTTCCTGGGATTTAAAGGAAGTTACCTCACGCTCTTTCTAAGAATTGTGGGTCCTCATACAATGTGTGCTCAGAAGAGTCACTTTAAGGTAGTATTAGAAGTTATTGTTTTTCTATAACTCTTCCTCTGAATTTTACAAAGCACGGGACTCTTAAAACAGTTTGTCGTATCTCAGAATTTGGAGATGCTAGACAGTGATATTTTTGAACCGTTGTTTCATCTGTTTTAAATTTTCTTAACAATATGCTACTGAGCCTTTCTTTTTCTCTAGTAGGATAATGTATTCCATTCCTGGGAGGTGATCATCAGCATCTCTTGTTTAATACTCAGGATGAGGATTCTGTGAGATAAAGTCACCAGTATCTACTTAGTGTGTTCCCACCTTCCCAGGCTCAGAAATAACTTATTTTGGAATTGGCTGTCCATGGGGCAGGTGGGACGTTAAATTCGTCTGCCCTACGGATTTTCTTCCTCTTCACTTTCCTATCATGTGCCTTTGCTGCAGTCTCGTGGTGAGTGGAGGCTGGGCCATTGCATGCTCAGGGGCGTAGTCAGCTCGGGTGGGTTAAGGACAGAGCATCTATGCAGCTGAGCACGGACCCGTGATGGCAGCAACACTTTAGATTGATCTTGAACTCCACGATCCCTCATTTTCTCTCTTTGCAGATAATTTCAAATGATAGCTGTGAATCTGGTATAATTAAAGTACCTATGAAATCCATTTTATTCTTGTTCTTTGCAGATATTTTAGGGTTGCCGTTCTTCCTTCCTCAACTGATGTCAGCTGTCTGTTTCGCACAAAAGTTCATCCGCCCACAGAATCCATTTTATTCAATGATGTGTTCAGAGTCGCCATTTCCCAAACAGCCTTACAACAGAAGACACTGAGGGTAGACCTTTGCTCTGTCAGTAAACACCGAAGGGAAGAATGCCTGGTAGGATTCTTCATAATTCCCATTACCAAATAGCACTTAGATTGGGTGGTCTGAGGATATACTTTGTAGTTGCTATTTTGCCAGCCCTAGAAATCACTACAGACCTGCCCAACATCTTGGGATACATCTAGTGTTTGTTCATTTTTTTCTGAAGTAGTGGTTTCTGTTTATTCTCTTATTCCAGACCTTTAAAATCTGCTTATAAATTGTGATTTTCTGTAAAAGTTGCTTTCTATTTCTACCTTTTCACCACAGAAGAACTTTACCTTTGTGACAGCTATCACTCATGGAGTGTGCTTACCACTCCCAGTACCAATGCCAAGCTTTGCGTGACTGCTGTGTATATATTATCTCATTTAATCCTCATGACAACCTGATGAAAGATTGGTTATGAAATGGATGATTATCCACTATTTTCAGATAAGGAGCTGCTTAGAGAGGTAATATATTCAACGGTCATACAACTAGTAAGCGATGAAGCCAGATATCAAAAAGATATCCCCACATAATTACATAATTCACTGTTACAAATTAAAATTAAGCAAGACCACTGAGTACTATATAGTACCCTTATTCACCTCATTCTCCTCCACCACAGTATTGGAGCTTTCGGGAAGATGTGATGTTACTGTTTAAAGCAATATGACATTTAAATGCTACAGCAGAAGACTTCACAGTTAACTAATTGTGAGTTTAATACACTGTTGTGCGTAATAACCAGAAAACCATTATGTCCCAGTAAAGTTACATAAGTATTCAAATGCAGGCATCTAGAGATGTGCCATGTGTTCAGAAAACAATGTGAGTCTCCAATTGAGCTTTTCTCTGCAGTCCAGTGGGAAGCACAGAAACACATGTTTCATGATGAACAAAGTTTAAGAGGGGTAGGTTTCTTCTTAATTTTTCTTCTTGTTTTCTTTACTTGAAAAAAATATCTGATGATATTGTCTGACAATAAAGTTAGAAAGAAGCAGAGCTAACAGACTCGTTAGGCTATCAGAAAGGCTTTAGTATCATAGATGTCATATTTAGTATAATAGATGTCAGAGGCTCCCACAAAGTTCATAAATATTATATTGATAGCCTTAAAGAAGAGTGTAATTGAATTTAGATTTTGTCTATGTGTGATTTGGTGGAATATGGAAAGCCTTTATCCTTTACTTTTTTTGCCATTCTACTAACTTATGTATCTAAAGAAAACTGTTGCTTTTTGATGTCTTATTCAAGAACCAAAGTGGAGTTTTTATTTTTTTTTCAGTGGATAATGGGTTGTTTGTGAGTAAGTCACCTTTACAGCATATTATAAGAAGTACTATGAGGCCGGGTGTGGTGGGTCATGCCTGTAATCCTAGCACTTTGGGAGGCCGAGGCAGGCAGATCACCTGAGGTCAGGAGTTCGAGACCAGCCTGGCCAACATGGTGAAACCCTGTCTCTACTAAAAATACAAAAATTAGCTGGGTGTTGTGGTGCGCACCTGTAATCCCAGCTATTCAGGAGGCTGAGGTAGGAGAATCGCTTGAACCCAGGAGGTGGAGGTTGCAGTGAGCTGAGATCACACCACTGCACTTCAGCCTGGGAGTCAGAGCAAGACTCCATCTCAAAAATAATAACAATAATTTCACATTTACATAAAAGGCATGCTTAGTCATTAGGTCTTCGCAAAATGGTATCTCACAAACTAATCCCAGGATTAGCTTTTAGGTTGGGGGTTATTTCTTACTTAGTCACAGCTGAAAATATAACATATCCCCATGTTTTAAAAAATCCAGCAATGCTTTATGTCAGGAGAATTGTGTTTTTTTTACCCTAAAACAAGCTCATTCAATAATCTTTATTATATCAGAACAAATACTAATTTAAACATTTTATTTTCTCTTCCTTATTTTTTTTTCTTTGTTTTCTTTCACTTACATAGGCTGGAACTCAGATCAGCCTGGCAGATTTACCATTTTCCAGTGAGGTTTTCACTCTATGGTATAACTTGCTTCCTTCCAAGCAAATGCCTTGCAAAAAGAATGAAGAAAATGAGGACTCTGTATTTCAACCAAACCAGCCGTTAGTAGATTCTATAGACTTGGTGAGTCAAAATTAGAGTATAATATGAAAGTAATGTGAAATACATATATGAAATACATATATGAAAGTAATATGAAATATGGAATGCTACGAGACCAACATGCTTTTATCACTTTCACTGTCCTTCCTTTTCTCCTTTCACAACTTTGATTTTCCCAGCTTCCTAAAAAAAAAGAAAGTTAATTTCCAGCTTTGTTTCAAATATGGTTTATAAAAGGAGCACTCTTTTCTGCTCACACTTCCTTGTAAAAATAAACTGACATAGGGGCTTCACTGGTTTTAAGTGATCATGGAAAAAACCTTTTAATTTAAATATATACTTTTCATGTATTGTGTTCACATTGTTTGATTCCACTGTCAGGTTATACATTTGGCACTTTTATATTTTGCAGATTTGAAATTATTAAGCCAAAACAGTGTGTTAGCTTTTCATTTGTAACATCAATAGCCATAAGTATTTTCTATTAAATAGTTTTGTGAAGGCCAGGCGTGGTGGCTCAGGCCTGTAATCCCAGCACTTTGGGAAGCTGAGGCAGGCGAATTGCTTTTGCTCAGGAGTTCAAGACCAGCATGGGCAACATAGCAAGACCCTGTCTCTACAAAAATAACAAAAAAATTAGCTGGGTGCAGTGGTGCACGCCTGAAGTCCTTGCTCCTGGGGAGACTGAGGTGGGTGGATCGATTGACCCTCAGAAGTTGAAGCTGCAGTGAGCCATGATCATGCCACTGCACTCCAGCCTGGATGACAGAAAGAGACCCTGTCTCAAAAAAATGGGGGTTAGGTTGTAGCCAGCAACCATACTTCAATGTAGTACTTCAAAAAATTTACAAAGGGGCCTTTTGTGAGGCCGTTCATCATGAATTTGGCATTTGTGGTTATTGTTATTGAGTTCAAGTTTGTTTTAGATTATGAGGAAGGCATTTCCTAAGCAGAAGTCAGATAATTAAACAACAGTGTTTTATGGATCATCTACTGTGTGTGAGAAACTATAGTAGACACTGTAGTGGGTGGTGAAAGGGAAACAAACATAACGGTACATTTTAGATTACATACCCAGGCTTGTGATAGACACTGAACAACACATACAAAATGGCAAAATATGATGTTTTATCCTTAAGAATGCTTTTACAATGGTCACACTTTATGTAAGTTCTTAAAAATAGCTTTATTACAATATAATTCATACATCATACATTTCACCCATTTAAAGTGTGACAGTTTATCCATTTGAAGCACCCAACCCAGTGGTTTTTAGGATATTCACAGAGTTGTGTGTGCAACCAACTTTACAGTCTAATATTAGAACATTGTCATCGTCGCCAAAGAAGCCCTGTGTGCACGAGCAGAGACTCCCAGTTCTCCCTAACCTCTTTCCCCAAGGCAACCACTAATCTCTACTACAAGGCAACCACTCATCCCTGTCTCTAAATTTGCTTCTTCTGGACATTTCATGTAAGTGCAATAATACAATATTTGTTCTTTTGTGGCATCTTTCACTTAGCATAATATTTTCAAGGTACCTCCATGGTGTTGCAGTATTAATATTTTATTCCTTTTTATTCACACATAATATTCTATTGTGGATGTACCACATTTTATCTGTCCGTCAGCTGATGGGCATTTGGGTTGTTTCCACTTTTTGGCTATTATGAAAAATGCAGCTATGAACATTTGTATACAAGTGTTTTTGTGGACATATGTTTTCATTTCTCCTGGGTAGGTACCTATGAGTAGAACTGTTAGGTTGTATAGTAACTTTGTGTTTAATAATTTGAGGAACAGCCAAACTGTTCCTAGGTGTTTGCACCATTTTGCATTCCCATCAGCAGTGTATGAGGGTTCCAGTTTCTCCCTTGCCATGTGTTATCTGTCTTTCTGATTCTGGCCATTCTTGTGGGTGTGAAGTGGTGTTTTCACTGTGGCTTTGATTGACATTTCCCTAATGACTAATGATGGTGAGCATCACAGCCTTATTGGCCATTAGTATATCTTTTTTTTGAGAAATGTCTTTTCACATTCTTTGTCTATTTTTAAACGATGTTATTTATTTATTTTTAATTTATTATCATTATTTTCTTTTGAGACGGAGTTTTCTTCTTATTGCCCAGGCTGGAGTACAATGGCATAATCTCGGCTAACCACAACCTCTCCCTCCCAGGTTCAAGTGATTCTCCTGCCTCAGCCTCCCGAGTAGCTGGGATTACAGGCATGCACCACCATGCCCAGCTAATTTTGTATTTTTAGTAGAGACGGGGTTTCTCCATGTTGGTCAGGCTGGTCTCAAACTCCCGACCTCAGGTGATCTGCCCACCTTGCCTCCCAAAGTGCTGGGATTACAGGCGTGAGCCACCGCACCCAGCCTGTTTATTTTTTTATTATTGACTTATAAGAGTTCCTTACCTATTCTTGATGCAAACCCCTTATCAGATAAATAATTTGCAGATATTTTCTCTCATTCTGTGGATTGTCTTCTCACTTTCTTGATGGTTTTATTTACAGCACAAAAGTTTTTAATTTTCCTAAAAGTCCAGTTTATCCATTTTTCAAAAATCCTTGTGCTTTTGGTATCATAGCTAAGACTGCTTTGCCTAAACTAATATCACAAATATTTATTCCTGGGTCTTTTTCTAACAGTTTTAAAGTCTTATATTTAGGTCTCTGATTCATTTGAGTTGTTAACGTGGATCCAGTTTCATCTTTTTGTATGTGGATATGCAGTTGTCCCAGCACCATTTATTGCAAAAACTGTTCTTTCACCTTGAATTATCTTGGCACCCTTGTTGAAAATCAAGTGTGAGGGTTTATATTTCTGGACTCTCAATCCTGTTCATTAATCCACATGTCTGTACTTAAGCTAGTACTGCACTGCTTTGATTACTATAGCTTTGTAGTCATTTTGAGATCAGGAAGTGTGGTTCTTCCAACTTTGTTTTTCTTTTTAAAGATTATTTTGGCTATTCAGAGTCCCTTGCATTTCCATAAGAGTTTTAGTATCAGTTTACTAATTTCTGCAAAAAAAGATAGCCAAGATTTTCATGGGGGTAGAATTGGACCTGTAGGTCAGTTTGGAAGATACTGTCATCATAACAGTTCTAAGTCTTCTGATCCATGAACATAGGACGTATTTCCATTTATTTAGGTCTTTAATTTCTTTCAATAATATTTCATAGTTTTCAGAGTCAAAGTTTGCATTTCTTTCATTTTTCTTTTTTATTTTTATGTCAGATGGGTAATGTGCTGATGTCCTAATGAGATTTGAAGGAGGCACATGTCACACATGAGCATGAAAACCTAATCATCACACTTAGGAACTACAAAAGGATCAGTATGCGACTTCTTTTGTTAAACTTATTTCTAAGTATTTTATTGTTTCTGGTGCTATTGTGAATGGAACTGGGCTTTTAAAAGTTTTGTTCATCATGGCCCCATACAACAACATGAAAAAGATCTATACTATGACCAAGTGAGATTTATCCTAGGAATGCAAGGTTGGTTTAACACTTGAAAATCAATAAGTTATATCAGATATTTAATCATTTAAATGTTTTAATCATTTAAAACAAAGTTTGAGGACCCACTGAAACAGTGTGATGTTTCAGTACATGTATTCATTATATAATGATCAAATCAGGGTAAATTAACAAATCCATCACCTGAAACATTTATCATTTCTTGTGATGAGACTATTCAAAATCCTTTCTTGTAGCTGTTTTGAAGTATGTAATACAATGTTGTTAATTACAGTCACCTTACTGGGCATTAGAACAGCAGAACTTATTCTGCTTCTCTAACTGTAACTTGATGTTCCTGTTGAATAACCTTTCCCTTTTCCTCCTCACCCTCCCTACTCTCTCCAGCCACTGTGGAACTGTTTTCTCAGTTGCATTTTTAAGTGTTTGTTGCACAGTTGATTTTATCTTGTATCCTGCAACCTTACTGAACTCATTTATTAATTCTAATAGTTTTTTTAGTGGATTCCATTAGATTTTCTATAAGATCATATTGTTTGCAAATAGAGGTGATTTTACTTCTTCCTTTCCAGTCATATGCCTTTTATTTCTTTTTCTTGCCTATTTGCCCTGGCTAGAACTTCCCAGACAATATTGAAAGAAATTGTAAGAGCAGACATCCTTGTCTTCGTCCTGATCTTAGTGGAAAAGCTTTCAGCCTTTCACCATTAAGTATGAATTTGGCTGTGGCTTTTTCATAGATGTCCTTTATCAGAATAAGGAAAAGCTCTTCTTTTCCAAGTTTGTTGACTGCTTTTCATCATTAAAGGCCGTTGGATTTGTAAAATGCCTTTGTTGCATCTGTTGAGATGGTCATGTGGTTTTTGTTCTTTATTCAATTGATATAATTTATTAATTGATTTTCAAGTATTAAACCAACCCTGCATTCCTAGGATAAATCTCACTTGGTCATAGTGTAGATCCTTTGTATGTTGTTGGACTCAGTTTGCTAGTATTCCATTCAGGATTTTCGTGTCTGTATTCATAGTATTCTTGTGATAGCTTTGGTTTTTATCACGCTAATTCTGGCCTCATAGTATGAGTTAGAAAGCATTCTACCTTCTGGAAGAGTTTGAGAATAATTTGTATTAATTCTTCTGTAAACGTTTCATAGAATTCACAAGTGAAGCCATCCAGTCCTGTACTTTTTTGTGTGTGGAATTTTTTGTTTACAGATTCTATCTCTGTACTTCAGTCTATTTAGACTTAGAAGTATTGCTTTTTGAGTCTGTTATTAGGTAAAGTAAATTTAGCATTTACCTTTAGCATTGCATTGCATCTTTCTGTTCAACTGAACCTTTTATCATTATAAAATGTTCCTTTTTATTGCTAGCAATACCTCTTGTTTTAAAATCTACTTTGTCTGGTGTTAGTAAAGCTACATATCAGCCTTTTTGGGTTAGTGTTTGCATGATTTATCTTTTTTCATCCTTTTACTTTCAACCTTTCTGAGATATTATATTTAAAGTATTCTACTTATAAGCAGTATGTAGTTGGTTTTGTTTCATTATCCAGTCTTAAAATCTTCATCTTTTAATTGAAATATTTAACTCATTTACTTTTAATGCTATTATTGATATATTTGGGTTTGATCCTATTATCTTCCTATTTGTTTTCTTTTAATTCCATCTTTATTCTTTTTCTTCCTTGTTTTGAATTATTTTTAAATTTTCGTTTTCCCCTCTACTAGATCTGCAGTCTTTTATTTTTTGCAGTTTCCCTGGAGATTATAGCATGAGTTCTTAACTTATTAAAAACTACCATGAATTCCTTTACTTTTTCCCAGACAATGCAAAGATTTTCAAAGACTTTAACTCCATTTTATTCCCTTTCCTCCTTCTCTGCTATTATTGTCATATATTTTGAATCTCACAAGATAGTATTATTGTTTCATTGACAGTTAGTATTCATTCAGATTTCCTCACGTTTTTACCCTTTTGTTATATTTTATTTCCTTCTGCATTATTGTGCTTCCATTTGAGACATTTTGCTTCTGCTCAAAGAATTCCCTTTAATATTTCTTTTAGTATAGACCTGTTAGTTATCTATTTCAACTTCATTTGTGAAGGATAGTTTTTTTGCTGCATATTCAGAATTCTAGGTCTGCCGTTATTTCTTTGAACGTATTAAAAATACCATTTTATTGTCATCTAGCTTCCATTGATTCTGTTGAGCTTTTGGAGGACAACTTAATTGTTAGTTCATACAGCATCATTTCTTTTTTATTATTATTATTATTATTATTATACTTTAAGTTTTAGGGTACATGTGCACATTGTGCAGGTTAGTTACATATGTATACATGTGCCATGCTGGTGCGCTGCACCCACTAACTCATCATCTAGCATTAGGTATATCTCCCAATGCTATCCCTCCTCCCTCCCCCCTCCCCACAACAGTCCCCAGAGTGTGATATTCCTCTTCCTGTGTCCGTGTGATCTCATTGTTCAATTCCCACCTATGAGTGAGAATATGCGGTGTTTGGTTTTTTGTTCTTGTGATAGTTTACTGAGAATGATGATTTCCAATTTCATCCATGTCCCTACAAAGGACATGAACTCATCATTTTTTATGGCTGCGTAGTATTCCATGGTGTATATGTGCCACATTTTCTTAATCCAGTCTATCATTTTTGGACATTTGGGTTGGTTCCAAGTCTTTGCTATTGTGAATAATGCTGCAATAAACATACGTGTGCATGTGTCTTTACAGCAGCATGATTTATAGTCCTTTGGGTATATACCCAGTAATGGGATGGCTGGGTCAAATGGTATTTCCAGTTCTAGATCCCTGAGGAATCACCACACTGACTTCCACAATGGTTGAACTAGTTTACAGTCCCACCAACAGTGTAAAAGTGTTCCTATTTCTCCACATCCTCTCCAGCACCTGTTGTTTCCTGACTTTTTAATGATTGCCATTCTAACTGGTGTGAGATGGTATCTCATTGTGGTTTTGATTTGCATTTCTCTGATGGCCAGTGATGGTGAGCATTTTTTCATGTGTTTTTTGGCTGCATAAATGTCTTCTTTTGAGAAGTGTCTGTTCATGTCCTTCGCCCACTTTTTGATGGGGTTGTTTTTTTCTTGTAAATTTGTTTGAGTTCATTGTAGATTCTGGATATTAGCCCTTTGTCAGATGAGTAGGTTGCAAAAATTTTCTCCCATTTTGTAGGTTGCCTGTTCACTCTGATGGTAGTTTCTTTTGCTATGCAGAAGCTCTTTAGTTTAATTAGATCCCATTTGTCAATTTTGGCTTTTGTTGCCATTGCTTTTGGTGTTTTAGACATGGAGTCCTTGCCCATGCCTATGTCCTGAATGGTAATGCCTAGGTTTTCTTCTAGGGTTTTTATGGTTTTAGGTCTAACATTTAAGTCTTTAATCCATATTGAATTGATTTTTGTATAAGGTATAAGGAAGGGATCCAGTTTCAGCTTTCTCCATATGGCTAGCCAGTTTTCCCAGCACCATTTATTAAATAGGGAATCCTTTCCCCATTTCTTGTTTTTCTCAGGTTTGTCAAAGATCAGATAGTTGTAGATATGTGGTGTTATTTCTGAGGGCTCTGTTCTGTTCCATTGATCTATATCTCTGTTTTGGTACCAGTACCATGCTGTTTTGTTTACTGTAGCCTTGTAGTATAGTTTGAAGTCAGGTAGTGTGATGCCTCCAGCTTTGTTCTTTTGGCTTAGGATTGACTTGGCGATGCAGGCTCTTTTTTGGTTCCATATGAACTTTAAAGTAGTTTTTTCAAATTCTGTGAAGAAAGGCATTGGTAGCTTGATGGGGATGGCATTGAATCTGTAAATTACCTTGGGCAGTATGGCCATTTTCACGATATTGATTCTTCCTACCCATGAGCATGGAATGTTCTTCCATTTGTTTGTATCCTCTTTTGTTTCCTTGAGCAGTGGTTTGTAGTTCTCCTTGAAGAGGTCCTTCACATCACTTGTAAGTTGGATTCCTAGGTATTTTATTCTGTTTGAAGCAATTGTGAATGGGAATTCACTCCTGATTTGGCTCTCTGTTTGTCTGTTGTTGGTGTATAAGAATGCTTGTGATTTTTGTACATTGATTTTGTATGCTGAGACTTTGCTGAAGTTGCTTATCAGCTTAAGGAGGTTTTGGGCTGAGACAGTGGGGTTTTCTAGATATACAATCATGTCGTCTGCAAACAGGGACAATTTGACTTCCTCTTTTCCTAATTGAATACCCTTTATTTCCTTCTCCTGCCTAATTGCCCTGGCCAGAACTTCCAACACTGTGTTGAATAGGAGTGGTGAGAGAGGGCATCCCTGTCTTGTGCCAGTTTTCAAAGGGAATGCTTCCAGTTCTTGCCCATTCAGTATGATATTGGCTGTGGGTTTGTCATAGATAGCTCTTATTTTGAAATATGTCCCATCAGTACCTAATTTATTGAGAGTTTTTAGCATGAAGGGTTGTTGAATTTTGTCAAAGGCTTTTTCTGCATCTATTGAGATAATCATGTGGTTTTTGTCTTTGGCTCTGTTTATATGCTGTATTACATTTATTGATTTGCGTATATTGAACCAGCCTTGCATCCCAGGGATGAAGCCCACTTGATCATGGTGGATAAGCTTTTTGATGTGCTGCTGGATTCGTTTTGCCAGTATTTTATTGAGGATTTTTGGATCAATGTTCATCAAGGATATTGGTCTAAAATTCTCTTTTTTTGTTGTGTCTCTGCCTGGCTTTGGTATCAGAATGATGCTGGCCTCATCAAATGAGTTAGGGAGGATTCCCTCTTTTTCTATTGATTGGAATAGTTTCAGAAAGATTGGTACCAGTTCCTCCTTGTACTTCTGGTAGAATTCGGCTGTGAATCCATCTGGTCCTGGACTCTTTTTGGTTGGTAAGCTATTGATTATTGCCACAATTTCAGATCCTGTTATTGGTCTATTCAGAGATTCAACTTCTTCCTGGTTTAGTCTTGGGAGAGTGTATGTGTCGAGGAATTTATCCATTTCTTCTAGATTTTCTAGTTTATTTGCGTAGAGGTGTTTGTAGTATTCTCTGAGCATCATTCCTTTTACTGCTTGTAAGATTCTTCTTTTTCTTTGATTTTTCAGCAGTTTCACTCTGATATGCTAATGTGATTTTCTTTTTGTTTATACCACTGAAATTCTTTATCATTTCATTCAGTTATTTTAGCATATTATTCATAAAAACTTAAATTTTTCTCTCAATGCCTTTAGTGTATGGATCATCTGTGGGTTTGCCTTATTTAGCTATTGTTTTTCTTGACTTTCACTCTTTAGTTCCTAATGAAATACTGGATGTTACGTATGAGAATAACTGATATCTTCCTCCAGAGAGGATTTTCTATTCTTCTGAAAGGCAAATGACAATATGGGTAGCTTACCTGAATCATGTGGGGATGTGAATTCCAGTTTTACTCTCCATAAGACTGAATGGGACAATGGAAATATCTGCTTACTATTTTAGCCTGATAGCAGCTGTTTTTTTTTTTTTTTTTTTTTTTTTGCTTTGTTTCTCAGCTTCTTGCTCTGCATATAGGCAGCTTAGGAATGGCAAATGCCATGACAGGAATATCATGTAGAATATTGAGCTCACTTTACAGTTCATTTTCTCTAACCTCTTGTGAGTTGACTGCCTTGGTAGTCCTGAACTCAATTTTAGTCTTCATATCCTACTGACACTGCCACTGTTCTAGGCAGCCACAGTCTGTTTAGCCCATGTACCTCACCACTAGAATTGACAAATACGCTAAGGGAAAAGAGTGGCCATGGCTCACCTTATTATATTTCTGTTCTACCTGGGATCTTGGCCCTCTAGTCCTGATTGCCTTTGTTGCTCTTCATTGCTTTAAAACATCTGAGAGGTTTTGCTTGTTTTGGGTTCTATTTTATTCAGCTTTCATATTTGTTTTCAGCAGGAGAGTTGAGTCGTCTTTACAGATAGAAGTGTAAATTCCCATCTGCTGAGTTTTTAAGTCATTTTTTCAAGTATATTATGTTAATTGCCGTATGCTTTACATTCTTCAGGATGCAGTGTCAGCCTTACTTGCAAGAACATCAGCTGAGTTGTTAGCTGTGGAACAAGAATTAGCACAAGAAGAAGAAGAAGAATCAGGACAAGAAGAGCCAAGGGGCCCAGATGGAGACTGGTTAAACACTTATTTCCTTTGCTGTTGGGAGCTCAAAGATGATGTGTTTACACGGCTTACAGTGAAACCTTTGTAGGCTCATGCTTTATTCCAGAATGATGGAATGCACTGCACCTTCAGGAAGCTGTGCTAGGAAAAGTCTTTCCTTGGTCATTAGAGAGTTAAGGAAGTAATGGCAAGATTATGGGCAAAGTTAAAACATTAGCCAGATTCTTTGTTCTTGTTTCGAGTAATTTTAAAACACTATTTTCTGAGCCTTTTTTTTTTTAGTCTAAACTTGATTTTGAAAGGTATGGTAGCTTATTGTAGAGTTATAGATAATTTTAAAAGTGACTCTATTTTTCTTTTAACTACCTGGAAGTACCATTTAGGCTCTAGTAAGACAAAGCAGGTATTTAAAAAACAACTTCTGAGTACTCATTTCTCTGTTACCACTCTTACCTTCTTTTTCTGTGTCCTTCCCTGTATCCATACCCAATCCTTTAAAAAGGGGAGGCAGAGGGGGAAGTTATTACAGTTATTGTCCAGGTTCATTTATATATAAAGAGCTCTCCTTCCTGGATTGTACTGTTTCTCTTAAAACAAATTTTAGTGAATATTTCACTTTTTAAGTATATATGTGAAATCATTTGAGTTAATTTTTAATATATAGTTGTTTATACTGTTATGTTTGGTTGAACTACTGTTAATACATGTGCATATACATATATAGCATGCATTTGTATGTGTGTATATAGAAAACTTTTTAGAAACTTAGAGTGACACGATATATCATAAATAACGCAGTCATGGACATTTGGAAGGAAGAGCTTCTACTGTGATGTAAAAAGATATAGATATACTTTGTCCTTATAAAAAGTCCTTCATAGTGAATAAAAATCACAGCACTGCAAAACAAATAAATACGAGAGTGATTATAAGGTTCATTATAGTATCTTTAAATAGTAATTCTCATATATGTAAAATACAAGTTGTTTCACACATATTTCCAAACAGTACTCTTAATATGTAAACAAAGGAATTTATAACTCATAGTAGTCATTAATGGTTCCCCTTGTGTTCACTTCATGGCTAGACATTTATTAACTAGTCTGTGCCAGTTTGTCATTATGTCACCAATCAAATTAAAGCTGAACATTTAGTTATCAATGGAAAGAATGTCTGCATTCGGAGAACATGAAACTCAACAAAGTATGAGATGTTCTAAACCATCCTAGTACTCCTGCTTTATATATTCCATATAAGCTGTATTTATATTCTGGAGCACCACTTATACCACTTATAATGCCACTTCAGCCCATGCCAGGGCTTTTGTTAAAAATGAGCCTTCTGCTAGTTCAGAAGAAAAACTTCCTTAACGTAGGATTCTCCCTGCTCGACTGTGAGTACACTCAATAAAATGAGGATTTAAAATCCTTATTTCTGTATTCACTGTCATATGATTAATTTTACAATAAATGAACAACGAATACCAAGTTATTTTATAGTGAGTGTCAATATTTTTAAATGCTAACATTAAACTCTATAATGTGATTTTCAGAATATGTCTATTTTGATATCTAGAAGTTAGGTTAAATTTCATGAGTTTAACTTTTTAGTACCACATTATGGTGATTTTGCTGCAGGTTACTAGAGGGTGAAGAGAGGATTTTTTTAAATGAGACATTTAGTTAAAAACCCCAGCCAAAGAAATGGCTTGGCTCATTGTGTGAGTCTGTTTATTTCCCAGATAACAACTTAGCATGCCCAGGTTGCGTGTTCATGGAGCATGCCTGCCTACCAAAAGTGTTTTGTTTTTGTTTTACCATAGGCTAACAATGCTAAGAGAGGCCTCTGATGAAATTGTGGCTGAAAAAGAGGCTGAAGTTAAATTGCCAGAGGACAGTAGCTGTACAGAAGATTTAAGTTCATGCACTAGTGTGCCTGAGATGAATGAAGACGGGAACAGGAAAGAAAGCAACTGTGCCAAAGACCTCAGAAGTCAGCCACCTACTAGAATACCAACACTGGTGACTATTCCGCTGTGCTGTCTTAAAACTGATACCTTACAGGCACCATGTGGACTAGGGAGATGCTTGTTTGTCTCCTTAGGTGTAAATTCCATGTCAGGATTTTGTGCCAAAAGCTGATCGTGAAAGGCATATGTGGGAATAGGCTCTAAGAAGCATCATAAATGCTTTAACGTTTTAAAATGGGCCCAAGATATTCTCCACTTATATTTGGAGAATATATAAGAAGAGAAATAGTGCTAGTTACTTTAAATCTATAAATATTCTGTGAATATTAAAAGTATTTTCTGAATTCCTAGGAGAACAACAGGGTGTCTTGTGTCAAGTTCCGTATATGTAGTAAGTTTTATTTCCATTTCAAACATGAAGTAAACATTTAAAGTTCATTTTGGTTAGGCGATGCCCTGATTAGAAAAGTGACAGGTGACTTAGTTTAGGCACAAGTGCCAACCAAGTTATTAAACAGGTAACTTTGCTAGTTAAGTGAGAGATGTATTGAGACTGTCAACCCCATATGGGGAAAATATTTTCAAGCTTCATGGATGCTCACACACTGGGGATATTGGTAGTAGAGTTTAGAAAATTATAATTTTGTATTCCTGAGAAAATAATATTATGCCCTGAGAACTTCCTTTCTCAAAGGAGCAAACTTTCATCAAGAGGCAGGTTTGGAATCAAATTATACCTATAAGATAAAAAATAGACATCTGCCTATGCCTACTGAGTTTGTATTTTGAGAAACTTCCATTTTTACTTAGGTTTTATTTTTGTTACATTTCTAAAGATCCAGTAAAAATACAACTCAGCTTCACAACAGTTATGTTTATACATGTATAATTGCATATTCTATTTAAACCTACAAGTTTGTGGTATATTTCATTTTCTTATATTTAATTATCTTTATCATTTATTTGGAAAACAATGTAATCAGAAAGTTGAATAAAGTTTAATGATGATATGTACCCAAATAGGATTCTTTATAGAATCACTTTAAATCTAAACCTTCATTTTTATGTTCAACCCTTTGGAGGCAGCACCTCTATTTATGGTGCTTGTTGGACAGATATCACACGGCCTGCTGTGCAGAACTTCCTAAGAACTTAGTACAAAACCATTCTTGGTAGAAAACTGAAGAACAATTCTCCCCAGAAGTACTTCAGAAGTACTATAGTCTGTAATGCAAAGCCTTTCTCTTAGGAGTGGCCATAGTGCTCCATGAGTCTCTGTTGTAACATTAGATATTTTTTCTTTCTTAGAAGAAAGGAGCATAATGTTTACACATCTTTCAGCTCCTGACAAATTGTTAACTTCTCTTATAGGTTGACAAAGAGACAAACACTGATGAAGCCGCTAATGACAATATGGCAGTTCGCCCCAAAGAGCGCAGCAGCCTGAGCTCTAGACAGCATCCGTTTGTGAGGAGCAGTGTGATAGTGCGCTCACAGACCTTTTCTCCAGGAGAGCGGAACCAGTACATCTGCAGGGTAAGGTGGCAGTGCTCGTGGTGAGGCGCTGGGACTGCAGCTTCTTCCCTGCTGGTAGGGAGTGGCCTGCAAAGGACAAGAGACTGTGCACTGGGAGTCCACATGACAACGACAAATGCTAGAAATGCTGTAAAACAGATGTAGAATATCACGTGCTTATGGTCCCTTTTAGTTTGTTTGTTTTTCCATCAAATTTAATGCCTCCTTGGTTCCAATGTGATTTATTTGGCAAGTAAGCGAAGTTTAAGGATCTGAGTGCTGAGTATTTGTACGTTATTTGGACTTCGGTCTGTATTTAGAAACATAAAGTGGTTTTTTGAGATACATGTGGTCTGTATATTTCTGTTCTATATCATATGTCCTTCAAACCATGTTTGTCTTGTTGAACTGAGAACTGTGAATTGCATTTTAGATTAAAAATCCTCTTTTAATAATGCTTATAAACACTGAATCACATCCATAGTTCTGTGAAGAAAATTATGAGATTTGTATCAGTTTGCCAAATTCTACTTCTAGAAGTATTTCTGATTTATCTAGTAAGATAGACATAATATTATAAACTGGGTTAGAAATACTTTTTAAATTCTAAATTTATTCATTCAGTTCAACACATTTTTATTAAGCACCTGCTTTTAAGCATTTTCTTAAATACTTGGGATTCATCTAGAAACAAGAGACCCAGAGCCCTGCCATTGTAGAGTTTACATTCCTGTGAATCGAGCCAGACCACAAGCAGTAAATAAGATGAACAAGCTATGAAGTATCTTGGAAGGGGATCAATGCTATGGACAACAGTAGTGCAGGGGGTTGGGGGTGATACGCAGGATTCAGAGCAGGCTGCATTTCAGTAAAGATTTGAAGCAGATGAGACAGTGAGTGTGGGCTATCTGGGCCGAGAGCGTTCTAGATAGCACAGACTGTGTCTCAACTCTGACCTTGAGCTCTGCTTCATGCAGACCTTTCTTTAAAGAAACAAATATCATGTATTAGCTAAAAATACAAAGGATAATTTCATTTCAAAAAATATATAAGTACCTTAAACATATGATTTTTAATAGCCACTACCAAAAGGCAGCTATTCAGATTATTTGCAGGCACAGTGGCTCATGACTGTAATCCCAACACTTTGGGAGCCCGAGGAGAGCGAAACACCTGAGGTCAGAAGTTCGAGGCCAGCCTGGCCAACATGGTGAAACCCCATCCTACTAAAAATAGAAAAATTAGCTGGGCATGGTGGCGTGCGCCTGTAATCCGAGTTACTACAGAGGCTGAGGCAGGAGAATTGTGTGAACCCAGGTGGCAGAGGTTGCAATGAGCCGAGATCACGCCACTGCACTCCAGCCTGGGTGACAGAGTGAGACTCTGTCTCAAAAAAAAAATACATAAATAAGTAATTTAGGAAAATGAAGTTATTTAACAAAATAGAACAGGAAAAACTTGTTTGAGGGGATTTTCTTAAAGAAATAAACTCTTAACTATGACTACCTGCTTTACTTGGTAAATGTCTCAATCCCAAACTTCCACTTGCACTCTGTTTGATATGCAGTGATTTTTTTTTTAAATCTTTTGTTGCCAGTTAAATCGGAGTGACAGTGACAGTTCAACCCTGGCTAAAAAATCACTGTTTGTGAGAAACTCCACCGAACGCCGCAGTTTGAGGGTCAAAAGGGTATGTATTCCCTCAGCCACGTCCCACTGTCCCTGGACCAGTCCAGAATTGTCACTTGTGCAGCACAAACTCCAGAACTACAGAATGAATGTCAGTGCTCCATGCGCTTGGCCTACTGAATGCAGCCACTGGGATACACAGAGACGCAGATGCCATGGCCACTATGGAGATGGGGGGGTGTGAGGGCATTTATTCATCATTGGTGTGGAACCTGTGATGGTTAAGGCTGGAAATGCGGTTTCAGTATCTCTGGAGAAGGGGCCTTCTGAGCCTGCAGGGGTATCAGACGATGGTAGAACACATTTCTGATGACTCTGCATACCATGTCCAGGTCTTGAGCGATTGTGGGAAGGGGTGTAAGACCTGGTACCTTTTCTGAAGGACACACATTCTGGTAAAGGAGGAACACACAGTTTTTGTAGCTTGCTTACACAGATATCTTTAGAAGGTTAAAACTCATGTGGGTGGGCAGCTCGGGTGGCATTTTCCTGGAGGTCATGGGTCTCTGCATGAGCCTTAAGGATAAGTCTAAGAGAATAAATGAATTAACAGGTTGGTCTGTTCAAGTAGTTCAGAAATTCCTGTTTACTTGCTAACAGCTGAAATACTAAAGGAAAATATTTGTTTACTGTGATCATTTTGGCTTAAAATGTGTGGTTCGGTGACTACAGAGCACCACATGTGCTGAGCTCTGTTGACGGCGAACTCACACCCTCAGGAGTCCATGGTCTAGAGGAGGACACAACACACACAGGACTGTCACAACTGTGCCGGGTATGACAGGGAATTAGCCCATCTGATTGAGAGTCAGAAGGGCTCAGTTGACAGCAGTTGGGGGGTCTCCACACTTGAATACAATTTCAAAAAGAAAATGGTAGCTTTGGGGCAGGGTGGGGGTGTGATGGATACTGGGCGCTGTGGGTAGGTGGCGTAAAATGATACGGGAGCAGGGACACACGGCATGAGGAGTGTCAGGTTCTGCCAGCAGCTTTGGCACTGTGGACGGGAGGATCAGGCATGATGGCTGGGAAGGTAAATCAGAAGCATTGTCATCACCAGGGCCACTCTGGTCTCATTCTGCCATGTGCAGAGTAAGAGATGCCTGGCCAGGCAGCAGTGGGCGCCCCTGGTTTAACTTCCTTGTTACTTGAAAGGCATAAAAGAATATTTTGTTTTTCTAAAGGCAGATGAGATGTGCTAGCATTTATTCAGCATTCGTCATTTTCAGGAAATTCTGAAATGTTGATTTTTCAGGTTACCAAACTTTATGCCTTAAAAGCACCTAAATTTTTATCATCTTGAATGAAAAGTCTTCTCAACTCCTTTCTAAGTCACCTGCCTTCTTAAGCAGCTCATACTCTCAGGGGATAGTTTCACTCTTCAGATAAATATTAACCAAAAGTGTTTATGAATCGAGTGGAGTTGAGAAACGGTTAGGTTACTGATAAACTTAGTTATTAGGACTACTTGAAACAGACAAAGGTTAATCCTGAAGCATATGTAGGAGATGGTTTTAAATGGTTTTTAAAAGTAGACAGATATGGTTTGATAGGAACAAGTGGAGAATGGTATTCTGCTTTAGGAATTACAGCATAAGCAAGGTATAGAGGTGTATGAGGACAAAAGTATCTGCAAAGATGAGGAAAAGGTTCATCTGAATAGAAGAACAAAGCGCCAAGTGTGTGAGTGATGAGGTTAGAGGGGTACCGACCGGCAGAGGTGTGCTGCACCCTCCTCACGCTGGCTCACAAGAGCCAATTGTGCTCGTCTCTTGCCAGTTAAATCGGAGTGACAGTGACATCACAGTCATAGCTTGAAAATGGTGATGGTAGGAGTATTTACCACATAGAAACTGGCCAACCCTACAAGTCAGTGCTTTCTTCTCTCCCAGAGAGAGCCAGTTATTAAACATTTACCAGCAGACTCTTGTATGTGGAGTCCTTAGGCTCTGTGTGCATGACAGCTAGGAAAGATTTCTGATTCCAAAAAGTAAGTAATACAGTCAAAGATAATGTGTGTCTAGATGATTCTTACTGTGTAATGCATTTGTAGAGAGGAGAGGGTACAGGTTGAATAAAGGGAACCTAATAAGAAGAATGTTACAGAAGACCATGCAGTATGTACTGGATGTGGAGGAAGAACAGGAGGACACAATAAGAGTGATTCTGACTTGGGCTAAGGCTCTGAAATCAGCATAGGGACAGACAGGCCCCCTCCCTTCCATCTGGCATGAGCACTACCATTATTTTAGATCTTCAAACTGGAGTACTTGTCAAATTTGAGTCCCTCCTCGCTCATATCAAATAGTAACAGTTCTTATTAGTGATCACTTATTTTGCATTCTGTCTGCCAATAATCTAGGCAAGAAATACCTCCGTGTTCCCCTCTGCTGGTAGAGTCTCACCTCTCACCCAGCCTTGTTTAAAATCCCTTCCTCAAGTGCATGTGCCCTGACCCTGAGTGATCCATCCCCTTCCCTGACTTCCTGTGCACTTCTGCACTCACTCACAGCTTCCTCTCGCTTAAGGCCTCATGTCATTCTGCAGCCGAAGTTTTCAAGGGCAGAGATTGTGTCTTCTCTTCCTAGTACTTTGCCTGCACAGCCCCAGCAGACATTTATTCATATATGTTCAATAATTATTGCTTGATGAATAGGTTAAGATTGCCCCTGGGAAGAGCCATGGTGATTCAGTGGTGAAAGTAAGTAGCACACAATGGGAAATCAAGGAAGGCAACTCAGTTTAAGCATTCTGATTGGAGGAGATAGTCAAAACTTAGCAACACTGTCCAGCTGTATTCAGGCTGACTGTCATGGACATGGTAGGAGTTATGTGTCCTGAAATGGAGGAAACAGAAATGTCTTGCAATGTATTTATTTATTACACTAGGCGGGCTTCATGCAATCAGTTGGTCAGGCTAAGTAAGCCAGGCTGTACTATGGTAACAACTTTAAAAATCTCTGTGGTATAAAACAATAAAGGTTTATTTCTTGCCTAGCTACTGGTTCACTGCAGGTTGGCAGGAGGTCCTGCTCCATGTTGCTCTTACCCAGGGCCCATGCTGATGGAGCCTCCCTCTGTGGTTCTTTGCTCTCCCTCCAGCAGGGGACAGAAATGTGCACCTCTCACACTGGCCTTGACAGCCTTCTGCCAGAAGTAAGGCATGTCTCTCCCACTCACCTGCCATGGGCCAGAGCGAGTTGCTCCTGCCCCTTAGGCCCTGGCTTCTAGGGTGCAAGGAAGCACCATCCATCATGCGCCAGGAAGGAGGGGAAGTGGGGTAACCACTGCCTGTATAACCAGGGTGTTCGTCATTCCGTTTCTAACTATCCAGACGGTTTGCCAGTCAGTCCTTAGAAGAACAACACAGGAATGCCCAGTGCGGACATCTCTAGACTTAGAACTGGACCTTCAGGCATCTCTGACCCGGCAGAGCCGCCTCAATGATGAGCTGCAGGCGCTGAGGGACTTGCGGCAGAAGCTGGAGGAACTGAAAGCTCAGGGAGAGACTGACCTTCCACCAGGCGTGCTGGAGGATGAGAGGTTCCAGAGGCTTCTGAAGCAAGCTGAGAAGCAGGTACGCAGCTCAGGGTCTGTCATCTCGGAGGGGCTTACATCTTTTTTTAAAGCGTGCCATGTAGAAGGTACCCAACTTACACTTCTGTTTTGCGCATAAGTCTTTAGATGTTTTACTACAGCTTGGAACATATTTTTCCCACTGTTATAGGCCCTTTTTTTTTTTTTTCCAAACCAAAAATGTTGAAGGAACAAGGAAGCTGGGAAGGTGGGTGTGGCAGCAGGGGATGGGCGTGGCCAGTAGGGTGAGGGCGTGGCCAGTGGGGGTGAGGGTGTGCCCAAAGGAGAAGTGGGAAGTAGTCATAATTTCTCCTCCATATTGTTCTCCATCTTAACGTAAGACTTGACAAATAAATGCAGTATAAATTTTGGCATAAGTGGGACATTTTGTTTGGATTTTCTATAGATATCTTTTTAAGGTTCATTAACCACATCAATTGTGAAATACATTGCTAATTTTAATGCTACTAAATTTTCACTTTCATTCTTATCTTAAAGAAAAATTACATTTTGCTTATTGACATTCTCCCTTACCTTTCACCCTACAAATAGGTATACTAAAAAAAGATGAAATCACTGATTAAAAAATAGAGTATTTTTGGCTGGGCGCAGTGGCTCACACCTATAATCCCAGCACTCTGGGAGGCCGAGGCGGGTGGATCATGAGGTCAGGAGTTCAAGACCAGCCTGGCCAAGATGCTGAAACCTCGTCTTTACTAAAAATATTTAAAAAATTAGCTGGACGTGGTGGTGTGCCCCTGTAATCCCAGCTATTCGGGAGACTGAGGCAGAGAATTTCTTAAACGTGGGAGGTGGAGGTTGCAGTGAGCTGAGATCGTGCCACTGCACTCCAGCCTGGGCGACAGAGTGAGACTCCATCTCAAAAAAAAAAAAAACAGTATTTTTAAAGAAACTATTTCCATTATTTTGGCACCTACATACTACTGAAATTTTCAAGAATCTGCATACATATGAAATTGATTTACTTTCTCAAGAGTACAATTTATATTTTGGTTTAGGATTGTGTATTCATATCCATATGTAGTAGCAAATAGAATTTTCCACATAGCTGAAATACTAATATTACAAATGCCAAAACATTGTTTTCTATCAGTCCCTTTGGATGGGAATGTAAAATGGATTAGACACTTCCTGAAACTAACAGAAAATCTTGTCTATGATATAAACTGCTCTTTTTGACCCAGAGTTGTTATTTGATCATGTCATGTATAGTACTGTCAGGAAAGTGTGAATCGTCCAGCTGACTGGAACTACTGATCCTTGATGGAACTCAGAAACTAAATGAATGAATTTCAAGAATCAAACTGACACCAGTAATAAAACTTTAAGCAACAAAATGTATTACATGTATCTATCTTATCCCACCTGATAGAAGGAAACCTTCACGTTCAGTAGGACCGGTGTTTGCTCAGTGTGGAGTTTAATGTTAGGCCTTACATTTGCCACAGCAGTGAATACAGGATAATTAGGCACTGTGCTGGTTTCATAAAGGAGATGAGCCAGACACTCCAGGTCTACGAGAGCAGTGCTTCCTGGGGAAGTCATGAGAGGTTTCATGGAGGAGGTGGCACTTGAACTGGCTTTTAAAGTGGGTAGTGGAGCTTCACAGCGGGGAGAGGCCCAGGACTCTCCATTAGTAAAGGTCCAGATGGGCTCCAGACAATGGAGGGCTGTGGGCAGGAGCCTGCAGGAGAGTAGGGCCACAGCAGGTGGAAGGTAGTCTTATGAAATGGAAGATTGAATTACAAGCAGAAATGACCTGCTCTTAGTTTGTAATCTCAATAACCAACATTTTTACTCTCTTGAGTTTTTAACTCAACATTACCAATAATTTCAAACTTTTGGTTGACTTTGACCTACTTTACTGTCATGGAGAAGCATCACAGTCTTTGACTGTTATGGGTCAAAGCCTTCCAAAGCTGAATTGGAGTTTTACAACTATAGATGCAAACAGAACTTTGTGTCTTTGGTTGTTTCTTCATTTCTAGTGTGTCATGATATGAAATTCTAAATTTCTAGATATCAATAATTACTAAAACTATAGGACTTAAATTTTTTTACTTAATATCATAACGCAAAGTTTCATCCATAAATTGCATTTCATTTTTTTTGACTGCTATCTAATCTCCATTGTATAGAGAGAAGCTCAGTAGAGCAAAAAGTTCTTTGAAAAAAATGAAAGGAAAAACAAAGCTCTGGCAAAATTAATGAAGAGAATATACAAATAAAGAATGTTATAAAACTAATGAGGGACAGAACTACAGGTAAATTTGAGATTTAAAAAATAATTACAGCTGAGGTGGGAGAATCACTTGACCCCAGGAGTTGGAGACCAGCCTGGGCAACACAGGGAGACCTTGTCTCTACAAAAAAAATTAAAAAAAAAAAAAATTCACTAGGCATGGTGGCATGCACCTGTGGTCCCAATTACTTGGAAGGCTGAGGTGGGAGGATCACTTTAGCCCAGGAGGTAGAGGCTGCAGTGAGCTGTGATTGCACCACTGCGTTCCAGCTTAGGTGACAGAGTGAGACCCTGTCAATCAGTTATGAAAAATTAAAAAATAAATAAATAATAAATGCATACACACAAACACACAGACACACACACACATACTCCCAGTGCTTTGGGAGGCCAGAGTGCCGAGAGTTTGAGACCAGCCTGAGTGACATAACAAGATCCCATCTCCATGGAAAAAAAAAAAAAGTTAGCTGAGCGTGGTGGCACACAGCTATATAGTCTTGGCTATTCTGGTGACTGAGGCAAGAGGATCACCAGAGGTATGAGGTTGAAGTGAGTTATGATCACCCCACTGAACTTTAGCCTGAGTGACAGGAAAAAACAGTTGAATACTATCAAAAGTATATGCCTACAATTTGGACATACGTCTAGGAAAATCTACTAGAATGGATGTTTGGAAAGAATAAAAAGGATAGAAAATCCTATAACTCTTTAAAAAAAAAAAATGGAAGCAGTGATTAAAAATCTATCCACAAAGAAAATATAAGTTCTGGATGCTTTGTACAAATTCTGCCACACTTTCAAAAAAGAAATTACCTCAATTTTATACAAACTCTTCCGGACACTAGAAAAAGAGAGAACACTTCCACAACTAATTTTATGTTAATGCCAACACTAGATAAAGATTCTATCAAAAGGAAAATCGCAGGCCAGGCCAGTTTCATTTATGAGTGTAGATGCAAGAATCCTGACTAAAAAATATTGGTAAACAGAATCCAACACTGTATTAAAAAGATTGTACATGTTGACTATGTTGAATTGTACAAAGGTTTTGTTTTCTTTGGTTTGGTTTTTTGAGACAGTGTTTCTTTCGCTCTGTTACCCAGGCTGGGGTGCAGTGGCACGATCTCGGCTCACTGCAGCCTCTGCCTCCCGGGTTCAAGAGATTCTCCTGCCTCAGCTGGAGAGTAGCTGGGGCTACAGGTGCACACCGCCACACTCAGCTAATTTTTGTATTTTTAGTAGAGACAGGGTTTTGCCATGTTGGCCAGACTGGTCTCAAACTCCTGACCTCAGGTGATCCACCAACCTCAGCTTCCCAAAGTGCTGGGATTACAGGCATGAGCCACCACACCTGGCAGGTTTTTTAATATTAGAAAACAGTGAATTAAAAAAATACATGTTGACCATGTCAAAATGTCTAAGAAAATTTTTAATACTAGGAAATATATTTATATAATTCATTACTTTAACAGATTAAGGAGAAAAATCATTTGGTCAACTCAATAGATTCAGAAAAGTATTGAGAAAAGTCAGTGCTCCTTCATGTTTAAAAATCCCAGTAAGTTAGAGACAGGAAGCTCCTCACCTTGATAAAGAATAACTTAAAGTAAATGTGATCATAAATAGGTAAACATTAGAATCACTTTCTTTAAAATCAAACACAAGACATTCAATATTCTTCCATTCAACATTGTATTAGGAGTTCCTAAACAGTGCCATAAGGCAAGAAAAAAAGTAGCAAAAAGACTGGAAAGAAATAAAGCTGCCATTATCTACAGGTGACATTGCATGCATTAAAAAATTTGTAAGTTATTATAAATAGTAAGAGTTTAGCAAGGTGGGTGAATAGAATGATATCTAAAAGTCTGTTGCATTTATTTACACCAACCAGAAACACCTAGACGTTTAATTAAGATAATTACAACAGTATCAAAGAATATCAAATATCAAGAAATAAATTTAACAAAAATAAACCGTACAGTATAGAGAAAATTACAAAACTTAGAAGAAATGTAAAAGCAAATTCATGGAGAATTTATTACATCCATGTAGAGCAGGGGTCTGTAAGCTTTTCCTATAAATGACCATATATTAAATATTATATCAAATTATACTATGATATAATGTAATTGTATTATAATTAAATATTAATGTTAAATATTCTAGGCTCTGGGCCATATGATCCCTGTTGCCGCTATTCAGCTCTGCCATAGATAAAATGGAAATAAATGATGTATTTGCATTCCAATAAAACTTTATTTACAAAAACAGGGCAGGCCATAGTTTGCCAACTGCTGATACAGAGGAAGAATTAATAATGTGGAGATGGCCAATTCTTTCTAAAATGTACCATAGAGTCAATGGAATTCCAAGCAGAATACCCACATGGTTCTTCATGGATACTGATGCAGTTAATGAAAAAGTAAAGGTCAAAGAATAGCCAAGGTACTTTGGAAAAGAATAACAAGGAGAGGGACTTGCCCTACAAATTTATTAAACTGCTAAAATAGTGGGAATTTGTGGAGAAATTAAGAGATTGGTCATGGCATGAATACAGAGCTCTCTAGAAACAGTGTTGCTGTGTGATGAGGGTGGTATCTGTGTGGAGTATTGATGTGTGATGCATAAGTAATAGGGGAGCTGTGAAGTTTCTAAAGTGTTCTCTGGAAAGACAGTGTGGCAGTAGTATAAGTGACCATGGCTAGAGCCAGAGGCTCCTTCCTAGTCCCCAGCGCCAGACATTTTCTCATGAGATAAAGTGAGAGAGACTTTGGCAGATCCGAACAGTATGTCTAACACTGATTGAAAAAGAAGATGAAGACCTTCTTTGAAAAGTACCATAAATATACTGTTTTCCTGAGTGTTTTTTTTTTATTGTCTTTCATTGTAGAATTCTGCTAAGATTTTTACTGTTGTTGATGAATGGTTCAAGGTTTGGGGGCTGATAGAGTGACCTTTGTTTTCTCCTACACTAAAGAAATGTTTGGATTTGCTCTAGGTAAAGTAGATGTAAAGTAGGAGTCTAGAACCCAACAACCCAAGGAAATCATCAAGGCAGACACATTGCTCAGAGTCTCTGAAAACTGGCAGGCAAGTAAGAGTTGATGTTTGAGGCACACATGTTCATTTTAATGATTTGTCCTTTAATGAGCCAGTCAAGAAGTGTGTTTGTTTCCAGCTGAAAAAAAAAATTAAGAAGGAGTTTCTTGGGAAACTTGAGCAGACATATTTTCTGTAAAAACACACACACACCTCCTAATGAAATCCTTCCTCTCGAACTCCTATGCTCCTTCAGCCTGGAGTGTAAACTCCCTAGGGAAGCAGCGAGGCTACTTTTTTTCCTTTGGTATTCCACTGCCTTAGAAGATGTTCCATCCAACCTTGGAGAAGTCCCCTTTGCCTCATTCAAGCTGCTCATCTTGTTGACCAGCCATGATTTTAGCCCTTTTTTGAGTTTTGCTTGTCTCCTGCTCACCACTAGAATAGAGGATTTCACCCTGGGGCTTACTGGTGAATAGATCAATACAGCCTGTAAAACGTGATGAGAATCTGACTGGTGGGCACTGTCTGTGGCCTTAGCGTAGCTTGGCCATGTGAGGGCCCCTGCCCTGTCCTCAGGGAACCCTTGGTCCAGCTGTGCCTTGGTGACGCTGGGACCAAGTTTCAGGAATATCAGGGTCTAGGGATATTATCAGATCAAATCAGTATTTCTTAGAGACCTTATGTACAACACAGTTTTGAAATCAACCCTCAACTCTTTTGGCAGACTGTTCTGAAACAGTTTTCTGCTGTTTTTGTTCCCAGCATCTCATACGATGTTCACAGGCGTAATCTAGGAAAAGAATGGCAGCGCGAGAGGAAAGGTGCCCAGTTCATTCTTCCCAGGGTGCCGAGATCCCTGACACCCCTTGTTTGTTTGTTTTCGTCCCTATCTACCGACCTATCATTCTGTTCTCAGTGACAGAAATAATGATAGGAATGTGAGGCATGTTTCTCAGACATAGTGTAAGGTTGAACTAAATTGCCTTGTAAGTGACCTCTTTGGGAGCTGTCATCTCTGTCATTCAGTGCAACCAAGTGTGTGACATGGGTGGTATTTTTCACTTTCATCTCCTAATTGTCAGCATTTAATTATTCCTATTGCAGGGCACCGCCTAAAAATGATGCTGGCTAACATACCTGACGGGTGCCGTCACTTCCTGTGCCTGCCTCAGAGCCAGTGTCTTCATAAAGGTGCTGCCATAGCTGGGTGAGGGTTTTGATTCTTTTAAAATGTCACCACAACCCAACATACTTGTGTACAAAGCCAAGTGAAGTTGGCCTTGCCAGTAGAGGTAACATTAATGCCACATTGGTTGTATTTTGCTCACAAAACAGGCCTTCTGGCACCCACATGGCAGTACTCTCTTAGATGGTGTAAAAACTGGTCGCTTGGGCTCAGAACTGCCCAGGAATAATTCGAAGATCATGGGACTGTTCAATTTGGATCAAGAGTGCAAAGATTTGAGAGAGCCAAGATCTCCTTTGTTTTGCCCAGTGAAGGATACAAGCAGGCCTTGTTCCAGTTAGAAACTGTCTGAAAAAGAGTGACACTTTAGAACTCTCCTTTGTAAAATAGTGCTTTATTTTATATTAATTTGTAGTTGTTCAGTCACTAAATGATACCTGTGCATAATTCTGGCCTTGTAGTAAGTTTCTGACGATGATTAGAATCATCCTTACATAGATGATCTTGCTTAGAAATTATTTCTTAAGGCCAGTCACGGTGGCTCACGCCTGTAATCCCAGCACTTTGCGAGGCCAAGGCGGGCGGATCACGAGGTCAGGAGATCGAAACCACCCTGGCTAACGCGGTGAAACCCCCTCTCTACTAAAAACACAAAAAAATTAGCGAGGCATGGTGGCAGGTGCCTGTAGTCCCAGCTACTCGGGAGGCTGAGACAGGAGAATGGCGTGAACCCCGGAGGCGGAGCTTGCAGTGAGCCGAGATCGCACCACTGCACTCCAGCCTGGGCAACAGAGCGAGACTCCGTCTCAAAAAAAAAAAAAAAAAAAAAAAAAAAAAAAAAAAATTATTTCTTAATAGAGGATTTCTTTTTGAGACAGGGCCTCTGTTACCTAGGCTGGAGTGCAGTGGTGTGACCACAGCCCACTACAGCCTCAACCTCCCAGGTTCAAGCAATCCTTCCACCTCAGTTTCCTGAGTAGCTGGGACCACAGGCAGACACCACCACACTCAGCCAATTTTATTTTTTTGTAGAAACCGGGTTTCACTGTATTGCCCAGGCTGGTCTCAAACTCCTGATCTCAAGCAAGCCTCCCTCCTCGGCCTCCCAAAGTGCTGGAATTGCAGGTGTGAGCCACCACACCCAGCCTAGAGGATTTGTGATCTTTATTATCTGATGAACCAGCACTTAGTTGGTTTTAAAATTAGTTTGCATACCAAGATAATGAGGGAAAGAAGATCCTAAGGATCTTTCTGTTATGATTGTGGTAGAGCCTGAGATAAACACTTTTTTTTTTTTTTTTGACATGGAGCTTCACTCTTGTCACCCAGACTGAAGTGCAATGGCACAATCTTAGCTCACTGCAACCTCTACCTCGCGGGTTCAAGCAGTTCTTCTGCCTCAGCCTCCCAAGTAGCTGGGACTACAGGCGCGCACCACCACTCCCGGCTAATTTTTTTATATTTAGTAGAGATGGGGTTTCACTGTGTTGGCCAGGCTGGTCTTGAACTCCTGACCTCAGGTGATCTGCCCATCTTGGCCTCCCAAAGTGCTGGGATTACAGGCGTGAGCCACCGCACCTGGCCTGGGATAAACACTTCTGTTCTACTGCTTCACTAAGAGGGTGCAGCCCAGGGGAGCTGAAGAGAGACAAGGGAGGAGATGGCCGCTAGTGTGCTGCCTGCTTGCTCCCTTGGGACCAGCACCCAAAGGCCATGCTAACCACATCTCACAGTCATAACTCAGAGGAGAAATGAGGAAGAATTGTTCTACCCATGTGCACATATGGCTGCCAGACAATCTCATGGCACATGTTGGCTTCAACAGAAAGGCCATGGCAGGGGCCAGAGAAGGGACATAAGGGGAGACACTAGTTATACCTTCATGAAGTCCACCAGACCCTGCAGAGTTGATGACTGCAAGGGCATTTGGGAAAGGTCAAGAGGATTTGAGCTGATATGTTAGAGGTCTCTTATTCAGAATGAGAATGTGTGTTTTCTAGTTCTTGCTAAGAAAATTTCAGCTTAACAAAACATGAAGATACATCTAAATAAAATTAAGGGCTGGTAAACCTGACAGTCTTAATAATTTGTATTCAGCTTTCTCCATGCCATAGCTATTGTTTTTCTAGATCACTACTGTGAACATCTTGGGGATGCCGGTAACAGTTCAGTATAAAACTCCTTTGTCAGAGGAGTTGAACCTCATATACAAAATGCTGTCTTTTTATACCCAAGATAGGGCCAAAACTCTTTAGCTAGCCTGATGATACCCAGGGAAAGAGCCATTGGTATACACCTGAGGTCCCTGTTTAGGGTCCAAGTGAAAAGAGACTATAACAGCAAGGCCAGGAGACCCATGAGTGCTTGTGGTGTCAGAGTCAGATCTTAGATGCTGTTGTGGCTTCACTTTCTCATTACCCTTCCCCATTCCTTTCCCTCACAACTTCTTTCTTCTTCCCATCAGAAAATAGGTAAATGAAAACAAACCAGCCTTATAAAATACCATAAAAGTATCCATACCTGTGGCTTATGTTTTTCCCATGCACTAATAGGATTTTATATACTCACCTATGAATTAAGAGGATTGAAGTAGATAGCCACCAGAATCCCTTCTAGTTACAGAATTTTGTGATCTATTTGAGATCAAGTCTAATGTGCTTTCAGTATAAATAAGGATTCAGAGAGATTTGTGGAAATTGAAGTCTGCATGGCCTAAAGGAACTGAACCTTTAGGGTACATGCAGTACTTTGATAATTCTGAAGTCCCAGGTGAAATGTGATTCCTGGAAGTTTTTCATATCAGGATACTCAGAGTGCAGTCTTACACAGGTTATGCAGAGCAGATTTTTTATCACACTGTAGGAAACTATGCTGTCTTAGTCCATTTTGTGCTGCTATAACAAAATGCCACAGACTGGGTAATTTATAAAGAAAAATTTATTTCTCACAGTTCGGGAGGCTGGAAAGTCCAAGATCCAGAGGCTGCAGCTGGCAAGGCCCTTCTTGCTGTGTCATCCCATGGTGGAGGGTAGGAGGCAGGAGAGAGATCCCACTCCCAAAAAAGCTATTTGATTAGGGTATTACACCCACACATGAGAGTGGAGCCCTCATGCCTACTCACCTCTCAAAGGTCCCACCTCTCAATACCGTTACAATGGCAATTGAATTTCAGCTTGAGTTTTGGGGGGAAAAACATTCAACCCGTAGCAGATGCCAAGCCCGCTGCCCCTCCGTCTTTGCTTCCTTCTGCTACTGGCAGTTTCACATCAAGCAATAGTGAAAAAAGCTCACAAAACAAGGTGCATTTATCCTGCTTTCAAAATGATTTGATTCTCCCTAGTGCAGAGGGTTTTTATCGTTATTTTTAACAACTCTGTGGATACATAAACTGTTTGAGTTGTGTACTTTTCTCACCAGTGAAATTTGCAAAAACCAGTTTTTTGAAAAAACAAACTTTCCATTGTGTGCCTTTCATTATAGCGACAGAAACTCATGATCACCACTGACTTCCCTCACCTGCTTCCTCCTCACTTCCACAGTCATTTGTTAACATACACATGGGTACACCAGCACCTGCACACATGGCACACACACACTAACTCTGCCACACTCACACATTGCCCTTTCATCTCCATCATTTCCCTGTGGTATTGGGGATTTGTGAGGTTTTCAGCAAGATGACCATAAAGTGCCTAAGGATGAGCAAAGAGCCTGCCAATTGCCATAAAAAATATGGCTCCCAGAAAAGCAATGAATCGAAGCCAGCAGCAGATCCTGGATCTGCCTCCCTTGTCAAGGAAAACTGTCAGGTCTCAGGGTCACACTCCTTAACCTTCCTCCTTTGTGGCCCAAAGTCTGTTTTGTAGCTCAGAATAAAAAAGAGAATCTTATTTGGTGTCCTCGTGTATTGTAAAACCCCCTCAGGAAGCAGAGCAAGAAGCTGAGGACTGTAAATTAAGACTGGATTGTGCTTTTTATTCCATTAGGCTTCTTAACACAACTATGAATAAATCACTGGGCCTCTCTGCAGGTTGGGCTCCCATCATGTAAACTGGAGGTGAATCACACCCTTCTGGAGTCCTCAGCATTCCAAGTGGCTCCCAGGCCTCGTAAGCCCGGCATCTTATCGTGATTCGTTGGGTGAGGGAAAAGCATGCCGAGAGAGGACTGGGGTTCTTCCAGAGGAGCCTCGTGGTCCTTACAAAGCAGGAATTTCTTTTTTTTTTTTTTTCCATAGAGTGTTTCCCTGTCAAAATGCCAAAATTTTATGGTGCTAGACTGCAGAACTGCTAGATTTTTTGTAAAGCTTAAAATAATGCAAATGTTAACACTCTTAAAAGTTAGATCTATTTTTAAAATTATGCCAAAGATATTAATACACTGCATTCAAAAAATCTTAATGATTACAGAAAAGTATTCAGCATTGAGGTCTACCTACAAAATTGTTTGGTATTGATTATTAGCAGCTGATAATAATTCTATATGTTTTGCCACCTAATTTGTGGAGAAAGATATAGGTATAGATACAGATATAAATATAAAAACATAGAGACAAATACAGTCTTCAGTAAAGTATATTCTTACTCAGCAGGGAAGGAAATATCTTCCGGTGTTCCCTGGTCAGCTTTTTTTTTTTATAAAACAAAGCCAAGTTTCAAAGTAATTTTGTAGTCACCATAGAAATGCTAGAAGTTGAAAACATCAGCAGCCATTACACTACTTAGAGGGACTGCCAAAAGACTTCTCTGCAAGGGATAGGATCCTCTGCGTTCTATTCCTGTGGAAGGTGGCAAAGACGGAACAGGATCCTGCGAGCCTGTCTTATTTCCTATCTGATAAAATCACTTCTAGGTAAGAAAAGTGGGTTGGATTTTCTTACCTATGCATGATTCATTTCCTTCCCTGACTTTTCGTGATATATCCCTTGTTAAATCAGTCAACAGATGTCTGTTTTAAGAGTGATTTTTTTTCTTATGGTATTTCATGAAGAATTTGAATAGCAGCAAAATTTTTAGTATATTTACTAATTTAGTAATTTGACATACCATAGCAAGATAGAAGTCATTTCTCAGTGTGTACTAAGTCAACAGTTCCTTATCTGGGACCTAATGAAAAATTATCCATTTACTAAAGATAGGACTTCACAAAGTAACTAAAATATCACATTTGTCACCCTTGTATTTGAATCACATAAATTCACAAGCTCCAGCTGGCAATTAAATTATCTCATCAATTACAAAGTAATCAAGAGAGAACTGTTACTTAACAAATATAGGCTGCTTTTATAGACAAACCCTTTCAAACCAGGGAGAGGAAATAGGGGGCAGTAAAAAAAAATACCTGGAAAAAGACACTGTGTGATGAAAAAAAATCAAAACTTATTGCAGTAGATGATGATTAGCAAAGTACTAGGGATGCCCCATTGTGGGTTATTTAGCTTTCCATAAAGTAGTGTGAGTATAATTGTTTCTTTATAAGTATTTGCTGAATAAAGAGTTTTCATAAAAGCTCATCTTTCCTAAAAGTGCCACAGTATTTTTATTTGCAGATTTAAAGTGAGTTTAGGATATTTTTGCTTTGAGAATATTTTAATTTTTTTTAAATGCTTAAGTAACACATGGTTATTATAACAAATTCAGGTGATGCAGAACTATATAAAGCAAAAACTAGAAGTCCTTCTTGGAGTTGTACTTCCCAGAGGTTACCACTGTTGACAAATTGGTGTATGTCCTTCCAGCTATTTTTTTATGCAACATGTGTGTTAGTGTTATTTGAAAGAGTTATACAAAAATGGGGTCATAAAGATAGATTGTTCTGAAATTTGCTTCTTTCCCTCACTTAATTCTAATAGTATGTGATGAACAGCTTTCCATATTAGTAAATGTTACTGTAACTCATTATTTTAATGCATTCATTTGTATAGCTCTATCACAGTTATTTAATTATTCTAATAACAATTTCCCAAATTTTCTATTATAAACAATGTGGAAACACACACTTTTATGCATATTTTTGTACCTTTCTGGTCACACTAGTATTCCTAAAGCATAAATTCTTAGTAAGAGAATTGCTGATAGTATCAGTTTGGCCGTGAACCATAGTCAAAGATCTTGTCTTTGTCGAGCCTTTTAAGCCTGAAGACCTTGTTTGATTTCCTGGCCTTAAAGGTGTCTGAAGCAGTGGATGCACGTGGGATGACAAGGTCCTTAATTGCCCTTTTTGCCAGCACCAGTCTTATTTCCTTCTAATGTTTCTAACTGCTTAAGTCATAACAGAAGCAGTTGGCTTTTCAAGTCTAGAAGCATCGCAATTGTGGGACTATCCATCAGCTTAGATTGCAGGCACAGGCTACCCACCACCTTTAGACCTTTGCCTGAGTCAATGTCGACGTCGATCTCTCTCTCTCTCTGTCAGGTACAGTAAGAGGCAGCTTCTCAAAGCACTGCTGTTAGCTTAGTTTCCCCAACATCCCCAGTGAGAATTGGGAGGGAAAGTGAACAGGAAAGTTACCCTGTATTCGCAGCAGAGATTTTGCTTAGAATGCCTTCTCTTAAAGTAGCCTTCCAAAAAATTGACAGAAGCCAACTCACATATTTGTAAGACCCCACTGTCCCTCAAGACACAAATAAATTAGATTTGTATGTCTGTCAGATAGAGGCTGGGTGCATTGGCTTATGCCTGTAATTCCAGCATTGTGTGAGGCCGAGACGGGTAGATCACTTGAGGTCAGGAGTTCAAGACCAGCCTGGACAACATGGTGAAACCCCGTTTCTACTAAAGATGTAAAAATTAGCTGGGCATGATGGCAAGCGCCTGTAATCCTAGCTATTCTGGAGGCAGAGGCAGGAGAATTGCTTGAGCCCAGGAGGTGGGGAGGTTGAGCTGAGATCGTGCCACTGCACTCCAGCCTGGGTGACAGAGCGAGACTCCATCTCAAAAAAAAAAAAAAAAAAAAGGATTTGTGTATCTGTCAGATGGAGATAACAACTGTTTTTGAGTATGTATTGGCAAGATTGATTTAAGACGAAACCACTCCCCCTCATTAAATGGATATGTATTATATAATGAAGTCTCCAACCATTTGATTTAATTAATTCCTTTTGTAAGACAGCGTTGCAAGTAACTTCTGCAAATATAGACAGTTGTCAGAAATAAACTGCTGGTTCAAAAATTGTATTGAGCACTTGAGCCTTTATGAATTATGTTAAACAGACTCATCCTTTGCCCTCCTGAAGCTTTTGGGCCCAGTGTAAACATCTCAGCCACCAAGGCAAACCTTGACCCATATCCTAAGTTAATAACTAGGCAGCCTCTTAGCATACCTACAAGAGGGAGTCAGTGCCTTGGGTGGAGGACAGCAAATGGGGAACAGAGTCATCGTGGCCCTTTTACCCCATGACGACAGTCCTCACCGTGAATTACATAACTTTCTAATATGAGTGTAGGAGGAGTAACAAGTAGCACATTCACAATTTAAGCCTTATTTTCTATTTCACCGTTTGTTTACATAGCTAAAGAATTGTCTTTCTATTTAATACTTAATGATAAATAAACATAAATTTGGATTTTATATCAGGGAAGCTTTATTCAGTATTTTACAATATTAGGTGTTTTTAAAACTCAAAGTACAGATTAACATTAGTTTTTCCCTGATAATGGAGTAATATAAACAGTTATATGAATACACTGATGTAGGCTTATTGTGGAGAGTTTTTTTAAACTATATAGTACATGCCTGCATTTATTTATCTCGAAATCTAGTATAGCCACATGTTCATTTACCAAGATTTTTAAATGTTAAATCCCACTTGAGTGAACATCGCAGCCTAGAAATAATTTAAATAGGTGATTGTAGAGGGTTTGTTAGATAATTAAGCTGTAGCTACTAAGTAGAATGTTATGAAATCATTAAAAGCTACAGGCTTCTGGTTTCTGGTCCAACATATAAGGAGTTTGAAGTCTTCAATCTAACAGCAAGTAAAAAAATTGAACAAAATGAAAAATCAATTCTTCTTAGATCAGTTAGAGAGGTGAGGTCATAGGGCAAACTACTGCCCCCAGAATTGGAGAGACAGGCAAGCAGAACAAAGAATCACAACTTACTGGAGTAAGAACCTATGAGCAGTGACCTCTGCAGGAACCGATACTGGGGTAAGAAAACCTAAACTGTAATTAACATACTGCTGGAGGCTCACTACAGAGAAGTCTGAGAGTTAAAAACTGCAGGAGTACCCAGTCATGAGAAGTCGGGGGCTCTCCACACTTTTGTTAGTTTTACTTCCAGGAGCTTGACTGGGTCCTCACGATGGATGTCGAAGAAAAATCTTGCCCTGATTCTGACAGAGGGAGGAAAAAAGTAGCCATTTGAAACACACAAAAGCATTCTGTTCTTTTCAGCAAGGCCTGCCCTCAGGAGAAACTATATTGTCAGAACTTAACTGACTTTGGTAAGGGAAATACTCAACTCTAGCCCCCTCTAGTCTTCCATGTGGAAGAAGGGGAGTACCCAACTCCAGCCCATCCTAGATATTCTGTTCCACCTAAGGAGGGGGAAAGACTGAGAAGCACTTGTGAAACTCGTAGCCCAGGAGCACAGGCCTACTAAAAGACTGAAACCTGTTCATAGAGCTATAGAACACTTGCCTTCTTTACCCCCATCTTACCACAAAACTAAAGGCTGTTTGCCAGAATATCTTTCACCTAGTATATTACGTCTGGGTTTGAACTAAAAATTATAAGGCCTACTAACAGGCAAAAAACAGAGTTTAAAGAGGCAAAACAAGCATCAGAACCAGACTCACACATGGCAGGGATGCTGGACTTATCAGACCAGGAATTTAAACTAACTGTGGTTAGTATGCCAAGGGCTATAAGGGAAGAAGGAGGCAATATGCCAGAACAGATGGACATCATAAGGAGAGAGGTGGAAATTCTAAGCAAGAATCAAAAAGAAGTCCTAGAGATCAAAAACACTGTAACAGACATGAAAAATAACTTTGATGGACTCACGGGCACACTGGACATGACTAAAGAAAGAATATCTGAACTCTTGAGGATATGTCAATAGAAACTTTCAAAACTGCATAGCAAAGAGAAAAGAGACTGGAGAAAAAAAAAGGAACAGAACATCCAAGAACTGTGGGACAACTACAGAAGATGTACAATGTGTTTAATAGGAATACCAGAAGAAAGACAAGGGAACAGAAGAAATATTTGAAGGAATAATGACTGAGACTTTCTCCAAATTAATGTCAAACATTAAACCACAGAGCCAGAAAACTCATAAAACACCAAGCAAAATAAATACACACACACACACAGAACATTACACCTAAGCATATCCAAACTGCAGAAAATTAAAAATTAAAAAATTTTGAAAGAAGCCAGAGGGGGAAAAAAGCTTCCTTACAGGAGAACAAAGACAAGTATTATATGTGACTCTTCCTGAGAAATCATACAAGCAAGAAGAGAGTGAGATGCAATAATTTAAATTGTTAAGAGGAAAAAGAAACCAACCTAGAATTCTGTACCCAAACACAAAATTATTCTTCAAAAGTGAAGGAGAATAAATATTTTTTCAGACAAACAAAAATTAAGGACATTTGTGCTCAGTGGACCTGCCTAGCAAGAAATGTTAAAAGTTCTTCAGAGAAAAGGAAAATGATATGTTAGCAACATGGATCTATGTAAACAAAGGAAGAGCATTGAAAAAGGAATAAACCAAGGTAAAATAAGAATTTTTCTTATTCTTAATCACATAAATAATTCTAAGTAATGATAGCAACAGTGTATTCAGTTACATACACGTGTGTGTATGCTTACGTATAAGTGAAATGAGTGGCAGCAATGATGCAAGGGACAAGAGGGAAGAATGAGGGATATTTTGTTATTATAAGGTACTTGTACTACTCATGATGTGGTATAATGTTATTTGGAAGTGGATTTGGATAGTATAATACAAACTCCAGAGCAACCACTAGAAAAAATAAGAGAGAAATATAAATGACATGCTAAGAAAGGAGAGAAAATTGACATTATATAAAGTCCTCAATTAAAGCCACAAAAGGCAGTGAAAGAGTAGAAGACAAACATAGGAACAAACAACAAGGGCAGCAAATAGAAAACAGTAACAAATTGGTAGATATTATTCCAGCTGTTTCATTAATCACTGTAAACATCAGTGGTCTGAATATACCAATTAAAAAACAGTTTGTCAGAGTTGATCAAAAAAGAACCAGCTGTATTTTGTATGTAGGAAGCCCACTTTAAACATAAAACACATATGGACTAAAAGTAGACAATGCTAATACTAATCAAACGAAAGTGGGAGTAGCTATATTAATTTCAGATGGAGCAGACTTCAGAGCAAGAAAAGTTATCCAGGATTTAAAAAAAAAGTATGACATAATGAATAATAAAGAGATTAATTATCCAAGAAGGGGTAACAATTTTTTTTTTTTGGAGATGGAGTCTCGCTCTGTCACCCAGGCTCCCAGGTTCAAGTGATTCTCTTACCTCAACCTCCTGAGTAGCTGGGATTATAGGCGCACGCCACCACACCCAGTTAATTTTTGTATTTTTAGTAGAGACGGGGTTTTGCCATGTTGGCCAGGCTGGTCTCGATCTCCTGACCTCTGGTGATCCGCCTGCCTTGGCCTCCCAAAGTGCTGGGATTACAGGCATGAGCCACTGTGCCCGACCAGGATAACAATTCTTAGACATCTATGTGACTAACAGCACCAACTATATATGAGGCAAAAAAAAAAAAAAAACTACAAGGAGAAGTGGATGAATTCATTATTATCCTCTGACAGAAATAAACAGACCCAGCAGGCAGAAAATCAGCAGACATAGTTGAACTCAACGGCACTATTACTTAACTGGATATAATTGACATCTATAGAGTACTTCATTTAATGACAACAGATGGCACACTCTGCTTAAGCTCAATTGGAACATTCACCAAGATATAGACCACAGTCCAGGCCATAAGATACATATTTACACTGTCTGTTTTTACCACAGTGGAATTAAACTAGAAATCAGTAACAAACGTAGCTGGAAAATTCCAAAATACTTGGAGATTAAACTGCACACTTCTAAATAACAGATGGGTCAAAGGAGAAATCTTAAGAAAAATTAAAAGATATTTTGAACTAAATGAAAAACAACTTAATCAAAATTTGTAGGATTTTGGAGGACAGCCACTGAGTCTGTCACAGTGCCTGGCCTCTACCAAACAATTAAGGAAAAAAACTTTATCAACTCTCTGCAATCTCTTTTGGAGAACAGAAGCAAAGAGAATTCTTCCCAACTTATTCTGTGAGGCCAGCATTATCCTAATAGCAAAACCAGGCAAAGACAAGGAAACTACAGCCCTATATCTCTTGTGAACATAGATGCAGAAATCTTTAACAAAATATTAGCAGATCATATCCAACTATATAGAAAAAGAATTATATACCATGACCAAGGGAGATTTATCCCAGGTGTGCAAGGCTGATTTAACATTCAAAATCAATTATTGTAGTGAATCACATCAACACCTGCTCATGCTAAAAATAACTCCCAGCAAACTAGGAATAAAAGGGACCTTAAAGAACATGTAGAAAACTCTACAACTAACATCATACTTAATGCTGAAAAACTAGAAGCTTTCCTGCTAAGACTAGGAACGGAGTAAAACTGTCCCTCTCACATCTTCTTTTCTGTATCACACTGTAAATCTTAGCTAATGCAATAAGAAAAGAAAAAAAGGTATCCCGCTTGGGAAGGACGTCAGCATTGTCTTTGTTTGTCTTTGTTTGCACATAAGATGGTTGTCCATGTAGGCAACCTGAAAGATTTGACCACAAACCTAACAAACAGAAACAACTCTGGGAACTAATAAGTGATTATAACAAGGTTGTAGGATATAAGGTTAATATACAAAAGTTAATCACTTTTCTATATACCAGCAATGCACTAGTGGAATTTGAAATTAAAAACAATGCCGTTTCCATTAGTATCCAAAAAGTGAAATACTTGTAAATCTTAACAAAATATGTATAAGGTCTATAGAGGAAAACTGCATAACTCTGATGAAAGAAAATGTAAAAGGAACTAAATAAATGGAAAAATATTCTATGTTTATGTATAGGAAGACTCAGTATTGTCAAGATGTTGGTACTTCTCAAATCAATCTATAGATTTAATGCAGTTCCACTCAAAATCCCATCAAGTTATTATGTAATAGTCAAACTGATTCTAAAGTTTATATGGAGAGGCATAAGACCCAGAATAGCCAACACAGTATTGAAGAAGAATAAAGTTGGAGGACTGACGCTACCTGACTTCAAGACTTACTGTAAAGCTATGGTAATCAAGGCAGTGTGGTATTGGTGAAAAAATAGACAAATCAGAACAGAGAGCCTAGAAATAGATTGACCCACTTAAATATACAGTCATCCTTCAACATCCTTGGTGGGGATTGGTTCCAGGACTCCCCATGGACACAGATGCTCAAGTCCTTTATATAATATGGTATAGTATTTGCATATAACCCACATCCTCCCATACACTTTAAATCATTTCCAGATAACTTATAACACCTGTTATAATTTAAATACTATGTAAATAATTGTTATGCTATATTTAATGACAGTAGTAATACAGTATAATGTAGTAATAATAATGTCATTAATGGAATAATGACAAGGAAAAACAATGTCAGTACAGTTGCAACCATCCATTTTTTTCCCAAATATTTTCTATTCATGGTTGGTTGAATCCATGGATGTGGATCCCACAGATACAGAGGGCTGACTATATTCAACTGACCTTTGACAGAGGAGCAAAGAAAATAAATCAAAAAAAGATCATCTTTTCAACAAATGATGCTGGAAGAACTGGACATTTATTCACATGCAAAAAAACATGAATCTGGATATAGACCCTTCTGCACCCTTCACAAAAATTAACTCAAAATGATCACAGACCTAAATGTAGAATGTAAACTATAAAACTCCTAGAAGTTACCCTAGGAGAAAATCTAGATGACCTTGGGTATGGCAGTGACTTTTCATATACAACACAACATCAGAGGCATGATCCATGAAAGAAATACCTGATAAGCTGGACTTCGTTATAATTTAAAACTTCTCTGTGAAAGACACTGTCAAGAAAAAGAGGAAACAAGCCACACGTTGGGAGAAATATTTGTAAAAGTTATGTCTGATAAAGGACTGTTATCTAAGTTACAAAAAACTCTTAAAACTCAACAATACAAAACAAACACCCAGTTTAAAAATCGGCAAAAGACCTGAACAGACACCTAACCAAAGCAGATGACAAATAAACACATGAAAAGATATTTAACATCGTATGTCAATAAGAAATTGCAGATTAAAGCAACAATGAGATACCTCTACACACCTGTTAGAGCGGCCAAGATGCAAAACACAGACAACACCAAATCCTGACAAGGATGTGGAGCAACAGGAACTCTCAGCCATTGCTGATAGAAATGCAAAATCATACAGGCACTTTAGAAGACAGTTGTAGATTTCTGATAAAATTAAGCAGATTCTTACATACAATTCAGCAGTTGTGCTCCTTGGTATGAGTTGAAAATTTACGTACACATGAAAACCTTTGCATGAATATTTACAGCAGCCTTATTCATAATAGCCAAAACTTGAAAGCAGTCAAGATGTCCTTCAGTAGGTGAATGGTTAAGTAAACTGGTATATCCAGACAATGGAATACTCTTCAGCACTAAAGAGAAATGAGCTATCTGTCAAGCCATGAAAAGACATGGAGGAAACTTAAATGCATACACCAAGTGAAAGATGCCGTTCTAAACAGGCAGTGTACTGCATCATCCAACTGTATGGCATTCTGGGAAAAAGAAAACTGCAGAGCCAGTGAAGAGATCAGTGGTTAGGGGGAAGAGAGGGAGGAATAGGCAGAGCACAGGGGAATTTTAAAGCAGTGAAACTCCTCTGTATGATATTGTAATGGTGGGTACATGTCATTATACTTTTGCCAAAACCCATTGAATGTACACCAAGAGTGAAGCTTGATATAAACTGTGGATTTGGGGTGATAATGAAGTGTCAATATAAGTTCACTGATTGTAACAAACGTACACTCTGGTGGAGGATGCTGATAGTGGGAGAGTTTATACATGAGTCGGGGCAGGGAGTCAATGAGAACTCTACTTTCCACCCCATTTTGCTATGAACCTAAAACTGCTCTAATAAATAGACTGTGTTTTTCAGTGTTATGTGACGAAGGTTTAACCTGAGAAAAAAACAATATATTGTTAATTTTTAATAATTATTAAACAATTTCTGTTCTTTGCTGTTGTTTTTCTCTGCCACTGGTCTTCACCTGTTTGTTTGTTTTGGTTTTTGAAACAGGGTCTTGCTCTGTCACGAAGGCTGTAGTGCAGCGGTGATCATAGCTCACTGCAGCCTTAAACTCCCAGGCTCAAGTGATCCTTTCACCTCAGCCTCCTGAGTAGTTGGGACCACAGGCACATGCCACCACACCTAGCTAATTTTTTTTTTTTTTTTTCATAGAGAGAGTGTCTCTCTATGTTGTCCAGGCTGGTCTCAAACTCCTGGCCTTGAGCAATCTTCCCACCTTGGCCTCCCAGCCTGGACTTCATCTGTTTTGTTCACAACTATAACCCTGCCTCCTAGTACAGAGCCTGGCATATTGTAAAAAAAAAAAAAAAAAAAGCAACAGTAATAGCTTCATTCTGAAATAGTATATTCAGTGATGTGTTGGGTACTGCTCTGAGTACTTTACATATATATGTACTCATTTAAACTTCACAACTTTGAAATAAGTACTTATTCCCAGTGTACAAATGGAGAAACTAAGACACCAGAAGGTCAAGCAACTTGCCCAGATTTACATCGCTAGTAAGTGGTAGAAATGGAATTTGACCCCAGGTTGTATGACCTGAATGTTTGCTCTTCACCAACTTATACCACCTTTCCTTAAAAGACAGTCCACAAATATTTATTGATTGGGTGAATGAATATGAGTGAAATAATGAAATGAAAAGACAACTTTTAATATAGTATCATTAGTACATTTTTATTTTAAAATGTGTCCATGCACAGTACCCAAATGTTCATTATTACTAACAGATGATAAATTGTAGTAAAGTCATACAGTGGAATACTATATAGCAGTGAGGAAAGTGAGTTACAACTACATATAACAGCGTGTATGATTCTCGTGAGCATAATGTTGAGCAAAAGAAGCCACACCCTAAAGAGTCTCTGTTTACTGTTCCATCTATACCAAGGACAAAAGAGGCACATTAGAAGTCAGAATGCTGGGAACCCTCGGGGCAGAGCGGGAAGGGCAGGAGTGTTCTCCCCTTCCTCCGGTGCTGGTTACATGGGTGTGTTCAATTTGTAAAAGTTTTTTGAGCTATACACGTATGTGTGCAGGTTTTTTTTTTTTTTTTTTTGAGACGGAGTCTCACTCTGTCGCCCAGGCTGGTGTTCAGTGGCGCGATCTCGGCTCACTGCAAGCTCCACCTCCCAGGTTCAAGCCATTCTGCCTCAGCTTCCTGAGTAGCTGGGACTACAGGTGCCCACCACCACACCCGGCTAATTTTTTTATATTTTTAGTAGAGACGGGGTTTCACCGTGTTAGCCAGGATGGTCTCGATCTCCTGACCTCGTGATCCGCCTGCCTCGGCCTCCCAAAGTGCTGGGATTACAGGAGTGAGCCACCGCACCCGGCATGTGCAGGTTTTTTGATTGGTAAATTCTACGTTAAATAAACAGCTTTTTAAATGACTAAGTTAGATAAAAAGGGTCAAAAAGATAAATAAGATGTTGAAAGTGTATTTGCCCAAAACATTCTTTAACTGTAGATATTTTTTGGAAACAGTGCTATGAGTAATTTTCCGTTTCATTTTTGAGAGTTCTTAGGTTTTCAGATGTAGTAAAATTGTCACATATTGCCTGTGTAATTAGATTTCTAAAATGTGATTAAAATGAACTTACCCCAAAATCAACATATGCACAGCATGAGTTGGTCATGTGGGTGTTGGCTCCTGATGGGTGATAAAAAGGACACCAGCCCACTGGCTGCCTTGCTTGCCCTCCTGACTTTAGTCCACAATCTTTGAAGCTTCATAGGATGTCTCCAGGGATTTCTAATCAGTGTTTTGTGTGTTTCTTACATTTTTATTCCCTTTTCCAGGCTGAACAGTCCAAAGAAGAGCAGAAGCAAGGTCTGAATGCAGAGAAGTTGATGAGGCAAGTCTCCAAGGACGTGTGTCGGCTCCGGGAGCAGAGCCAGAAGGTGCCTCGGCAGGTGCAGTCCTTCAGGTGAATAGCCCCATCCAGGACAGCTTTTGGGTTGCCCTCACGGGGTCTGATTGTGTAGGAATTCACCTCAGTGCAGTGAAAGTTAATATGAGGATCCGAGACAGAAGTCCTCTGTTCTCTACCTTGAATATATAATTTTCCATTTGCACCTGAGGTGATAAATGTGACTGGCAGAGTTAAAGGCTGATGAAAGCCTAACTCCCCACAAGAACCCAGGGTGTCCCCAGCTCTTAGTAGCTGTTAGCACATCTCACTGGGCTATCTTGACACAGGATACAAAGGTACAGAAAACTCAGACATCTTTGGGATTTTGTTCGCTCATTTTACAGACATTCCTTGGGCAGCCCCAGAAACCTTACACCTTGTCAGGCTCTGAGATGTGGAGGCTAAGAACATGTGCATTCGTTCTGCTCTTCTGGGGGGCTCTAGGCTGTGGCAGGGATAGGCGGGTAACCAGGTCATTGCAGTGCATGTGGAAGGAGCTAACTAAAGGGATAGGTAGGGACCTGTGAGAGATGTGGGAGGAGCCTCAGTCAGTATGGGGCAGGTGCTGGGGCTGCGGGCACCAGCAGAGGAGATTATAAGAGAACCCATCATGGAAGGATGGCTGCAAGCTCCTTAGGCACCTAGGGGTGGCAGTTTTGAGTGGGACATTGAGGCGGGAAGAACAGCATGGACAGAGGCACAGACCTTAGAAGTCAGTGCCAAGCTCTGGCGCATGGGGAGTTGCCAGCTGGTGAGCCTGCCCAGGAGAACTGGGCTCAAGTTGCACAGGCCTTGGAAGCTGTGCAGAAGGCTTCCACCCGTGGTCTCTGACGGGCGGCCAGCAGGGCTCTCCGTGCACAAAACCAAATGATGGGGATGGGTTTTATGTAGGGCAGATATCAGAGGCATTGTGGAGAGTGGGCTGGGGAGAAGCGGGTAAGGGTGGCCAGTTAGGTTCATGGGAGGTTTGTGGGGGGCAGTGGCTGCCCTGTGGTGCCAGCGCTCGAGATGGAGAATGCTGGGGAGCAGGGGTGTGGGGAGGATGCTGACCTCTGCCATGGCACACCAGGCAATGCCAGCAGGCTAGTGAGATAACCATGACCAGTAGACAAGTGGAAATAAAAATCTAAAGCCAGGGTTAGGGGTCAGGATGGAGATTAAAAAATGGGAGTGCTCATCTTCAATGCATTGGTCTCATCTGTGGAAATGGGCCAGACATCCCAGAAAATGTGAGGTGACTGGGAAAGGAGGCTGGTGGGCACCAATCACTGAAGGGCTCGCCCCAAAAGAGATGCTAGAAAGAATGGCTGGAGAGGTCAGAGGAGAACCAGGAGCCTGGGGCAAGAGGGTGGGAAGAGGAGATTGATGGAGAGAACTGAAAAGTACATCCGGGATCCCTGGTGAGCACACTAGATGGTTTCAGCCCCGACGGAGGGAGCTCAGCAAAAAGGTTTGTTCCTATTGCGTTTTTATTTGGTTTTGGTTGAGGTTTTGTATAGACGAGTCTTTGGAAAGTGTTTAGGCATAAAGGGGAGAAGCCCAGAAGAAGCGAGTGTTTTTGAAGTGTGGGGAAGCTAGGTCACGTGGTGGAGCAGGGACAGCTATGGCAGGCTGAGGTCTGGTACCAAGCGGGAGGGCAGGGCCACGGACCGTGTGGCAGCAGCAGTGTGCCTTAGTGGGCTCACAGCTCTTTCATTTTTCTGCAACACCCTGCAGTAGAGAGGTTTTTCCACCCTCTTTTCTGCTAAAGAATCACATTTGTGACTTTCAGGGACTACCACTACTTGGGTTTTAGAACTGCAGGTGAGGGGAGCCCATCCATGTCCCTGGTGCTGTGGTCACTTAGAGAATAAGCAGCATTGTCTAGCGTGGAAAGTCACACAACTCGCAGTTGTTGCCGAAACCTGAAGCAAAGAATCCACGAACATTCCCAGCTTCCCTTAAGATACGAAGCATATTATATCACCAGGGAAGTGACGAGAATGATGAGATGGACCAGGGTGAGACAGAACATGCTGGAAGCGTGGGATTTGCACGGCTACCGTTGCCTGGCCTGGGGTGGTGAGATCAGGCAGCGGTGGGGCCTGGGCCGTTCTGCCCGGCACCACCCCAGCTGCTTGTTTCACCTGGAATCAGGAGCCCGATGGTCCCTGGCCTTCTAATTTTTCAAGAGAAGTTAGAAATCAACAGTTTTCTGTGAAATATCTCAAATGCAGGTGCCGGCAACTACTTCAGGTATTTTTAAACACCCCAGTTAGCAGCTGCGCCTTAAGGCCTCCGCTGACATCACACCTACACTCGTGGCATTTTTTGTTCTTGTTTTCCTCTTATGAATTGAACAAATTTAAAGGACACTGTTCACAGCAGTAGCTCGTTCCAGTGTCCATAGTGTTCTCACTCCTCCTTTTCTTCTCTATCCTTTCTTAGTCTTCAGAACATCCCCACCTCAGCTCTGGTTTCTAACCCGCACCTCCTCCCCCATCTGGACTGTTCTTTCGCAAGGGAGAACCAGTGCTTGATTCTTCAGCTACCAGCATGCCCCTTGCATGTAATATGCCCTCAAGAAATACGTGCTGACGGCATAAATGCCATGTACAGTGTGAAGTTCTGTAGGGAAATAGACGCACTGTTTGTCTTTTTTTTAAGCACTCTCCTCACCTGAAAACCGCTCTGCCCTGTCTCAGCCTCTCCGCTGCTTCGGGACCAGGGCAGTTACTACCTTGCAGATAGTTCCTCCTTCTCCTTTCATTTGCGTCGTGGTGTCGCTCATCAGGTTGTCCCTGCCCCGGCATGGTATCGATGTAAAGACTTTTCCTGTTATTGTGTGCTTTTCTGTGAGGTTACTGAGAAGTTTCCAGGTAGGATTTTGGGCCTTTTGAGTCTTCTGCTACCTAGTTCGGAAACACCCATCCTAGACCAAACCCCTACTAGTTTAAAAACTGTCTTCTGTTGGAAGTTCCCTGAAGGGAACTTACGGGCTTGGTCTGTAGGTGACTTCCGTGATCCAGAGCTGCTGTTCTCCTTGATACCCCCCCTTTAAGCAGGCAGAGGCTCTCCTGATTTTAAATGGAGTTCTGCGTAAGGAAAAGAGCTTCTACCTGTGCTTGCAGAGACATCACTGCCACTGCAGGTCTTGGGGACTGTTTTAATGGTCCCAGAGTATTTTTAGCATCATATATAAGTCAATTTATTTCTCACCCCAACTCTAGGGAGAAGATTGCCTACTTCACCAGAGCAAAGATAAGCATCCCATCCCTGCCAGCTGATGATGTGTGATTACATGACTTAAGAAATTATTTTTTCATCTGTTCACTTTCTTAGGGAGGGTAAAAGACTGAAGATTTGTGTTTTTGTTTTGGTGTTTGGTTTTTTTTGGTAACGTAACTGTCAACTCTTGAAGAACTTTTATTTCACATCAGATTTTCAACACATTAATTTGTAAAGTACCTTGAGTGTAATTTTTATATGCTTAAAAAAGAAAAAATCATATAAGAAAGATGGGATAACCTGGTACACAAATGTTGCCCAGTATGTGCGCATTGCCAGTGGACTTCATTTTGTAAAAATGGAATAGAGGCAGTACCCCACATGTGTACTGTTGAGCCGGCTGTTGAGAAACAACTTGGTTCAGCCGGTGGTTTTGCTTCTCCTTTGTGTTCCTGTGAGTAGGCTGTGCCGATGGCAGCAGCGCCACGTGGTATCTGTGCGCTGGCGAGGAGAGGAGCGCTTTCCATTTGGAGGCAGTGTGAGCACACGCTGGAGTGCAGCGTTCCAAAGTCCGCCCGAAATGGATGCTGCGTCCACGGCCATCACCTGTGCGGGAACACCTGGTTTCCTTAAGACAATTTCCTTTTTGTCCTTTTATATTTTTCTAAAGAAAACTAAGATATAAACTACCAAGTGCTCTTAAGAATAAAAATAAGAATAAGAATACAAAGGAGCACTACTCTTGGCTACACGAAAGATCTTGGGATTCATGACACTGAGGGCAGGGAGAAGAAAGAACACCAGCCACGCAGAGATACAAATAAGCTCATCAAATGAGCAGCTGGTTTGTCTCACTCAGCCTGAATTTGCATTAAGTGTTCAAAAGTGAGTTTCTGGCTTGCACTAGTGTTTTGCCCTAAATCTAAGGATGGTGCCTAGTGGTGGCCCTGTGTTCTGAGGACAGAGAGAGCTGGAGGGGTGGAGGGAAATGCATCGGCACTCATTTGGTGTAACCAAGAAGAGGGGGAAAGATGTCTTGATAGAATCAAAGTTGCCAAAAACAAAGAAGAGTTTATCAAGCAGATTTCTAACATTTAGTAGAAACTACTTCATAGCTCTCATTTTTAGGGGGTTCTATCTATAATTTATGGTAAATAGTTGGGAGGCAAAGGGAAGAATGTGTGTGGGGGGATTATTAATTTGAAGTATAAGCTAAATTGTTTATTAAAAAGCCTATTTTGGATGAACAAGTTTAGAGAGATAAACTGACTAATGTGTCCTCCAGTTTAGAATTTCACCTTACCCGACCCAGGCACTTCTTAAAAACACAGATCCTCAGTGCAGCTCTGCCAGCATCAAGGCTTTTAAAATATGTAGTATTTAGGCCATTTAAACCATACTTATTACTCAATAACCCAAGAAACAATTTTGGGTTAGCCATCTAATATAGCAAATAAAATAGATTTTTTAAAGAAATCCAAAATTGTCTTAAAGGAATGGACCCCTTGAAGAAAAAAAAAAAAAGTTTTGTTCCTCAGTTAGAATGCTCACTAGCTCACTAGCAAGAATTTTTATTTTCTTGAAAGCAATTATATATATTTTGGAAAGTTCATGTTATTGGAATTGAAGTTCAAATTAAGCAACTTCTGAGCCTAGAACTTTAATTACTTTTTCCTAAATGTCCCAACACTTACATACAAATTTCTTTGAAGACATAACTGGACATGGCAGACACTGCTTTGAACAAAAACCAGCCTAGTGAATTGACTGAGTACAGTCCTTTAAGGCTGCCCAGTTCATTCTATTAGATGACTAAGGAAAACTAGAAAAAGAATACAGTTCACCCTTGTCAAGGTCAAATGTGAAAGACAGAAGTTTATTTAATGTAGAGGTAAATGAAGGTGAGCTGTTTTCAGCATCTTAGTTTGACCATGAAAATGTCTATAGAATTATGTGTAGTTGTTCCGTACGATTTTATTTTCTTCATTTATTTATTTACAGTCTTATTTATGTTCTGTTTAATATATAGTTTGATTCTGGCCATTTTAAATATTTGACACAGAAGAGACTATATTGGAATATTTACAGCTTTATAAGTCTTTCATCAGATTAGCTGTTGACTTTTTGTAATACAAAAAGTTTCAGACAAGTATTAAAGAATAAAATCTGTCTCAGGCTGGTAGTTAGCAGTTGTGACCAAGATGCTTTTGGTTGTTGTATTTCACAAAATTTCCTCATTTCTAACATGAGAGATGAACTTATTTTAATATAATCCTTTTTCTACACTTTAAAAGTCAGCAATAGTGTTATGTATTTATAGGCAGCTTTTAATAATCTTGTCATATTTGTACTAACCCAAATGATTCACAGTGACAAAACATTTTAATAACTTGATCACAAAACCATATGGACAAATATGAATTTTAATATTATAAATACTATTTTTAAAAGGTAGAATTTATTCGCACAGGGTAAAAAGAATGTAATATTTAGTTCTCAAGTTTGAATTATCAGTATATTATTACAATTTTGTATATCAGAATCTTAAGTGTTACAGGTACAAAAAGAATATTGCTAGCCAAATGAACAAAGTTTAGCTAAATCTCTGTAGCATGCAAATCAAATAAATTAAAATTTTTTGCTATTGCTTTATCTATATTGTCTTAAATATCAAAAGCTCAGGACTGAACTTAATATTTAATCAGGTTAAATTCTGAACATGTTTCTGTTTTAATTTGTCTTGTTTGTAAACGTATGCAAATACATCACATAGATTAACTGGTTTCTGCACTTTCCATGTGTTTGTGGGTGGAAAAAAATTCAGTGGTTTTTTTTAAAAAAAAAAGCAAAAACAAAGCTACATATTGCCTAATACTCTATTTCAGTGTCGTTTATTGTTCAGTTTATTTCCCTGATTGGCACAAACACAAGAGTTTCCTTGAACCATGTACCAAGCAAATACAAAATATTTCATGAAGAAATCCCCAGGCTGGCAGTTTGTGATGAATAGTTCTTGTTGGAACTATATGTATTGCTGATAAAAAAGGACGAAGTATTTTCATTGAGCAAATAAAATGAAGGGCTCCAGAATATGTGCTCTGTGGTCGCTGCGCCTGGGCTGGCAGTGTGCTCCACAGAGAGGCAGCCGTCCCAGGAGGTTATCTACCCACACACCCCAGTCCTGCCCTGCCGTGCCCCCCACAGGCTGCTCAGTGCCTGGGAAGCCAGAAACGCTGCCCGTGAAATACAGAACACAGGATGCAGAAGCACGTTTGTGTGGCAGAGTCTACTTGAATCATCCAAAACCCAAGATCGCCCTCCTGCCTCTGACAGTATAGAAGGCGTGACTGAATGTGGCTGCCTTTTGAAAAAGGTTCCATAGAGACACTGAGGTCTCTGATTCAGAAGGAGATGATGTGTCTACACCTTTCACCTCTGAAGCTTCTAAAGAGCTAGTAATTATTTTATATAATAAGACGTCATGCATTTTAAATAAATATGCAACAAGACCTCAGGCTTATTATACTAGGTTATCTTAAACACCTGAAATAAGTAAATGATTTGCCAAATGATTCCGCTCCATATGAATAATACCTTCAAAGATACATAGAGATTAATGTTTTATTTACCACTTCTGTGCAATCGCTATTTTAAAATTGAGAAAACTCATCCACAGTAATGGGTGTCATTACTATTCAGTCTTGATTGATTTTGGTCTCAGACTAGAAGATAAAAATGGTTTACCAGTCTTGGAAAGAAACTATAGTTTAATAGCCACAGGAAAAGATGCATTTTCAAAAATCAAAAGCACAGTGAGATGACTAGAGCGGGACATCCTACCAAATCCAGTGTTGAGCAAGCGTCTCCTGAACAGCAGACGCTTGTCCTTTCTGGCTTAGTGTTTCAGGTTGGTGTTTCTCGTCTCCAGTTCTTGATGATGATCTTGTGTTTGTGCCACTGCGTAGTGGCCCGAAGCTAGGGGAGCGTGGCTGGAGCAGGCTGCACAGTGGAGCAGACACCCTCCTAGCAGAAGAGAAAGTCCAGCAAACCAGCCCAGAAACAGGGCCTCCCCAAACTCCCACCTGGGGACAAAGTCTGGGACGTTCTCATCCCAGAACTCCTGAACCGTCTTGTGGGCAACCCAAGAGACGGGAACCAGGGCTGTGACTCCCGAGGCCCAGGACAGAATTCCTCCCAGGATCAGCAGTCGCCTCTTGAGATCTCTCTGACTCTCTCCAATTCTCAAACAGTCCAGGCCAAACCCAGAGACCAGCAGGCCCAGAAATCCCAGCCCATTTGACAGAAACATTAAGATCCTGGAGACCCTGAGTTCAGCAGGCAAAGCCAGGAAGGAGTCAAAGTCCTTGCATTGCATCCCCACTTCCTCTTGGATGACACAGGTTTGCCAGAGTCCCATGGTCCAGTTTTCCATTTCATTTAAGTCCAGGTTGAGGTTCTTCCAGTGTGGCAGGTAGTTTGTAAGACAGGATAAAACCCATCCCAGCAAAGATAATGAAACTCCAGCTAGTTGAGCTACAGTTCTAAATACTAAAGCCATTATAATGTCCTGAGAGCTTTAGCCAAACTAACTCCTGCCCTTCGGTTGCTGTGAAAAGAAGTGTGACACTTGTGTTATAACTTATGAAACTCAGAAATATTTCTTCATTGTGTATATAGGAGGATTCTTGCCAGAGTTGCTATTGTTTGATTCCATGTTGAATGGGTTTCACAAAAGGATAGGGAAATAATGCCGCCAACCAGTAATGCCAAGGTGTGGCCAAGATTGTGTTTGTGTCCTGTGGGCTGGATTTGACAGAAAGCAGTTTGTCACTGAAATATAATTAAGTGATAATCTCCTTTCATTGTCAAGGTTAAAATGGCTTTCATGTTATTCCCAACCTTTCTAACAAAGAATTAAGTCTAAATGCAAAATGTTTAACTGATGGTTTTGGTTCAACTCCTCCTGCTTTGTGTTTCACTAACTGCACCTGTCAGATTTTCATCTCTTATAGTTCTCACATTTCAAATGTGCATGTTATGGTAATACTGAGTGTTATTTTTTAAAAATAGGTTTAAGAAAAGTATTTCTTAACCAAATAAATCAATCTTATCAGAAATCTCTCTACACCTTAACTCACTCCTGCGTTTCAGAAATTCCTCAGGCTACATATACCACATGGCATATGAAGCAATACTGAACTACAGATCTAGTTTATTTATCTGCATGCCTTTCTGTCAAATTCACGCTTGTGTGCATAAACACTTTTTTTTCTTATATATGCTTTCTGTGCCGAGGAAAGTTCAGCATTTGGACTCTGCAGGTTGGAGTCAGCATTTCTGTTTATTCACCACTAAAGTAGATATCCCCATGTTAGCGATTTTTCATTGAACAAAGGAAAGGTTTTATTCAAATGACCTGACAATATCAGGATATCAAGAAAAATGTCTTTGGAATTGTTTTTCTTTTTTTAATACGAAGGTTTTGAGGGAAAGGATGAGAGAAGAGATTGGCCACCATTTTAAATCTGAGAGGATCACAAGGTACTGAAAACTCTTCAGCCTCATAAAATCTTGCCGCACTGAGTGCCTGGTAATATCCTAAAAACAAACCACTTCTGTTCAAAGAAGAAAAAGGTCATTGTTGTGGAAATAACACTTTGAGGTTGGCTTAGCATGTGGTTTTGCTAAAGTAGAACACTTAAAATTTTCAGATTGTTAGTTTTTTTCTTTAGGAAACAGAAACTAAAGATCATTTCTGACTACCAACAGCAACAACAAAAAAAAGAAAAACAGAAAAAAGCTTTCTAATATGAAATTTACACATTAAAGCTTGAAACTGACTGTATTGGACAGCCACCACATTAATTTCAATAACCAGATCAATGAAGCTTGTTTCACTTCTACCTGTATAATGCTTACCATAATCATTTTCTTTTAGATAAAAGATTTTTCCTTCATTATTCAGATTTTAGAGGGAAGTGGGTCTACCTACTGTAGAAAAATAGTGAATGAGAAAACGTGAGCATCACAGGTTTAGCTACAAAACAAAGAGGTCTTTGTCATCACAGTTGATACAGGATACATCTCTGGCCTTGTCGGAGTCTTACACTTGAGGATCTGCTGTCCCATCTTCCAGGTAGGGACACTGAGTTTGCATTTGCGCCACTGCATAGTGGCCCAAAGCTAGGGGAGCGTGGCTGGAGCAGGCTGCGCAGTTGAGCAGACACCCTCCTAGCAGAAGAGAAAGTCCAGCAAACCAGCCCAGAAACAGGGCCTCCCCAAACTCCCACCTGGGGACAAAGTCTGGGACGTTCTCATCCCAGAACTCCTGAACCGTCTTGTGGGCAACCCAAGAGACGGGAACCAGGGCTGTGATTCCCGAGGCCCAGGACAGAATTCCTCCCAGAATGAGCAGTCGCCTCTTGAGATCTCTCTGACTCTCTCCAATTCTCAAACAGTCCAGGCCAAACCCAGAGACCAGCAGGCCCAGAAATCCCAGCCCATTTGACAGAAACATTAAGATCCTGGAGACCCTGAGTTCAGCAGGCAAAGCCAGGAAGGAGTCAAAGTCCTTGCATTGCATCCCCACTTCCTCTTGGATGACACAGGTTTGCCAGAGTCCCATGGTCCAGTTTTCCATTTCATTTAAGTCCAGGTTGAGGTTCTTCCAGTGTGGCAAATAAGTTGTAATAATGGATAAAATCCATCCCAGGAGAGATAGTAAAAGTCCAACAGATTGCATTGCTGTTCTAAAGATTAAAGCCATTGCGACAGGTCTTAGGACTTTGCCACCCCTATAGGATCTGCTGTCCTTTGTGGTTGACGGTAATGTGACAATCTTGGTTCTATGCTGCCTGGAATATAAGCTGTGGTCATTAACTCTTTGGGCACTCTGAAATGCGTTTTTGTTCTTCTTGAATATAATGTTTCACGTAAAGGACGAAGGACTCTGTTAAAACTATGAGTTGGGCTTTCTGATAAGGACTTGATCTGTTACCTTCCAATTTGGTAAAATTATATCCCCAATGCTTGATGATTATAAGTCTAAGGATGAACAAAGAGGGCTCTATGACCCCTCACCCTAAAATACAACAGAAATCTTTGTGCTTCAGTATGGATTAATTAGATTTTAAGTGGTGATAAAAGGCCAGCTCTTTCTACAACAGGACTTCATTGTAAGAGCTGAATCTGAAATTTCAGGGATGCAAAACAAGGTCTTGTAAAGAAAGGTAGACTGTTTCCTATAATCTCTATTCTTCTCAGACTTCCTTAACCTACACAAGAGCCTGGCCCACATCCTCGAGTGTCGCAGGAGCTCAGAGTTGGCAGGAAGGTTCCTCGGATTCCTTTGAAAGGTAGAGGCTGGCTTACGGGACTGATTAAAATGAAAAGGACTGAGGCTGATGCTGGGGGCTACTGAGTGCGGAAGGGAACGTCCCGGGCAGTTCCAGCATTCACTCTGTGGTTTTCTCCATCCTCGTTAAGGACTTGGGGGTAAAGCATGATATCTTAGCGTCCAGGGAGGTGTTTTTTGTCCAGAGCTGAGCTGTCCCCTTGTCATTTCAGCAGCTTACGCAGAGCAACACCAGGCTTCAAGACTCCTGCCAGCTCCCAGACAAAAGTCTCTGGTACAAACACAATAGCCACAATGGAGCTGAACTTCGAGGCTTCATCTTGTTTATTTTTTTGGTTGAGGCCACACCTTGAGAGCATACTTACGCAGAGGGTTGACCCCTCAGAGAACACAGGACCGGCCTCACAGGCCAGGACAAGAGGTCACCTGCCCCAGATTCCCAGGGCTGCACCGTCTCCTCTCCACATGGCCCCTGGGCATCCTGCACCTGCTCAGAGGAGATAAAATCAGATGGGCCCACAGGACAGAAAAGTCCCTAAAGGTGGAGCCACTCCCCTGAGAGGTTCTAACCTGGAGAAGTAGAACCACTGCCCATCACGTTGCAACAGTGGAGTGTAGCCCAGGATCAGAAATTATCTTCTATTGTGTCTCTAAATAGGAGATCGGAGAGACAGAACATGGATCCCGATGTATCCAAATTACTTTGGATAAGATTGCATAAGATGTAGATTTGAGGTGGTACTTTCTTCAGCTTTTCCTATCATCTTAAGTTTAAAAAGAAAAAACTATGCACCAGATGAACTCTTCCTTAATTTTTACAAATTTTCAGAATTCCTGAGGATGTATTGGTGCCCCCACCATCCTGAAATAAGTCATTCCAGGGTGCTTAAAGGTACCTGGATCCAGAGGGCCGGAGACCTGTCTGGGGCCTCATCACCAGTGCACAGGATATGGCAAGCTTGAGCTCTCTTCCAGGAGGCAGTCGGGGTGGTGAAGGCCTGGAGAGCAAGTGGGAAAGATCATAGGGAGATGATTCTTAATATCACAGTGAAACGCTTTTTAAAAACCTAATGGAATAGGCTGCTCCGTGACGTAGTGAGCTCTCCCTGCTGCAGGCATCTAAGCCAAAGGTTATCACCTGCCAAGGTTATCACGGAGGGGATTTCTGCTGTGGTGGGTGTTGGACCTGCATAACCTCTGAGCACCTTCCCAATTCATTTATTCTGTCAGCATTAAAAAAATATGTTGTGGGCTGGGCGCGGTGGCTCATGCCTGTAACCCCAAGACTTTTGGAGGTCGAGGCAGGCGGATCACAAGGTCAGGAGTTTGAGACCAGCCTGACCAACATGGTGAAACCCCGTTTCTACTAAAAATACAAAAATTAGCCAGGCATGGTGGCGGGCGCCTGTAATCCCAGCTACTCAGGAGGCTGAGGCAGGAGAATCGCCTGAACCGGGGAGGCAGAGGTTGCAGTGAGCCAAGATGCGCCACTGCACTCCAGCCTGGGCGACAGAACGAGACTCTGTCTGAAAAAAAAAAAAAAAAAAGTTGTGAGCCCCTCCTGCTGAGCAGGCACTGGGTGCTGAACAGGAGTCCCTGAACCCCTGACCTCAGGTGATCCGGCTGCCTCGGCCTCCCAAAGTGCTGGGATTATAGGCATGAGCCACCGTACCCAGCTGGCAATTTCTATGTATTTTGCTCATGAATGTGCAGCCTGGGACTCAGCAGGGACCACTTGTCTCTGCTCCAGGCAGCGTCAGCTCAACTGGGGGCTGGAGGGTCCCTTTCCAAGATGGGTCACCCACATGGCGGGCTGCCAGCAGGGAGCTCAGCCTCTTTCGTCATATAGGGTACAAAAACCACACAGACAAGGCCACCTCAAGCCAAATGGTAGCCAGATTGCTGCTGTAAGCAGCCCCCACCTCATCAGCTGGCAACAGGAGCCATGGACCCTGGGTCCTGCAAGACAGGGTTGAGGAAGGACGAAAGCAGAGGCCAGAGAGGTCCAGTAAAAGCTTTGGATTCTGAAGTCAGTGGAGAAGCCAAATCCTCCATTGTCAAAATTACCCTTTAAAAATCCCTTAAGCATTGGAGATCAATACACATCTCTCCCCAGGCCCAGCTCGCTGGGGTCTTCTCTGGCAATGAGCAAGGTTACTCTGGGTCCACAGGTTGAGCACAAAATGAAGAAGGAGGCTTAGTTTGGGATCTTGCAGGAAGATTATCTGCTGAATCTGAAGGCAGCAGAATCCAGAGAGGAGGCCAGGAAGAGCCGCCCTTCCTCCTAGCAGGCGCGGGCCTCCCTGGCACTTTGATAAATAGGTGAAGATGAGGGGTTCCTCTTGCTAAACATAGTTTTATCTGATTAAAAGAAAATCTATAGTTTATTTTTTCTTGATTTTTCTTTCTTTTTTTTTTTTTTCTTGGAGACAGAGTTTTGCTCTTGTTGCCCAGGCTGGAGTGCAGATCTCAGCTCACTGCCACCTCCGTCTGCTGGGTTCAAGTGATTCTTGTGTCTCAGCCTCCCATTTTGTTAATATTTCTAATCCTTCTAAATAGTAATTCACACTATTAATGCTATTAAGCTTGTTATTAAGGAGAAGACACGCTGTTACCCTCACAACCCCCACAGCACAATACCTTGTATCTACTATGTGTTCAGCAAATATTTGTCTATTAAATTGATTAGAAGGATCCTTCTAAATGATAATGAAAGTAAATATAGAATGCCAACACTATAGATGCCATTCCCATTGCCAGTGCCCTTTCATCGTGGTGACAAAACCAGCTGTCCTGGAGCGTCTGAACATGAATAATGAACTTAAATAGAAGAAATGAACTCACCATCCACCTAGAGTGGGAGAGGAAATATTGCTGAAGCCTCACGAGTTAGCAAACAAGAGCATCCCCTTCCAGACGGGCATCAAGAATGACATCTCTTAGGTGCGGGAAAAAGACTAGAAGGCTGAAGGCCCCCCAAAATATTCACAGGGTGCTAGAAATGGATGCTTTTTCTTTTCCTTGTTTTGATTTTTATTTTCTAAATTTTCTACAAAGACTGTGCAGGACGATCATAAGAAAAAGAATGATATAAAAGAAAAAAAGATGATCTGCTGGACAAAATTAACTTTCTTTTGTCAGATCATAATAATAGGTAATAGTTATCAAGAGCCTTCTACATACCGGGCACTGTTCTGAGACTTTAACATGGATTATCTCATTGAACCCTCACAATCACACAATGGGGGTAGATACTAGGTACATCACTATTTTACAGACGATAGGGCTAAGCACAATGGGCAAGTAACTTGCCCGAGGTCATGGGGTCATTTACAGAGCCATGGAGGCAGCACCTCAGTTCCTTTCCCAGTGATATGGTTTGGCTGTGTCCCCACCCGGATCTCATCTTGAATTCCCACGTGTTGAGGGAGGGGCCTGGTGGGAGGTAATTGAATCATGGGGGCAGGTCTTTCCCGTGCTGTTCTCATGGTCGTGAATAAATCTTACGAGATCTTATGGTTCTATAAGGGGGAGTTTCCCTGCACAAGCTCTCACTCTCTTTGCCTGCTGCCATCCATGTAAGATGTGACTTGCTTCACCTTGCCTTCTGCCATGGTTGTGAGGCTTCCCCAGCCACGTGGAGCTGTAAGTCCATTAAACCTCTTTCTTTTGTAAATTGCTCAGTCTCAGGTATGTCTTTATCAGCAGTGTGAAAATGGACTAATACACTCAGAGCACAGAAGTACCTGGGGCTAGACCTCTGAGACTATTCTGCACAGTGTTGTTCCAAGCAGAGCTTCTGCACTGAAACCACCTGAGGAGCTTATCCAGCTCAACGTTCGGGTTCCCCACCCCCATGCCTGCAGTGTGCTGGTAAATGTTCAACAGCAACTCTCAGGTTGGTAGCCCTGGATTACAACCTCTGCCAATTTCCATGGTGTAAATACTCTCACCATGGCCAATTCCAGGCTACCAATGTGGAATCACTGAGTATGCAGTGAGTTAGGAAGAGATAATACAGTCATATAATGGTGACTATTTATGGCAATGAGGACACATGCTGAGAAATGAGTCATTAGGCAATTTTTGTCATTGTGCAAACATCACAGAGTGGGCTTACACAAACCTAGATGCTCTAGCCTCCTCCACCCCGAGGCTGTATGGTATGGCCTATTGCTCCTAGGCTGCAAACCTATACAGCAGGTTACTATACTGAGGACTGCAGGCAGTCTTAACACAATAAGGATTTGCGTATCTAAACATAGAAAAGATGCAGTGAAGGCCAGGTGCGGTGGCTCACACCTGTAATCCCAGCACTTTGGGAGGCTGAGGTGGGCGGATCACCTGAGGTCAGGAGTTCAAGATCAGCCTGGCCAACATGGTGAGACCCCATCTCTACTAAAAATACAAAAATTTTAGCCAGGTGTGGTGGCACATGCCTGTAATCTCAGCTACTCGGAAGGCTGAGGCAGGAGAATCACTTGAACCTGGGAGGCAGAGGTTGCAATGAGCTGAGATTGCACCACTACACTCCAGCCTGGGCAACAGAGTGAGACTGTGTCTCAAAAAAAAAAAAAAAAAAAAGAAAAGAAAAGAAAAGAAAAAAGATGCAGTGGAAGTGCAGTATTATAATCTTAATGCACTGCCATATACACAGTCTGTCGTTGACTGAAACGTCAATATATTACATGAGGCTATCTAGATACAATAGCTATAGATAACCTCAAGAACATAGATAATAGTAAAATAATGAGGAAGGGATATGTTTGGAGTGTTCATTTGCTTGTCATATCATAAGTTTATATAATTCAATTTTCAGTGATGGCTGTGTTTACCAACTCACTCCCAGAATTCCTGAAAAATTGACAGCTCTCTGGAGCCGGTGTGAGACAGGTCCTGCACATCCCCATGACAAGCACAGACATTGCACATCCCGGGGAGGGTCCCGGGAGCTGGGGGCAGGACTCTGCAGGTCAGCAAGCTCCTCCAGCTCTTCTCGCACACACTGAGGCTTGTGAGTTTGAGAACTGGGCTATCAGGCTTTACTACCCGGAGCACAGGTCTAAGACCCCTCAGAATCCTCAGCCAAGCCCAGCCACACTGCGGATGCTCAGCCTTTAGGCCATGGAGGAGGCAGAAGGGCAGGCTGGTCTGGATTTTACCAACCCCCCTCCTGTGGTGCCTACCTCTTGATTTTTGCTATTTCGCTCAAGTGACTTGTCTGCAATATAGAGTGGTCCCTTATGTCTTTCTGTTCCAGTCCTCCAAACACCACCAGCTTGGCCTACAAACATTTAGGATGTTGGTGATTAAAAATATATACTGCTTTTGGATTTATAGCACTTACTGGTTACTTGAATTGATCATTTAATTTTATCATTACCAGCCAATCTATTAGTTGAATGCTCCTGAAGCTTTCATCAAAGGGTTTGGGGAAAGAAAAGAGAAAAAAAAAAGTCCAAGTTCTTGCCCATTGGAGGAAAAAAAGAAAGCCAACCAGAGACTCTAAGGAAAAAATATATAAACAAGTATAAACTCATACTTATCTGAAAACTGGGACTTTAAACTTGCAGGCAGTGGCTTCCTACATCAGAGGATCTTTAGGGAACCACCAGCAGAAAGTTCCTCCCTGTGGCCTGACACGTTTTGCCCAGGACATTCAGGGGGTGAATGGAATGATAGCAGGTGGTGGGAGGGGTTCAGCCCAGCAGGACATCACCAGGACAGATCCAGAGGGGTGTGTGCAGACCCCTCCAGAAGGCCTCATTGCTGCTGCCCTGCAGCTCCCAGTCCAGAGGGTGGGGGTCTGAAGACATAAGCAGGATGTCACCTCCACGTAATTACTCTGCTGTGAGTGACTCCAGGGGTGCCCTCAGTCCGATTCGGGTGGTGGCATTTAAGAGAGGAAGTAGGGGAACCCTAGTCAATATTCCCTTGATCTCTGCTTGTGTGTACACTGGCAAGGAGGAATGTGTGGATTTCCAGCAGCAGGAAACAAACCGTTTTCATAGCTGAGTGTGTGGGGGTGGAGTGTTTCTAAAGCCTAGTTATCTCATGTGTCTGTCTTCTGAGGCCCTAACTGAGATTTTATGGCAAACTTTCAAGGTACTAATGCCTAAGAAGTAACAGGAGACAAGGAGACATCGGCTCTCAGTAGTGAAGGGAACATCCTGTCATGCAACAACCAAGGGACATAGGCCAGAATAACGCGTCTCAGTCTGTTCTGTGCTACTGTAACGGAATACTTAAGACTAGGTAATTTATCGGAAATGTATTTGGCTTGATCCTTCTGTAGTTCGTGAGCATGATGATTGGGTGCTCACACACATATGTGAGATGTACCACCCTCAAACCTTGTTACAATGTCAGCACATTACCCATCTGACCTGAAAAAAAAAGAAAGAAAAAGAAACATATTTGGCTCACAGTTCTGGAGGCTGGGAAGTCCAAGACCATGGCACTGGCATCTGGTGAGGGCCTCTGTGCTGTGTCGTGCCATGGCTCAAGGCAGAAGGGCAAGAGAGGATGAGGGTGAGCGGGCAAGAGGGACCCAAACTCGCTTTTATAACCACCCACTCTCAAGATAACTCACTCCCAAGACAAAAGCATTAAGTCCTCCCTGAGTACAGAGCCCTTTTGACCTAATCACCTCTTATAAGGCCCCACCTCTAAACACTTGCACCGAAGATTATGTTTCCAACATATGAACTTTAGGGGACACATTCAAACCGTAGCAAAAGCATAATAATAATAGCCAGTATTTATTAAGCACTTACTGCTTGCTGGGCGTTAGGTTAAGAGCTTTAGCTGTGTTACTGTATTCTCACAAGAACTGTCTGATGTAGACACCATTTTTATCTTCATTTAACAGATAAGGAATCTGAGGCTTAAGTAAGCCAATTAGTTGGCCAAACAATGGTTCAAGGATTGAAGCCTGTCTCACACCAAAGTCTAGCCCTTAATCTTTTATGCTGTATAGAGTGATCTGACACCATTGTCATGGTTGCCTCTCCATTTTGTCCTGAGGCTTTGCTTGCAAAAGTCGGCACTCACTTGGCAAGCACTGTGCCTCCTCCTCGGGCCAGAGTCAGAACCCTGAATGCATCCTCCGGCAGTCGGGGCTGAAGCTGTGGGAAGCACATGCTGGCTTTGTGGCTGTAAAGTTAGAAACTGCTACAGCAGAGGGGCTTGACAGGGAAGGTTATGGGAAATGTCCTAGCCAGGGACTCCATCTCCACCCACTACGCAAATAGAAATGAAAAGACTTCTATTTTGGGATTAACTGGGTTCTTTTATTTGTAAATCCTTTCTAAATATTAATCTAAGCTCCCAACCCTCATGGCTAATGTTTCCTTTAAGTTTCCAGTTAACACATGGGAAAATCATTGCAAATCCGTGACAGCCTTGGCACCTACTCTTGAAGAGGTGGGTGTCTGAGACTCATGGAACCCTAGAGGCAGCCAACACCTCAGGCATCACAGTGCCTTCATTTTCTAGTGAGCTGACGATCAGTGTCGAGACTCTGACCCGGCCTCCAGACTCAGATTCCAGGGCTTCTTCCCCTCTGCTGCGCTGCTGGAATCCACAGCCCCAGCTGGTGCCCCAGCCATCAGAATATCTGCCCTTTTCTCCAGGAGAGAGACTGAACTCCATGCAAACATTAGCCAAACACAAGCCATGTCCTGGAAGGCATGCTGAGAGCTGGCAGAGAGGGGAAGGTGAGAGATGGAAGCGCCTGGCCCTGGGTAGATATAGCAGGAGCACAGGCAGGGCCATGGATGTACCCAATCTGGGGACCATCGCAGGGAGCCCTGGACTTCATGAACAGGAGGACTCTGGTCCTGCTTCCTAGGACGACCTTAAAGAAACATCAGCCTGAAGACTTTGGGACCATCCCAGGCCCAGCCAGGAGTTGAGACATGAGGACTTTCTGGGCACAAAAGTTAAAAATTGAACTTGCACCATCGCCTGAGTCAGCTTTGCTGTGTGCCCTTCTATCTGGAGCACTTATGTTGCACAACTCCAGGGAGCAGCATTTCCATAGAACACAGTGTCAATCCCATCACTTTCATTCTTTCTCTTTAACCAGAAAGACCAACTGTAGAAAAGGTAAGGTGTTGGCCACTCATTCAACAAGCCTTTGTTGGGCATCTAGTGCCAGCCTCAGGGCCAGGCCCTGGTTATACAGTTAACAAAGTAGTCATGGTCCCTGCTTTCATGGAGCTTGAAGTGTAACAGAGTTTGGCAGAAAATACGTATACAATGCCTAAATGAAACCAACTATGGGAAAGACATCAATTGAATACCCACAAGCATCCATGCCCTGGGCTTCCGGGACCTGCGGCCCCCAGCCTGGCAGAGTCACTACCCTCAGACACTCACCAGGGAGAAGTGGGAAATCCCTCCTGAGCCGGGGAAGGGAAAACTCTGCTTCAGTCAGACCTGCCCCCTGAACCTCAAGGAGCTCAGGTCACAGGCTTACAGACCTTTCCAGAACAGTGAGCCTTCCTGGGAACCCATCTAAACAGCTGACCATGTCCCAGAGACTTTAGTGCCGCCTGGAACTCTGGAGGATGTGACGTTCCAACTTGAAGCAGCTCAGGATGTCCAGTACCAGCATGTCTAAGTCTGGGGTGTGGGAGGGGCCGTGGAGGGGAGGCCTGCCGTGGGTCTCCTGTTGACATGCACCTGCGGCCGCCAGGCTCCCGTGTGCCACAAACACAAGCGCTCTTTGCTCTCTCAACAGGTTGTTCCATTCAGGTTTTTTGAAAACAGTGCGCTAACCGGGTCTGAAGGAGGTCTCTCTCTCAAATTCCCCTGCAAAGGAAATCATGGGATTGCAGTGAGACTTTGTGTCATGGCCTTCTCTTTCATAAAATCCTTGTTGTCTGTAATACTCCTGTTTCCAGCTCAGAGGCTGCTCCCAAAATCAACAGACTTCCCACCCAACTGCAGAGCCCGCAGGTCAAACTCCCCCAAAGAGGATACTATTTTACCCAGTTGAGGTAAAAGAGCCTTTGAAAGTCCCCACCTAATACTCATAAAAATGGTCTTATTTCAGAGTTATTACACGGATTTCTCCCTCAAGAGGATGAAACTTTTCCATAAATTAAAGATTAATTTAATGCAAATGGAAGACTTGGCTCTGAGATTAGAAAGACCTGGGTTCAAATTCTGACTCTGCTACTTAAATCTATGTGGCCTCCCTCGGGTGACTTAACTTCTCTGAGCCTGTCACCTAGTCTGTAAAATAGTGATAGTAACTGTGCCAGCATTCACGTGGTGAGACTGGGGATAGCATAGGAAAGTCTCACAACACATAGTAAGCTCTCAATAAATGAGAGTCCCTATTTTTATTTTGGATTTGGTTTTTCAAACCCATTTTCAGAGGCAGCTGTGAAAGTGCATTTCATCTGCGAGTGGGTGGTTTGTTGTGGTACACTGGCTGAAACAGATGCCCTTTTCCTGTCTTTATGCAACTGGATGCTTCTAAAATTCTTTTTTGTGCCATGGAAAAGGCTTGCCTGCCCATGGATCGCTCTTCCTCCTCCTCCGACATGAGCGAGTGCTTCGTGCTTCTCTCTCTAGGCTGCTCCCTCCCACACTGTACCGTCCATGGCGTTTGTGCTGAGTTCTCACTTTCCTTCAGACTGAGAGGATCAGATACCCTGGTCAGTGACCGTGGTTCCGGTCCACCTGCTCGACCTGGGGCTGCGGCAGGGAGGCTGGATTCAGAGGCAGTGTTTCTTGCCAAGTTTCCCTCAAATCCTGCTATGGGAGAAGAGCTGTGGGTATTATCAGCACAAAGATTCCCACCAACCTTCGCTGGAAGAAAAATATAATTTCTAAGAGGAGAAACACTGAATAAAGAGATTGTATATGTGAAATACTTTGCACCTGTATCTGAATCTTTTCATCCATCCATCATCCATCCATCCATCCACCTATTCATCTATCCATCTGTCCTCCCATCCATCCATCTGCTCATCCATCCGTCCGTCCATCCATCCATCCATCCATCTGCTCATCTGTCCACCCATCCATCCATCCGTCCATCCATCCATCTGTCCATCCATCTATTCTTCCTGCATTACGTATCCTTGTGTTGAATTCCTGTAATAAGCACATCACACACAGGGGATCAGGGATGGAGAAGAGGGGTCCTCTCTGTCAAGTAACTCACAGAACGTTCAAGAAGGCAGACGAGGAAAGAGGCAACTGCAATACCGTGTGACAAGCGTGAGGTGAGGGAGGAGGGAGTGGGAGAAGATACTGAGCACTTGGCTAGGACACGTAGCCTGTGCGGCACCACCAGGGAGGCTTCCCAAAGTTGGTAATTTTTCATGTCCATGCAAAGCATGATGGGAGCCATCAGAATTTAATGCCACGCAGAGAGGAGGGAACGGACAACACAGGGGTAAGGAACAGCATGTGCGAGGCCCAGAGGCCACAGCAGATTCCCAGGCTGGGGGCCAGTGGCAGCCACAAGGCAAGGGCTGGGCTCAGGGCTTCTCTTTCTTTTTTGGGCCATCAACCCCTTGTGCAACTCTGTGAGGTTTATGAGTCTCTTTTCAGAGTCATGTTTTTAAATGCATAAATTAAATACACAGGATGACAAAGGCAACCAATGACATTGAAATACAGTAATCACAACATTAAAAAAATAGTAATAGATGTCATCTATTAACACATTAAATAACAAGATCTAGCAAAGGGGCTCCAAGTACCATGGTGTCTCAGTGGTGAAATGTGTAAATATTTCAAGGTATTGTCAACAACTGCCATGTAATATGAAAATATCTGTAGTTTCCACTGGTGTCAAAATACCGGTGCTCCTAGACCACATGGTTTATTGCCCACATTCCTAATTAAAGAAAATGCTAAATTTCAGTTTGAAGTTAGTAGAAAATGTAATTCCTCCTCCCCACCATTTCCTATTCCCAAGAAGTCCTTTCTTCGCATTCACGGACTCCAGCCTCACAAACCCCTGGTCCTAACTCAGTCAGCTCCTCCTGCCACAGCTCCTCAGTCACTCTGGATTCCATGACCTCAACAATCCCAAATGCGATCATTGACACATTTGTGTCACTGTCCTTCTCGCCTGTGGGCAGGAATTGCGTCTGTCCTTTCACTTCTGTGAATCCAGAGCCCATCAGAGCAAGTCTGCACACATTAGATACTCAGGAAATGTTAAATGAATGAATGAGTCATGTCACACCAAGGATTGTGGACTTTGGACAGGGATTTGGGGGTAGAGATTGGAGTGGCATGATGAGATTTACTATGAATTTCAGAGCGTGACAAAATCAAATCTCTGAGGTGTCCCGTTTCTACCGCATCTATTGTGGCTCAGGTGAGGCAACTGCAAGACAAACAGGAAAAGATAAATAAATCTTTATAATAAGGAAAAGATAAATAGATTTTATTTCACTTGTGGGATTCATGCAACTCCTACCTGAATCTTTAATAACAATGGAAAAAACCATGATCCTGTGGCAAAGAAAAGAAAAAACACCTTCTTGGCCAATTTTAAGACCTGCTGTGGAAAAACAAAAGTGCTTTAAGAAATAAACATAGAAGTAAATCTTTAACAACCAGAGAGTTAATTTAATGCCATGCAGATATTACAAAATATGAGATACAGCTTTAATGTGTCATTAGTTTTGAAACTCAAAAAAAACAAACAAGAATGGACTTTGAATGATAAGAATATGTGTTAGTGTTTCTCGAACTTGAAGAATTTACAGAGAAATAGTTTTTAGGCTTTCATAATATGCTCATGAACCCCAGTTTGAGAAAACACTGACTTAAGAAACTTAAAGTCTTTTTATGAAAATATTAAATATAAATTACCATTGTAAGTTTTCTCATTATATTCTTAGAATTGCTAATTTAAAAAAAACTAAAATAAAAATATAAAATTAAAATCTTGCAGCTATCCAGGCATCTATGATTCCCAGAATGAAGAACTTTGTATTTTAGAAAATTATAATTACAGTAAATAGAATATCTAGTTGCCTGAGAAATAGGTAGTTGCCATTTTCTTTGATGTTGTGATATACTGACAAAACTTATATTTTAATTGTAAGTGGCTGCAACTTAAGGGAAAAAGAAAATAGTAGAATCAAGAGATTCTACTTTTACTATTAATTTATAATTTCTATCTCACCTAACCTATTCCTCTAAATAATCTGAAATTGGCTAAAACAATTATAAATTCTGCAAAACAACATTGTTGCAAGAATTTTTAGTTTATTGATTTACCTCTTCTCCACAGAGTATGTGCAACTTTAAAATTTTGAAAATTAAAAGTGATTTTTGCAACCATCTTTGATATCAAAGGCATGATAAGTAAACTCTTGCTTAAGTGAAGACTAATATGCATCTTGTCTAAATTATTAAATAGAAAGATATTGTCAATGTATGTGTCATCATTGTAAAAAGTTAAGTGGTTATGGACGGGAAAATCACATCTGTTCTTACCAGTTCATTCTTGGTACTATGACTCATGGCTGATTATATGTCTGCTGTCCCTGCTTCCTGTTGGAGGAAGTTCTTGAAGGAAATGACCATATTCTCTTCCTTTCTGGAAAGTTCTTTCCATTCCTGACATAGTTGGCTTTTCTGAGACCATTTTGCAGTGACCACTGCCAAAACAAGGCTTTGACAGTGCAGCTTCCCACTGCCTGGCAGTGCCCACACCTCTTCCTCTCTTCTGCTGCTAACTAAATACTTGACAGCTTTGGCCTGGGCCACCCACTGTCTTACCCTTCTTGCTCTTAGACTTAGCTTTCAGCACAGTTCCCAGCTCAGCTCACTTTTTGTTCGTTTTTTGCATTTCCTGCGATTGTCTCAGGTTAGAATTTCTGCACCCACCCCTAACCCAAGAAACCCCACCTTTGGCTCCCCATGTGTCCAGAATCTAGGAACTGCTCATCACTGTGTGTGAATTAAACTGAATGAAGCGTGGTGATGAGAGGACTCGGGGACCTAAAATGCATTGTGATACATGAATATTTTGTAAGGGCTTTTTAGACCGACATAGTAAAAAAGAAAATTTGCTTCCTCACAACAAAGTTTTGATTTATCGTTTTTGTTTATTTTTAATTTTCTAGCCTCATTCCATAAGGGGATGCTGAGGTTGCTGGAAAAAACTAGAGCCTGACGTATGTTAGGAAGAAATTATTTTAATTTTACTAAAGCCAAAAGATAACCATAGAGCTGGTTGCCTGCCAGGTCCCAGAGCACCTCCCTTCTCCCCCACTTGGGAGTCAGTCTCAGCCATCTCCACGGTGTGGTTCTGGAGTAAAGAGAGCCGGATGGCTCATGTGTCTCAGAGATTTCACAAAGATCTGGTTCAACTCAGGATTGTGACAAACCATAGGCCCTGGTGGCCACTGTAAATATAAGGGTTAATTAATTCACCCTTTCATCCTGTGACATATTCATCCATTCTCTCAACAAACCGAGCCATGCCCTGGGTACTGTACTAAGGCAGATACCGAGATGGGTCAAATGTGGTTCCAGCCACCATGATCCAGTATGACAGGCGTGAAGAAGAGGAAGGGCAGGGTGCTATGGGAGCCCAGAAGGCAGCTCCTAACCCAGAAGGGGAGGTCAGGAGTGAGCTTCCTGCAAAAGCTGATGTTTAAATTAGAGGATTTAACAAGAAGAATGAGATGGAGGAGGCACCCAGTCAGAGGAACAGCAGGTCTGAAGGCTGGGAGGCGAGAACCCCACAGAGAAACAGCAGGTCTGAAGGCTGGGAGGCGAGAACCCCACAGAGAAACAGCAGGTCTGAAGGCTGGGAGGCGAGAACCCCACAGAGAAACAGCAGGTCTGAAGGCTGGGAGGCGAGAACCCCACAGAGAAACAGCAGGTCTGAAGGCTGGGAGGCGAGAACCCCACAGAGAAACAGCAGGTCTGAAGGCTGGGAGGCGAGAACCCCACAGAGAAACAGCAGGTCTGAAGGCTGGGAGGCGAGAACCCCACAGAGAAACAGCAGGTCTGAAGGCTGGGAGGCGAGAACCCCACAGAGAAACAGCAGGTCTGAAGGCTGGGAGGCGAGAACCCCACAGAGAAACAGCAGGTCTGAAGGCTGGGAGGCGAGAACCCCACAGAGAAACAGCAGGTCTGAAGGCTGGGAGGCGAGAACCCCACAGAGAAACAGCAGGTCTGAAGGCTGGGAGGCGAGAACCCCACAGAGAAACAGCAGGTCTGAAGGCTGGGAGGCGAGAACCCCACAGAGAAACAGCAGGTCTGAAGGCTGGGAGGCGAGAACCCCACAGAGAAACAGCAGGTCTGAAGGCTGGGAGGCGAGAACCCCACAGAGAAACAGCAGGTCTGAAGGCTGGGAGGCGAGAACCCCACAGAGAAACAGCAGGTCTGAAGGCTGGGAGGTGAGAACCCCCAACAGTGGATCTACAGCTCTCCAGACAGGATCATCTTCTGCTGACCCTGAGAATCTCCGCCATCAAAAACGTTCATGGAACTGAGGCCACTTCCTGTCTGGGGGCACCCAGCTGGGAACCCTGTGGCTTAAAACCTCCCTCCGCACAGACCTCCTGGGACTCAGGCAGCTCGCCTGTGTCTGGGCGAGAGGTCATTGCTGTAGGGGAGATGTTGCTGGAGGCAGTACGAGGGGCTTAGCCTCAGCGCACATCCTGAGTGGGAGAAGGAGGGGCAGAGCCAAGCTCCCAGTCCCTGCGTAGCTTCCCAGAGTACCCCCATAAGACAAACAAAGCCCCATTCTAACCCACTCTTCCATGTAATCCAAGCTGGGCCTACCACCCTCAACCTCCTTCCAGAAGGTAAGGAGGATCTTACTGTTTGTACCCCCAGACTAATAGAAACAATTCTTGCAGTGTCCCCCCAGGGACCAAATATGTGGAGTCCACATTCACAGAGCATCTGGGGTGTCCCACACACGTGAGGCCCAGGGCTCCCTGCAGTGAGTCTCGTGGTGTTGGGAAACCGCAGCCGGGCACTGGCTGGCTTGCCTCTTAGTTGACCCTTTATTCTCCTCCGGGTGTGGCTGGCTGCATGATTTCGGGCTGGGATCCCGACACAGACCTGTGGACATCTGGGCCCATGCCAAGTTGGTGTATTTCAAACCCCCAGCAATGACAGAAATGACAGAAATGTCACTTAAAACAATCTCCTGTCTATTAAGGTAGCACAATTTTTTTTTTTTTTAAAGAATAAAGCACAATACTGGCAGGACTTTCAGGAAATAAGCATGCCCATATGTGATGGCTTCTTATGGTGTTCCTTTCTTTCTTTCTTTCTTGAGAAAGATCAGACAATAATGTAACAAGAGCTATGGAACTGTTTGGCCCAATAATCCCACTTTTGGGAATACACTACAAGAAAATAATTTCAAAGAAAAAAGCTAATATGTACAAATAAATACACAGCAGCTGCAACTGCACACGGTATAAAACTGGAAACAAACCAGACAAACAATAGAGGAAAGAGCTAAACAAATTATGGAGTGCCATGAAATACTTTATGGCCATTGAAAATGACAAGGACAGGGCCAAGTGCGGTGGCTCACCCTGTAATCCCAGCACTTTGGGAGGCCGAGGTGGGTGGATCACCTGAGGTCAGGAGCAGAGATATGGTGAAACCCCCTCTCTACTAAAAATACAGAAATTAGCCGGGCATGGTGGCGGGCGCCTGAAATCCCAGCTACTCGAGAGGCTGAGGCAGGAGAATTGCTTGAACCCAGGAAGTGGAGGTTGCAGTTAGCTTAGATCACACCATTGCACTCCAGCCTGGACAACAAGAGCAAAACTCTGTCTCAAAAAAAAAAAAAAAAAAAAAAAAAAGTAAAGAAAATGACAAGGAAAGGACCATTTTGACGCATTAACGTTGGAATATTTAAGCAATGATACAATGTAAAGCAGCACACGCATGCTGCATGGAACTATATTTTTGTAAATGCTTAAGTGTTCTACAAACATAACAAGATAGCCTAAAAGGAAATAAGTTGAATTTAAATGTTCACTAGGTCCTTTCTTTGCGTTGCTCAAGTTCATCATTTACAAAGCACAGTTTTCCTTTTTTTTTTGAGACGGAGTCTCGCTCTGTCGCCCAGGCTGGAGTGCAGTGGCGCGATCTCAGCTCACTGCAAGCTCCGCCTCCCGGGTTCTCGCCATTCTCCTGCCTCAGCCTCCCGAGTAGCTGGGACTACAGGCACCCGCCACCGCGCCCAGCTAATTTTTTTTGTATTTTTAGTAGAGACGGGGTTTCACCGTGGTGTCGATCTCCTGACCTCGTGATCCGCCCGCCTCGGCCTCCCAAAGTGCTGGGATTACAGACGTGAGCCACCGCGCCCGGCCACAAAGCACAGTTTTCAAAAGCAGATGTCTCTTTAGAAGGACAACAACCCAAAGGATGGGATCCCTGGGACATGGCCGGGGATGCGCTGTCAGAGCATTCGTTTGCCAGGTCACTTTGTCTCTGACTTGCACGTCATATTTGCACACCTCCCTCAGCCAGAATGCATGCTCCTCTGTTCTCCAAGCACAGCAGTCCAGATGAATGCAAAGGAAGTGGCTTTTCTCATCTCCGCTGCACGTAGTGCCGGGCAGGAATTGACAACAGGGGAGCAGGAAATTTTCCATTTGAATTAGAAGGCTAAGATGTCCCCTACCTTCTCTGGGACAATTGGTCCGTCTGGGCTGGCATTTGCTGTGTGGAATGGAAAGGAGTTATGCTGGAGGAAGTGAATGAGCAACAACCTCATATCAGGGATATTTAAGGTCTGACAGCTGAGAAGCTCATCAGCAACAATCCTGGTGCAAATTGGGAGCTTCTGGAAACAGGGACCACCAATTCTCCTCTCCCAATTTTATTATGATTAGGTCCCAATCAAAAGATTATTTGGGCCGGGCACCGGGGCTCACGCCTATAATCCCAGCACTTTAGGAGGCCGAGGCAGGTGGATCACCTGAGGTCAGCAGTTCAAGACCAGCCTGGCCAACATGGTGAAACCCTGTCTCTACTAAAAATACAAAAATTAGCTGGGCGTGGTGGCACACACCCGTAATCCCAGCTACTGGAAGGCTGAGGCAGGAGAATCGCTTGAACTCAGGAGGCAGAGGTTGCAGTGAGCTGAGATCGCACTACTGCACTCCAGCCTGGGTGACAGAGCAAGACTCTGTCTCAAAAAAAAAAAAAAAAAAAAAAGGAGAGAAAGAAAGACTATTTGGGAACAGCTTTATTGAGCTCTAATTCACATATCATACAATTCATCCATTTGAAGTGTTCGATTCCATGGCTTTTAGCATATCCCAGAGCTGTGCAATCATCACCACAACCAATTTTAAAACATCTCCGTCACCCCTCAAAGAAACCCAGACCCTTCAGCCCTCACTCCCTCATCCTCCTCCCATTACCCCCACATCTAGGCTACCATGAATCCACTTTCTGTTTCTATAGATTTTCCTGTTCTGGACATTGCATATAAATGGAATGGTACAATATGTGGTCTTTGTACTTCTTTCACTTAGCGTAATGTCTTCAAAGTTCATCCAGGTTGCAGCCTGTAACACTACTCCATTCCTCGTTATGGCAAAATAATATTGTGTTATACGAGGAGACCGCATTGTATTAATCCACTCATCAGTTGCTGATCATTTGGATTGTGTCCACTTTTTGGCTATTATTAAGAATGCTGCTATGAACCTTTATGTACAAGTTTGTGGGTGGACGTATGTTTTCATTTCTCTTGGGTGTATGTCTAAGGGTGGAAGTTCTGGGTCATATCGGAGCTCTATGTTTAGCCTTTGGAGGAACCACTGAATTGTTTTCCAAAGTGACTGCACCACTTTGCATTCCCACCAGAGTGTATGCGGTTCCCATTTCTCCCATCCTCACTAATACTTGTTATTATCTGTCTTCTTTATTCTAGCGGTCCTCGTCACTGTGCAGTCTCACGGCAGTTTTGATTTGCATTTCCCTGAGGATGCATGATGTTGAGGACTTTTTCATATGCCTGTTGGCCATTTGTGCATCTTCTCTGGGGAAATATCTATTCAGATCCTTTGCCCATTTTTAAATTCGGTTGTCTTTTTATTATTGAGTTGGAATAATTATTTATACATATTTTAAATGCAACCTCTGTATCAGAGATGTGATTTGCAAACATTTTCTACCAGTTAGTTTCTTTTCACTGTTTTCATGGTGTCCTTTGAAGCACAAAAATTTTGGTTTTGATGATGTCCAACTTGTCTATTTTTTCTTTGATTGATTATACGCCAAAGACTCTTGCCAGGCTTGGCCCTATGGAAACATTCTGTGCGGGGTTTTGGAGGAAATTTAATTTAATATAAAATGTAATTTAACTTAAAACTCCTATATTGCTATCATATTATAAATCCAGTTCGGGATTTAGAAATGTATAAACTCTGTAAATATGCCACTTACAACTCATTAGACTTTTAACTTACAATGCTCCAATTCTTGGAGAGGAACATTTTGAATAATGGAGAATACTTCTTTTCCCCACAGCAGCCGGGGGCCTGACCCTCCATTATCACTTCTCTTAATAACTTCCCAGAGCCTCCACCAGTATCAAAAGATGTCCCAAGTACCTCTCAGAATTTAATATACATATACATTTCTTCCCACAATTTCCACTTCTAGAAATTGATTCTGAAGACATTCTTACAAAGATCACTATTCAAGGATGTTCACCGCAGAATTACTTTGTAAAAGGGAAAACATAAGCCTCATCTAAACCTCCATCCATAGAGGACTGAAGAAATTAAAATTGTAGTATGGAAGTCTCTGGAACAGTTTTAAAAGGTGATGGATCTTTAAGTGTTGGCTTCAATGAATATTCACAATATATTGTTTACTTAAAAAAATAGAGGTAAGGTATGGAAAATATACACTATATATAGTTTTTTTTTTGTAAAAAAACTAACTTGTTGGGCATTCACAGCTTTTTTTTTTTTTTTTTTTGAGATAGTCTCACTCTGTTGCCCAGTGCAGTGGCACAATGGGCTCACTGAAACCTCCGCCTCCCGGGTTCAAGTGATTCTCCTGCCTCAGCCTCCCAAGTAGCTGCGATTACAGGCATCCGCCACCACACCCGTATAATTTTTGTATTTTTCGGAGAGACACGGTTTCACCATGTTGGCCAGGCTGGCCTCGAACTCATGACCTCAAGTGATCTGCCCGCCTCAGCTTCCCAAAGTGCTGGGATTACAGGCATGAGCCACCGCGCCCGACCCGCATGTCGGTATTAATAGCAGATAACCAAAGTGTGCCAAGGAAATATGGCTTTGTCTCTATTTTCATAATTGACCCAGTCTTCTTCAGGGCCCCCCAAGGAACAGAACTTACATTATCTGGGTAACAGCTTTTCACTTTGCTCCAGTTTGAACAGTCTCTCTCAGTTTAAACCGGTCTCTATCCAGTAAGTACTCAGTCAATTCCAGCTTCAAGTCCCCAGGAGGGGTGTTCCTCCGCTCCCTTCCTCCTGCTGGGAGCAGGGGCGAGCTCCTGGTCCTCTGGACTCTGTGGGCCCCAGGCCAGGGTGGGTCCCTGTCCCCCTCCCGCGGCAGGGCAGGCGGTTCTGTCCCTGGGCGCGCTGCTGCTCTACCCTGAGGGAGATCAGCCGCTCCTGTCCCCAGGACCCCTTGGCCTCTGCACCTGGCACCTGGGTGTGGGGCTTCATGGCTGTTTTCTTGAGATGCTCAGGGCCTGGAAGTCCCCCTTGCCTCACAGGCCCCCTTCGCCTCTCACTGGTGCTGCCGCTGCACCGCCAGGTCTGGCTGCACCCGGAGGACGGAGAACCCCACGCGGCCCGGCCCCGGGGCCCACCCTGCTCTCGTGGCTACGCCCCGCTTCTCCCACGGCCACCACCCTCTTCCCCCGCCCCCCTCCCTGGTGGTGGCCTCGCACGTGGCTTTTATTCCTCTCTTCCTCCCCTGGGAGGGGCCGCGCGCAACCCTCACCCAGGCCCTGGGCTCCCTCCCTCCCTCCTGCAGGGCCGGCAGCGCAGCTGTGCTGCTTCCAGCCTTGTTTGTTTTAAGCTCTTGGCGCCCCTGGAGGGGTCCGTGCCAGTCGGCCCTGGTCCTGACTCTACCTAGCAGGGGACTTCTGCTTTGCGGGACACGGCTGACTACAGCCCCCTGACCCCCAGCCCACGTGTCCTGACGGCCCCCTCCTCTCTCCCCTCCACACTCTCCCCACCACTGGAGCCACCCAGTCACCCCTCCAGCGTCTTGAGGATGGAGACATCTCCGGGCCATTGTTCCTCCTTGAATCACTAACGCGGTAGCATTTCTACACGGAATGCCACTTTCTCTGGCCCCAGCCCGTTGTTCACAGATTTGGGGCCACAGCTGACCACAGTCAAATAGAACCTTCTCCAGCAGAGGTTTGGGAGTGTGGCTGCTTTCTCAGCCCTTCAAGGTTACATAACAGGCACAAACCCATTTTCTTTTTTTCTTTTTTTTTCTTTTTGAGGCAGAGTCTCCCTCTGTTGCCCAGGCTGGAGTGCAGTGGCACGATCTCAGGTCACTGCAACCTTCACCTCCCAGGTTCAAGCAATTCTCCTGTCAGCCTCCTGAGTAGCTGGGATTACAGGTGTGCACCACCACACCTGGCTATTTTTTTTTTTTTTTTGTATTTTTAGTAGAAACAGGATTTCGCCATGTTGGCCAGGCTGGTCTTGAACTCCTGACCTCAGGTGACCCACCCACCTCAGCCTCCCAAAGTGCTGGGTTTTACAGGCGTGAGCCACTGCGCCTGGCCACAAACCCCATTTTCTATGTGAGAAATCAGACCCAGCTTCATTCTGTCCCCTCCTCCAGTTCTCCCACTGTGTCTGTGCCTCTCTCCAGGCAACATGTGGTTCCCCGGCCATGCTGAGTCCTGTGCTGCGCATTGGCAGGTGGACCAGACCGTGAGGGCAAGGTCTGGGACACAGCCTGTGAGTCCCCAGCCTCGGGCAGGGGCTGGCTGGGGAGGAGGAGGAATAGACCCATTTCGCTAGAGTGTATCCTCTGCAGAATTTGCATTTGTGAAGTGAGCATTTTATATTTTTATTTTTTTAAAACAGTTTTCACCTTAAATCACTATTCACTTTGCCCTCTTTCCACACACGTTGTTTGTTTTGCCAATCCCCAGGGTCCACTACACTGAAAAGTCCTTCAGCATCTGCAGTTGAGACAGGATGCCAAGCATAATACTTTTTTTTTTTTTAGTTTGAGACAGTCTCACTCTGTCACCCAGGCTGGAGTGCAGTGACACAATCACAGCTCACTGCAGCCTCTCCTGGAAGCCCTCAAACTTCGGGCTCAAGCCATTCTCCCGCCTCAGCCTCCCAAGCAGCTGGGACTACAGGTATGCACCACCACGCCTAGCTAATGTTTTCTTTTTTTTTTCTTTTCTTTTCTTTTTTTTTTTTTTTTTTTTTGAGATGGAGTCTTGCTATGTTGCCCAGGCTGGTCTCAAACTCCTCACCTCAGACGATCCTCCTGAGTAGGCCTTGCAAAGTGCGGGATTACAGGTGGGAGCCACTGCACCAGACCACGCCATGTGCAATACTGAAATAACATCAGTCATGGCCATCGCAGAACTCATGCAGAGTACACACAACACGTGCGGGGACATGTGTGTTACCCGCCCAGGGCCCATCGCCCCTTGAGGCCTCCCTGAAAGATCTCCATCCCCACCCCAACCTCATTGTGATCCACACTCCCTGAATATGTGTCCCCGGGGAGGCCAACTAACCTCACCCCAGTCAGGCTGGGCCCATCTAGCCTGAGAGAAGCCTACTCCCCGCCTCCTGGTGATGGGTTCCAGAATGGACTGGGACCCAGTTCTGTCCAACAGGAAATGAGAACGCCCAGGGCTTCAAGGAAATGTCTCATCAGGTCTAGAAGGATCCCTGAGAAGAGATGGCCCCTTTCTTGGCCTGGATGTGATACACAGAACTGCCCCAGCCATCCTGCTTCCAAGGAGGAGGTCAGCCCTGGTGACGGCAGAGTGGAGAGGTGGAGAGAAGTGGGTTCCTGACGAAACTGCACCCCATGGAGCCAGCCACCCCGAAGGCTGCCCGGCCTCCTGGCCTCCTGCTCTGGGAACGTAGATTTGCTGATTTCACAAGCCCCCTTGCATCAGCATTTCCAGTACAGGCAGTTCAAAATGTCCTCCTTGATATTCATGGGCAGGGCCCACTTTCTTGGAATTTACTTCCAGCAATAATGATATGCAAGTGAAGTTTTATGCATTAAGAAATTTCTTAATGACTTTTACAATTTTTTTACAGGTTAGGAAGTGAGCATTTCAAACCATCTGGATTCACACCTGAGACCTGAGAGAAAAACTGTAATATGTGTTTGATTCACTGGGGACACAGAGGGTGGGAGTGCCAGGTCCTGCTGTCACCTCCAGGGCAGAGGCCATTGTGTCTCAGCATGTCTGTCCCTCGTGCAGGACCCAGTGTCACCGCACACAGCTGTGCAGCTCTGATTTCAGTCTCTCTGAGCCTCCGCTCACAGTAAATGGCGACAGATCTCTTGGGGGGTTGTTGTGGGATTAGATGAAAGAAGGCATGGAAGGCTCTGTCACACATAAGGTGTTAAACAGTGGTAGTCTATTGTGTGTTAGCTGGGTAGCTAATGCCACATTTGGTTTAATTCATGCTGTAATTGATCCTCACTGTGAAAAAGAATTATCATGTGGACTCTAAGCAGCTCAGACATCATGAATCAACTGGGCTCAACAGAACGTCCCAACAGAATGGTGTGCAGAGGAGTTTGCAAACCAGCAGTCCACCCGTGGTGCTGGCCCTCAGACGTGCCTTGTTTGCTTTGTCCAGTTTTTTCTTTAATAATCGAGCCAACATTTAAAATTGTGGAGAATTCACATTAAAACAAATAAAACAACAGCAACAACAAAAGCCAGATGAGCAGATTTCTGGCTCCTGTGAAGATTCCGAGGTGTTATGATAGCAGGGGCCACCTGCCTGGTGGCTGCCACCCATAGCAGGGGAGGAGTCCAGTCCCGCTGCCTGCTGCTGCTGTGTGGAAACTCCTTCCCACAGTGCCCGCCACTGCACCTTGACTGACATCAAACCCTTAAACTGCATCTACTGAGCCCTTTATTTCAACTAGATGCGTTCACACTTCATAGTTCTATTTAGTTCTTTTTTTTTTTTTTGAGACAGAGTCTTGCTCTGTCGCCCGGGCTGGAGTGCAGTGGCGCGATCTCGGCTCACTGCAACCTCTGCCTCCCATGTTCACGCCATTCTCCTGCCTCAGCCTCCCACGTAGCTGGGACTACAGGTGCCCACCACCATGCCCAGCTAATTTTTTGTATTTTTAGTAGAGATGGGTTTTCACCATGTTAGCCAGGATGGTCTCGATCTCCTGACCTTGTGATCCCCTCCCCACCCCAGCCTCCCAAAGTGCTGGGATTACAGGCATGAGCCACCACGCCCGGCCCTTAGTTCTTTAAAAATAATGGCTTAAAGCTGGGTGTGATGGTGGACACCTGTAATCCCAGCTACTCCGAGGCTGAGGTAGGAGAACCACTTGAACCCAGTAGGTAAAGGTTGCAGTGAGCCGAGGTAGCGCCACTGCACTCCAGCCTAGGCAATGGAGTAAGACTCCATCTCAAAAATAAAATAAAGTAAATAATAATAAATAATGACTTATTGTTCCTGTTTTATATGATCAATATCTTCCTTTTCTATTAAAATAAATGATATATATACACACATACTTTTTTTTTTTTTTTTTTTTTTTGGGACAGAACCTTGCTCTGTCATCCAGGCTGGAGTGCAGTGGCACCATCTCGGCTAACTGCAAGCTCCGCCTCCCAGGTTCAAGCCCTTCTCCTGCCTCAGCCCCCCCGAGTAGCTGGGACTACAGGCACCCGCCACCACGCCTGGCTAATTTTTTTGTATTTTTAGTAGAGACGGGGTTTCACCATGTAAGCCAGGATAGTCTCGATCTCCTGACCTTGTGATCCGCCCACCTCGGCATCCCAAAGTGCTGGGATTACACGCATGAGCCACTGCGCCCAGCCCTAAATAATAAATATTTTAAAGTCCTAGTCAGCCTGTTCCAATAATTCTGCTTTAGATGGTATATGTTGTTCCACTTTTTGGCTTTTCTTTTATGATGATGTACCGCAGGGTGCCTAGTTACTTTGGTCTCTAAGCTCATGTTTCCCGGGGGCACTGGCCACTCTGTCAGGGAGTGCCCATTTGGGCTGAAGGCCAGATCCTAGTGGAGGTGCCTCTTGGGAAGCTAAGGAGCAGGGAGGGATGAGCTACAGGGCGGGGAGACACGGGGACCGTAGAGCTCCTGACTGACCACCCCTGTCTGCTGCTGTGATGGTTAATTTTATACGTCAACTTGGCTGTGCTGAGGGATACCCAGACAGCTGGTGAAACATTATTTCTGGGCGTGTCTGTGAGGGTGTCTCCAGCAGAGACTGGCATTTGCCTCGGTGGACTGAGTAAAGAAGACCTCCCTCTCCAATGTGGATGAGCATCATGCCATCTCCTGAGGGCCCGAATAGAATACAAAAGCAGAAGAAGGCTGAATTCTCCCTTTCTCTCTCTTTCCCCTTGAACTGAGACATCCATCTTCTTCTGTCCTTGGACATCAGAGCTCCCGGTTCTAGGGCCTTTGGACTCTGGGGCTTGTATTAGAGCCCTTCCTCCAACCCCAGCCCCCAGGCCCCAGGGGTTGGGGTTCTCAGGGCTTCAGCCTCAGACTGAATTGCATCACCAGCATTCCTGGATCTTGAGCCGGCAGAGAGCAGATCATGGCACTTCTCAGCCTCCTTCTCATAACCCATGAGCCAAACAGTAGATCGCCTCTTCTCTATGCACAGAGAGCCTGGGGTTCTGTTTCTCCAGAGGACCCTAATACAGCTGCCATTCCACCAGACAGCGCCTTTCCTCTTGTCTAGCTTTTAGGCTCTTGGAAATAAGTGACAGGGAGGAGACAGTCTCCCCATGGAGCTGAAGAGGGTGCAGGAGTGGTACAACACCCAGCACAGTGGTGGAGCCCATCTGCTTTCCTCCACCTCCGTCCCTTTCCTCTCCTGACCCTGTCCTGCCCCAATATCGGTGTCCCAGACACTGGCCCCAATGGCCTGGACTGCTGCTGCAGATTTCTGTGGTGGATGGGGACAAGCAATAATTATTCCACAGCGCCTTGAGAAATGGGAAAAAACAGAACGTGCTATTTTTGTTAGTTCCTCTAATCCACACTTCTCTGCGGGGTCGGTCTGGAGGTAGAGGGCCAGAAACCTATGGGAGTCCACGGTCTTGCTGGACGCCTGCGCCCATTTTCTTATGGCAGGAAACCACCTCTTTGCACCAGAGGCGGACTTGGTGATGCTAATGTAAGTGCGCTCCAGGGCCCTGCACCCGCAGGAGTCCGTTCCAGATCCTGGGAGGGGCCTAGTAATTTGGTCACAAATTGGTCATGTTTTTCTTAAAATTTGCGAGTAGGATACTTTGCAATCAGTCAAGGCTACTCTCTCTTCCCTCCCTGTCTTTCCCCTCACCCTCCTTCCCCTCATGGGGGCCAGCGTTGGAGCATCTGCTTTTGGGGGATTTGACTCAGGAGAAATCGAATGGGGCTACATTTAATTGAGGTTAGGGGCAACGTCTCTGTGGTTGACAGTTATTCCCATGCATCAGGTTGCTGGTCACCCTCCCACTCCCTACCTTGCTGATGTGCCCGGCATCACAGCCTGCCTGACGACGCTGGCTGTGGCACAATGGCAAGGTGAATGTGGCCATGGGGGCTGGCCCCAGAACTCCAAAAGCAGTGTTGTCAGAGGCAATCGAACCACAGTGACTCCATCTTGAATAGGCAGTGGGTAAAATGAGGCTGAGACCTCCTGCATTCCCAGGAGGTTAGGCATTCTTAGTCACAGATGAGATAAGAGGTTGGCACAAGATATAGGTCACAAAGACCTTGCTGATGAAACAGCACGTGTTAAAGAAGCTGGTCAGAACCCACCAAACCAAGATGGTGACAACAGTGACCTCTGGTTGTCCTCACTGCCATTATATGCTGATTATAATGCATTGGCATGCTGACTCACATTTCCACCAGCGTCAGGACAGTTTAGAGATGCCGTGGCAACGTGAGGAAGTTGCCCTATATGGTCTAAGGGGGAGGGACCCTCAATTCCGGGAATAGCCCATCCTTTTCCCAGAAAATTCATGAATAATCAACCCCTTATCTGGCATATAATCAAGAAATAACTATAAGTGTAATCAGTGGGCAGCCAAGCCGCTGCCCTGTCCGTGGAGTAGCCATTCTTATTCCTTTACTTTCTTAATAAACTTGCTTTCACTTTACTCTGTGGATGCACCCAGAATTCTTTCTTGTGCGAAGTGCAAGAACCTTCTCTTGGGGTCTGGATCGGGACCCCTTTCTGGTTACAGAGTGACAGACACAAGGTTTGAAGTGTGCAGAACCAGATGCTGGCCTGTGGAAAATCTTCCAACCTCAGATACATAAAACTGTAAGCAGTAGATTCTGTTCTCATTAACACCTCGTCGAGATGGAAGGTCTCGCCCGTTTCATATATCCTTCAGAATGCATAGTACATCATAGTAAATGGAACATATTTCTTTTTTATGGAAATGGTGTGAAATAGAACTTACCAAAATTCCCGTGTTTGAGGGCACAAATCTCTAGCAGTACTTCAAATGGAAAGTACATCCGTGCGCGAAGTTGCATGCTTTATGCATCAGAAGTCTCGGATCGGGCCTTAGTGTAGCTGATGCATCTGTTGTCCAGATGAAGTCTGGCAGATCCAGATAGAACAGCATGCAAAATTATCCCAACACAGTGAAATAACCCAGAGAAACAAGTATTTCCAGGAACAAAACTACACATATTCATCAGTGAGTCAGTGTATTTCACCCAAGGATTTCCCGCCTGTGCGGCTCAGCACAAGCCTGAACAGTTTAAATGCACTTGAACGGCTCAGAGGAGGCCTGAATACTGCATTTCTTTTCTTTTCTTTTCTTTTCTTTTCTTTTCTTTTCTTTTCTTTTCTTTTCTTTTCTTTTCTTTTTTTTTTTTTTTTTGAGACGAAGTCTCGCTCTGTCACCCAGGCTGGAGTGCAATGGCATGATCTCAGTTCACTGCAACCTCCGCCTCCCGGGTTCAAGGGATTCTCCTGTCTCAGCCTCCTGAGTAGCTGGGATTACAGGTGCGCACCACCACACCCGGCTAATTTTATTTTTGTATTTTTAGTAGACAGGGGGTTTCACCACGTTGGTCAGGCTGGTCTTGAACTCCTGACCTCATGATCTGCCCGTCTCAGCCTCCCAAAGTACTGGGATTACAGGCGTGAGCCACCGCGCCCAGCCTGTGGCTGCCATTTCTAAACCACCCCTTCCTTGAGCACAGATCCTCTCCCCTCCAGCAATCCTCCCCCTTCTCTCAGGCATCCTCCACTCTCCGCTCTGTTCTGGCTCTCACCCATCAGCATGGGCTAAGGGTCCTCCCCGAAACAACACACCCTCTCTTGGCGCCACGTCTTGTTCCAGCCACTACCCTATCTTTCTCCCTCTCTTCACAGCAACTCCTAAAACAACTTTTCTGTATTTGCAATTCCCAATTTCTCTTCTCCATTTCCCTCAGGAACTTGTGCCCATCAGGCTTGTGTCCCATGGGTCCCCTGAAACGGGTCATTTCAGCCCTCTCCTTAGTTAACCCAGTGGCAGCACTCCAAGCCACTTTCTTCACTTACATTCCAGCCCAGAGCGTTTCTTAGGCAGCTGCATCTCAGTCTCTGTTCCGGAGTGAACGGTGTCGCCTCAGAAAGCTCTGTTAAAGTCCGTCATGCCACTTCCTCGGATGGTGACCTTATTTGGAAATAAGGTCATTGCAGATGGAATCAGTTACAATGAGCGCACGCTGGAGCACATGAGTGTGTCCTTATGGGAAGACAGCCCTGTGCAGACTCAGAGAGAAGACAAAGGGAGCTGGGGTCCCTCTCCTAAGAAGCTTAGCAATTCTCCATGCTGATTCCTATGGATTTGGAGGTGACACTTCCAGTATCACCACCGGGATGGATTTCCTATTTATCTCGCACGGTTCAGCAGGGTTTTGCATGCTTGTCGTTTCGACAAAGAAGACAGAAAGAGCAGAGATGGCCATTCAACCTCAGCCTGATGGGGGAGAGGTAACGCAGATGAGGAGGCAAGCCAGAGTATGAGAGACAAGAGGGAGGGGAGACTTGACGGTGTGTTTCAGTCATGGATCTAGTCCATTCTACAGGTAGCACCAGTCTGGCCCTGCCCAGTTATGTGTCAATTCATGTCCTTTGTTTTTCTTTTTGTAGAGACGAGGTCGGGCTATGTTGCCCGGGTGGGTCTCAAACTCCTGAGCTCAAGTGATTCTCCCGCCTCAGCCTCCCAAAGTGCTGGGATTACAGGCATCAGCTCCTACACCCAGCCATTGCCTGTTTTTTTTTTATTACAGTAATTCATGCTAAGTCTCTGTAACTTGCGCTTGAAAGAGCTCACTGCAACCTCTGCTTCCCGGATTCAAGCAATTCTCCTGCCTCAGCCTCCTGAGTAGCTGGGATTACAGGCATACGCCATCACACCTGGCTAATTTTTGTATTTTTAGTAGAGATGAGGTTTCACCATGTTGGTTAGGCTGGTCTTGAACTCGTGACCTCAAGTGATCTGCTCACTTGGGTTTTAGGAGAAGGGTAAAATATGGACAAGGAGGCCAGTCATAGGATTGTGAGTAAAAGCAGCGCTCCTGGGTAGCTGGGCAGATGGAAGCACACTGCCTGTCCCCTCCCGTCACCTCTGCTGTTTAGGGAGTTCTCCAGGGGTCAAAAGTCAGGGTGCCACAGAAATGTGGGAAGTACACAGAGAGGAAATGTGAGAAAGAAACTGAGATTCAGAAATTTAAAAGAGAAAACTCGTTGAACAGGTAAATTTGCGGAACTGAAATGCATTTCAGGACGTGCATTCCCAAAACAGCTACCTTTTTTTTAATGAAAAAGGGCTCTCTAGAGTGATAGGCACGTATCAATTTGCTGTTTCCAACCCTACCAGGTGACCAGAGGGCTGACAAGGATGGATAATGAATAAAGACAAGGCGTACTCATGTCCTAAATCTGCTGTAAGAAGTCTGCTGTGGGCCAGGCCCAGTGGCTCATGCCTGTAATCCCAGCACTTTGGGAGGCTGAGGCGGGTGGATCACATGAGGTCAAGAGTTCAAGACCAGCCTGGCCAACGTGGTGAAACCTCATCTCTACTAAAAATACAAAAATTATCCAGGTGTGGTTGTGTGTGCCTGTAATCCCAGCTACTCAGGAGGCTGAGGAAGAAGAATTGTTTGAACCCGGGAGGCAGAGGTTGCAGTGAGCCAAGATCGTGCCATTGCACTCCAGCCTGGTGACAGAGCAAACACTCCATCTCAAAAAAAAGAGAGATCTTCTGTGGCTTACAACAATGGGAATTTACTCTCTTACAGTTCTAGGGCCCAGGAGCCCCACATCGAAGTAGTGGTGGGGCTATGTTCCCTCTGCGGGCTCTGGGGCACTCCTTGCCTTGCCTCATCCAGCTTCTAGTGGCAGTTGTGTCACCCCAGTCTCTGCCTCTGACTTCATTCATGTGGCCTTCTTGAGTGTTCTGTCTTCTGCCTATGTCTTCCCATATTTGTATAAGGACACTTGTCACTGGGCTTGGGACTCGCCAGATAATCCAGGATGATCTCATCTCAAGATCTGTAACTTAATTACATTTGCAAAGACCCTTTTTCCAAATAAGGTCACATTCACAGTTCCAAGTGGACATATTTTGTAGGGGTCACCTTTCAACCTACAGCACAAGTACTTGCAGCCAGTGAGGTACATGGCATTTCTGCTCAGGCAGACGACGATTTCTAGCTTTTTTTCTCTTTCTATTTATACATGGTGGTGGAAAAATAAGCATTTAAAGACTGAAATAACTTCTAAATGCCTTCCTCTTCTAATGGGTATTGAAATAAGTGTATCCATTAAGAGACGGTTTTTGGCCCGATGCAGTGGCTCACACCTGTAATCCCAGCATTTTGGGAGGTCGAGGTGAGCAGATTGCTTGAGCCCAGGAGTTCCAGACCAGCCTGGGAAACATGGCAAAACCCTATCTCTACAAAAACTTTTTAAAAGTTAGCTGGGTGTGGTGGCACATACCTGTAGTCCCAGTTACTCAGGAGGCTGAGGCAGCAGAGTCACTTGAGCCCAGGAGGTCAAGGCTGCAGTAAGCCATGATTGTGCCACTGCACTCCAGCCTGGCTGACAGAGTGAGACCTCGTCAAACAGAAAAAAAAAAAAAGAGAGATGGGCTAGGAGCGGTGGCTCATGCCTGTAATCCCAGCGCTTTGGGAAGCCAAGGCAGGTGGATCACCTGAGGTCAGGAATTCAAGACCATTCTTGCCAACATGGTGAAACTCCGCCTCTACTAAAAATACAAAAATTAGCCAGGCGTGGTGGGTGCCTGTAATCCCAGATACTTGGGAGGCTGAGGCAGGAGAATTGCCTGAATCCGGGAGGCAGAGGTTGCAGTGAGCTGAGATCATGCCATCGCACTTCAGCCTGGGTGACAGAACAAGACTGTCTCAAAAACAAAACAAAACAAAACAAAAACATGGTTTTCAATAATTTTCACACAGCCACACATATAAAGCACACCTTGGGAGAGGAGGATCCCTGCTGGTGCGTGTGGACCACTGCAGGCTGCCATGTCGATAAAACAGATCACAGGAGATTGCAAGTTCCCGCCACAGCTCGATACCCCACCCTCTTTCCTATGGCTCAGACACTCCAGCTTTAGGAGCCCTCATGTTTGTTTCTGTTTCTTTAGTTCATGAGGTGCCCCAGCTTCCCCAGTTTCCAAAGCCACGCAGGTGTATGAAAATCTTCCCCCGATCTTCTTGCAGGTTATAGTTAGAATATTACCTCAGCAATCCCCAAGGTGGAAGAAATGAGAAGCAGAAACATTTCATTAGTCTAGAACGCCTACACGAAGACTATGTGCCTGCAGATATGTTGACAAGTTTTGAAGGAACGCCAAAGGGAGTAGAAGATCCGGTCTTGCTTAGAAGAAATTATTTAAGGAGTAGAATTTCTTTGAGACCACGAGTGAGCAGGTTAGGGCAGTGCCAGGAACCCTTAGGGACTCCCATCAACCCCAGCATCAGAACCTTCTTCCTAGGATGCAGAAGCATCAGAACCTTCTTCCTAGGATGCAGACATGAGTGTGAGGAGAAGTTTTCACTCTGCCGTGATCAAAGGCCAGGTGTATTTCAACCCCTGAAGGCATGGTGTTTCACAAGCCCTGACTGGCTCATGTAAGCAAATATAATTAAATCAGTTCTGTCAAAGCCAGCATGTGCTCTGTTTTCTTTGTTGTGATGGGACAGAAATCAAGGGCCAAAGATCCACAGAACTCAGTTAGATTGCTTACGGGCTCTGAAAGCACGAAACGTAAGTGCCGTTTCCCTCCATGTTATCAGGGGAGAGGCACGGGTCAAATTACGGCATATACAAATAGGCCACGTTCGAGGACCTTCATACTTATGTATTTATTTTTTTACGTCAGGTATCAGTCATTCAGCCTTTTTTTTCCTTTTTCCTTCTCACTCTCCCTTTCCTTTTTCTTTCCCCTCCCTCTTTTTTGGTGGCTGTTGTTTGCTTTTTTATATTACAAAAGTAATACAGCACCATCCTTTTTTACATGTAGAAAGTAGAAATAAAACAAAGAAAAGTCATCTGTAAACTTACCACAGAGGGAGACACTCTGAACATTCCTGGGTGTGTTTTTAAGCATACTGTACATGTGCATTTTTAAGCATAAAAAAGAAATTTCTTGAAATACACTTATTTGGATAAATAATTTAGAAGTATTAATAATTTATTTAATATTATTAGTTAATAGTAATGGCTAATTACTTAATGTTAATATTTTATTGATGATTTTATTCTGAAGCTTTTGCTACATACTATAAAATTGCTCTCCAGAAATGTTCTATCCCCTTTCACTCCCACTGGGAATGTAGAATACCTGCTTCCTCGCGTCAGCTCTCATCAACCTTGTTGGATAAATAAGTAGACCCAAAGATCTGGTGGTCTCAGGTTTTGTTACTAAAGGCAAAGCTGCTTATTGTAAACATAGGAGAAAAGAAATCTTTCTGAGTGGTGACTGGAGCTTTCTGGAGTGGAAAGGTATTGTAAATGAAAGAAAGACAGGTGCCACCTCTACTCCAGGGTTATCGAGAGCTTGTCTGAAATACTTTGTAATGAATGATTTAGGTCAATGAGAGGGCGATTCCAGTGAAGGAATTGTAGTATCGAGAAGGCAGGTGCGGGCAAGAGTAAGTGAATGGCCGTTATTGTCTGAGATTAAAGCAGCAAACCCTTCAAATAGAGAACGCATTGTGTGCAAGAGCTGATTAAGAACACGGCTGAAAGTGAACATCAGTGTACATGGGAGGGTTGTTCTAACTATAGAGTTTGTGATTTACTCCATGACATAGACCTTATCTTGAGTGAGTTATGATATTTTCTGGGTCTCAGCCATGAGCCCTCAATGAGCTGACCTTATTGTGGTAAAATAATCAGAGTTCAGGTTAGTCATCACCATCTATCTGGGCATGCCAAGGAAAAATAATAAATGGGCAACTGTGTAATGCTTAGATTTAATCTCATTAGGAGGCCTTCGTGGTAAAATTGTGGGAACTGAATTACAGTGAACTAACTCTGGAACCTATGCTGTAATGTCAGAATCATTCTCTTCTATTCAAAAAGCAATTATGCCTAAAATTAAAACATAACTGTTGTAAACTAGCTTCATGTTTCAAGCGGCAACCAAGCAGTTCTGAACCACGAGATGCTGAGTGAGTAGACACAAGTTGGGACTAAGGTCAAGGGGTCTGCCTCTGAGCCCCTGGGCCACTGAGAGGGCCGTTCAGGATCCCAGTGGGGCAACTAGTCCGTCCATCAAATCCAAGCCCTGCAGACAGGAAAATTAACATGCATCTAAGGCCTTACAAAATCAAACTATGGGAAAGAGGAGATGTTGAAAAAAAAGTTGAAAATGAAACTCACCATTCTAAACATGACGCCTACCCTCAGATGTGAGCCCACCTTGAGTTAGCCATGGCCGGTGGCTCTTCTTCCCTCAGGCCTAAGCCACACCTCTTCAAAACTTCAGTCTGCCTATCCTCCGAGTCTGGGTTTCCTCCAACATCGTCCCTTTCCTTCTTTCTTCCTTCCCTTCTTCCTTCCTTCCCTCCCTCCTTTCTTTCTTCCCTCCCTTTTTCTTTCTTCCTTCCCTTCTCCTTTCTGCCTCCCTCCCTTCTTTCCTCCCCCTCTCTCTCCCTTCTTTCCTTCCTCCCTCCCTCCTTTCTCCCTGCCTTCCCTTCTCCCTTCCTGCTCATCTTCCACAGGCAAACGTAGGGCGCACTCAGCCCCAAGCCCCGTTCCACGCTGCAGCACTAGACACGTCTAACGGGCACGGTTTGCAGCCTGCCTGGGCGTCCAGCAGCCATGCTCTCTCTGGACAACCAAAGGCAAGTTCTGCTGGAGCCTGACCGCCAGCTCAGTCCCCTCCGGGGTTGGTTCCCGCCATTCCTCTTGATCACCTCTCCCTCCCTCCCCACCTGGCTCTAAGGGATGGGTCGTCAGAGCCCGGAAGGGGGCAGCTGTGGAGCCGCTGCCTCTGATGATTTGTGGCTGAGACCCCGTGCAAGCGGGAGGCCCCTGCGATAGGGTTTCAGTCTGAAGAAGATCTGGAGGGAGGAGGCATTTTTTCTAAGATGTTGATGTTTGAGTAGCAGTAATAAGGACAAGTAGGGCGTATTGTTTACAGTTGAAGACAATGAATAGTCTACTTCTACTCCTCTAATCTGTGACTGTTACCCCTACAGCAAGGAGCTGACAAGACGTCCATGAAGCAAGAAGACATGGAAGGGGAGGAGCAGCCTCTCCCCCCTACTCTCCCGCCCCGCCCCGGCCTGCCCCGCCGGCACCAAACGCAAGCATCAGACTCACCTGCTCTCCGGTGTGTGTGACCAAGAACCCTGCGGGCTCCTCTCCACCCTCCACTCTCAGGAAATAACAGGAAAGATGTCTCCCTGGCATGCCTGGACTCGTGCGTTTATTCACTCAGCCCAGGAGTGCAGGTGCTCGGGTGCAGGCCTGGCCCCAGCACTTACTGGCCACATGCCTGACCTTGGGGAGGTTGCTGAAGCTTTCTATGCCTAGCTCCCTCACCTGAAAACTGTGGCTATTACTAGTCCCCACCCCCTAAGGCTGGTTGGGAGGACTAGGAGATAAGGCAGGTGAAGGGCTTGGCACACCATAGGAGTCCACTGCATGCTGTCTCTTGTTGGAGAGATGGCCATCAAACGCCTGCTATGATCCAGCGCAGGGACGTGGCCCCTTCTCCCAGCTGGAGGATGGGCAAGAAAACCACACAAGACAACCCATGCTGGCCGTCGGGGTCTGGAGGAGCAAGGTGGACGGACATCCAATCAGGCTGGGGTAGGAGAAGGGACTCAACAGAGATTTTGCAGAGGGAATGACCGATCGATTGAATTCCTAATGGTAAATTAGGCTTCACCAGGTGAGGAGAGATGGGGATGGGAAAGGGGAGAAAACTCCAGGTAACGAGTCGTTTGCCGGTGGTTCTCTAAGGTTAGAACAGATCACAAAGACTCTCTGTGGCAAAGAGGATGCAGTCGAACCGGGAAGTGTCTCTTCTGCCATGGGAAGAAATTTAAACTTTATCCCAAAAGCCAAGGGAAGACCCTGAAGGATCTTAAACAACCTGACCCCCTAAAGGTGTAACAAACCGGCATTCGATTGTCCACCCTCATCCTTATCATGTATCTGAAAGAAAACACAGGGGATTTTTTTGTTTTTGTTTTTTTGGTCTTCTCAAAAATATTTGTCGTAACACATGTCTGGGATGTGAATTGTGGCCAATTTTTCCTGAAGCAGTAGTTATGATTTTGTAGAGGCAACTGGCCAGATATTAAATGCTTGCTCCTGTGAGATTTTTTGTCCCCATCTCTTTTCTCATGTGGTACAATCATTTCCGAAAAGGACCCACCAATTGTCTTTCTTTATCCGGGTCCTCCACACGGATGGATTCGTGGCAGGGCCTTTTGCAACATTTAGGGCAAACCACTTGGCTGAGCTGTCAAGTCAGCGCGCGGGTAATCAGCAGATTTATTCGAGGAAATATATTTATGGTCCTGAATGGCTGTTAAATGGAGCCATTATCTGGCCTTCTTGCTGTTGCTACAAATGTCCCTCCAGAGCGTGGGTACCCACACTAAGCCCATGATGCTTCCAGGTCATGAATTCAAGACGGTATTTATGCTGCCTCCAGTCAATGCACACGCATGTGCTGAGGTCATGTCAGTCGCGCTTGTTGAACGCTGAGGCACAAACTCAATGCCAGATGCTTTATTAAACATTCCCAGGGCAATCAAAGGCAGAAAGAGGGAGAAAAAGGATTTGTTGAACAGCCAGTGGAGACGAGGGGTTGAAATGCCGCCCTAAATTATTCATGGCTTGCTCTGAGCTGAGGAGGAATCATAATAAGCATCCTGGGGCCATTGTAGAGGACATCATCTTTCTTCTGGCCCCAGGGGTGCCCTCTCCACAAGAGTGTAATGAGAAAAAGCCCAGCCGAGCAAGAAGCCTGGACCAGTGGACCATCTGCAAGGAACGGCAGGGCTGGAGGTCTCGGGTTGAGCTTTCTGAAGACCTGGCACAGCTGCAACGCGACCAAAATGGAAACTCTTGGTTTCCATGTTCTAGTCCCCACTTTGCAAATATGCTTTGAGACATCGATGCTTTGAAATTTCTTACAAAATGTCTGTGCTAAACCCCAGAATACCATTTCCATATGTTCTTGTTTTGCTTCCATACCTCTAAAGCTTGTACAACAGAAATGGGAACAGATTCTTAAAGAACGTACCCATTTTTATTTATTTAAAGAACTAATTTTGTATGTATAGACATAGGCATGTGTGTACAGAAATACAGAAGGGTTGCGAGTATCAGCAACTTAGATGCCTCCAAAGTCTGATATATGTGCACCTTTAATGAGGAGAGATTACTATTTCAAAAGGGAAATTCTTACAGAATTTTCACATTCTAGGGGAAAAGGCATTGTTCAATGTAGCAGGCGGCCAGTCGTGTTGACTCACACCTGTAATCCCAGCACTTTGGGAGGCCGAGGAAGGCAGATCGCTTGAGCTCAGGCATCCCAGACCAGCCTGGGCAACATGACGAAATGTGGTCTCTACAAAAAAAAAAAAAAAATAGTTGGGTGTGGTGGTGTGTGCCTGTAGTCCCAGCTACGTGGGAGACTGAGGTGGGAGGATAACCTGAGTCCAGAAAGTGTGGGCTGCAGTAAGCCAAGATTGCACCACTGTACTCCCACCTGGGTGACAGAGCGAGACCCTGTCTCCAAAAAAAAAAAAAAAGTAGGTGGCACATAGGCTTAAGAAAACATTTATGGGCCTTTTGGTCAGGAAAGATGAAGGCCCTGTCCAGTCTGGGTGACTTGGGATTAGGCAGAGGAGAGTGGGAGATGAGGGAATTAAATTGCTCAGTTCAGTAAAGTAATGAGAACTTGGGTGTTCTGGCAGTTCTAGAGGGAAAAGACTCTGTGGGCCTAGAAGATGAGAAGAGGAACAGAAGGGGCTAGAAATGGAGTGCAGGCCTCAGAAAACATAGCAGGGGGCGCTGCCAGAATGAGAAGGCCCTGGGCAGGAACAGCTGGTAGTTAGTTGCAAGTCATTGCCTAATCCGAGCAGCACGTAGGACTCCTCTTGAGCCCTAAACTTTCATCAAATCCTTGTGCTGTTAGTGCCTTGGGAAATGAAGAGAGAGGAATTGAGGCCACCAAGGAATGCAGGCCACCAAGGAACTCAGGCCACCAAGGAACACAGGCCACCAAGGAACTCAGGCCACCAAGGAATTGAGGCCACCAAGGAACTCAGGCCACCGAGGAACACAGGCCACCAAGGAACTCAGGCCACCAAGGAACACAGGCCACCAAGATGCACGAAAAGCAGGAATTTGTAACAAGAGATCATTGTGGGAACATAAGGCTGTATCCCCCACCCCCAAATCTGGGTAAGTCTCCAGAAGGCTTGGTGAGACCTTGAACCTTCTGTATCTAGAGCATGCTGGAGAGCCTCCAGCAAGTCACACGAAGATGGCAGGAAAAGGACATTCCAGGGGCTGGAGGACGTTAGGAGCATCCAGGAAGCTGACCCCAGATCCCAATCATGCATAGTTTTGTGTCAGTATCAGAAAAAGAAGAAAAGAAGTGCTTGTGAGTCATCATCTCCAGATTAGCTGTTCTGAGTCTCTACTGGGCACCAAATCAACACCTCCGTCTCCCGTTATAGACTAAATTGTGTTCCTCCAGAATTCATATGTTGAAGCCCTAACCCCCAACATGACTTGGAGAGTGGGCCTTTAAGAAGTATTATCATTAAGGTTAAATGAGGTGATAAGAATGAGGTTCTAATCTAGTAAGGCTGGTGACTGTGTAAGAAAAGGAAGAGAGACCAGAGACCTGTCTCGCTGCAAGCACAGAGGAGTGGCCGTGGGAGGGTACAGTGAGAAGGCAGATGTCTGTAAGCCAGGGAAAGAGGCCTCACCGGAAATCAACCCTGACAGGGCCTTGATCTGGGATTCTCAGCCTCCAGAACCGTGAGAAGATACATTTCTGTCATTTAAGGCACCCGTCTGTGGTATTTCATGGTGGCTGTCCAAACAGATGCACGCAGCTCCTGATGCACTTTTCTTTTCTTGGCTATTTTTTAAAATGTTGCTATAGGCCTGGAGCAGTGACTCACGCCTGTAATCCCAGCACTTTGGGAGCCCAAAGTAGGCGGATCACCTGAGGTCAGGAGTTCGAGGCCAGCCTGGCCAACATGGTGAAACCCCATCTCTACTAAAAATACAAAAATTAGCCAGACATGGTGGTGGGCGCCTGTAATCTCAGCTACTCAGGAGGCCAAAGCAGGAGAAACGCTTGAGCCCGGGAGGTGGGGGTTGCAGTAAGCTGAGATTGCACCATTGCACTCCAGCCTGGGAGACAGAGCAAGACTATGTAAAAAAAAAAAAAAGTTGCTATAGTTTGAATGTTCTGTCCCCTCCAAAACTTATGCTGAAATGCAATCCCCAATGCGACAGTATTGACAGGTATGGCATTTGGGAGGTGATTGAGACATGAGGGCTCTGCCATCATGAATGAGATTAGGTGCTCTTATAAAAGGGCTTGATGGAGGAAGTTCAACTCTCTTGCCCTTCTGCCTTCTGTGAGGACACAGCCTTCCTCCCCTCTGGAGGAGGCAGCATGAAGGCGCCATCTTGGAAGCAGAGACTGGACTCTCACCAGATTTGTCTTGGACTTCCCAGTCTCCAGAACTGTGAGAAATACATTTCTGTTTTTACTATAATTATCCAGTCTTAGGTAATTTGTTATAGCAGCACAACATGGACTAAGTAAATGCCTTTTCAGTTTTTCTGTTTGATAAAAAGAAGAGAGCTCCAGTAGGCACAGTTCCTTCTTTTTAATTTCTTCAATTAATGAGGTGCTAGTTTCCCGTTTGTCTAATTGAAGCCATTTTTCCACCTTTCACTAGTGTAACACGTAATTGCCTCATATCTGAAGAATGGCCAGATGGCACAAACAATTACAATATTTTTTTCAAAATAGAAGTGATTTTATTGGGTTTTATACTATAAGATGAATTTTTTAAGAAATATATGTCTATTTTTTTTTAAATCAGATAATACAGAAACCTAGAGAAGGAAATAAAAATACCTCATTTTCTACTACACAGCTTTTTTACTTTCTAAAAATGCAGTTGTGTGCAGTTGCATAGGTGGCTTTAGTGTGTTATAGCTCTATATTGTGAATATCTTTCCAAGTCATTAAATATGGAGCTTTATTTTAAATGGTTGCATAGTATTCTATTCTATAAATTCTCATAATTCATGTAACCAGTCTCTCATTTTTAGACTTTTTAGAAGCCATGAAGTCAAATGACCTTTGACTGACATTTCTGCACACTTAGCCAATTGTTTCCTGGGATGTATTCATCCTAGAAGAGGGATGCATTCAGTAACCCTTTAACACATGTGTTGTCTTCTAACGCACAGCTGGAATGAACACTGGAGACAGAACAATGATCCCAAAGACGGACATGGTCCCTCCTCGAGGTTTTGAGTCCAGTGGTATTACACAAGGCGCTAAAGTGTGATGAGTGTTTCCATGGGGAAATACAGAGCATTTTGGTTAAAAGGAAATGTACTTTTTTTTCTTTAGAGACAGAGTTTCCATCACAATGCACCATAACCTCAGCTCCTGGGCTCAAGCAATCCTCCCATCTCAGCCTCCAGAGTAGGTGGGTCTACAAGCATGTGCCACCATGTCAGCTAATTTTTATTTTTTAAATTTTTTGTCGAAATGGAGCCTGGCTATGTTGCCTGGGCCTGCCTCAAACTCCTGGCCTCAAGCAATCCTCCTGCCTCAGCCTCCCAAAGCGCTGGGATTACAGGCATGAGCCACTGTGCCTGGCCAGTGCACTTTTAAAAAGGCTCTTGCAGGTGGGGCACATTGGCTCACGCCTGTAATCCCAGTGCTTCGGGAGGCTGAGGCAGGAGGATCACTCGAGCTCAGGAGTTTGAGACCAGCCTGGGCAAGGTGGTGAGACCCCGACTCTACAAAAAAAAAAAAATAATAATGCTTTTTCTTTTTCTTAGCTGGTTGTTCCTCCAGGAACTTTGTGTTAATGTGTACCCGCCCCCCCCACCCACTATGGAAGCACCTGTGCCCCAGGTCTTTAGGTAACCTGCGAACTCACGTTGTCCCGTCTTTCTGGCAATCCCAAAAGCCAACATTCTCATTGCGGTGTAATAGCAACTCATTATTCAACTAGGTAAGGTTATTTTTCTATTGTCCTGAGCATTTGTAAGAAGACACTTAGCAACCCTAATTGCGTTTCAAAATGCAATTCACATTCTGAAATCATACGTAAGTCTTCGCTTGTGTATGATTTTCAAATCAAGTGAAGACTTGTGTATGATTTCAAAATGCTAATTGCTTAATTTCCCGAAGATATGCTTAAATGTCACACCTGCAGCAAATTGTTCAGAAGCTGAAATTGGTCCCTTGTAGCCTTTCTTGTCTAAACCTCCCTGACTTCACTATGCTCCATGGCATCCAGCCGTCACGTTTCCTCCCACCCACGCAGGGACTGCTTCCCGTGCTGCTCCTGCTGAGTACTACCCACCCCTGCAACTGAGAGTTTGCAGAGGCCTCTGCTGCCCCCTGGACCTCTTCTCACGAATGCATAGCTGTTCTTTACTTTCTGCACAAAGTGCATTCATGTGGAAGGCTTTGGGTGAGTGGAAAAATGGAATGAAAAGGATAAAGGGTTGTTGCTGTTGTTTTGAGACGGAGTTTCGCTCTTGTTGCCCAGGCTAGAGTGCAATGGCGTCGTAATCTCGGCTCATCGCAACCTCCGCCTCCCAGGTTCAATCGATTCTCCTGCCTCAGCCTCCTGAGTAGCTGGGATTACAGTCATGCGCCACCACGGCCGGCTAATTTTGTATTTTTAGTAGAGACAAATTTCTCCATGTTGGTCAGGCTGGCCTCGAACTCCTGACCTCAGGTGATCCACCCACCTCGGCCTCTCAAAGGGCTGGGATTACACGCCTGAGCCACTGCACCCGGCGGCAAAGGGTTTAAATAGTGATCCACTCTGGGAGAACCTGGGAAAGTTGGCAAATCCCACACCAGGTGGATGGATCCATGGCTACAGGCATATCCATCATGTGGCCCCGTAAATCAGTATGAGAAAGAAAGTGCCATTCATTCATACAACTAATATTTTTTGAGCTCCTAATCTGTGTGAAGCCTAGTATCTGAGGATATAACGTGTGTTTATAGTTCTACGAAGATCATAAATTGTTGTATTTCAGTTACTGTTATACTAGGGGACCTGCAGACCTGGAAAGCCATTCCCAGGAGGGGGCGTTGGTAGGTCCCACGAAAAGGTGAACAAGTTCATTGCATCAGTCCTCAGGGTGACCCCTCACGTGGGAAAGCAGAACTGAGGGGAAGAGCACTAGGGGGTGGGGCTTTCCTTGGAATCAAGGAGGAGACAGATGGAGGACTGACCTGAGATGGCCCTGTCACCTACCTGTCACCCGCTGCACGAGGCCGGCCCCTGCGCCTGTGAGGCTGCACTGTGCCATGGAGCGAGAATTTCCCCGTGGTAGGATCAGACCTCTGTCTCTGGAAATCTGACTTTTGTATGCTACCAACATTTTTCTGTAACTATTTCCTCTTTGCTTTTCTTTGTCAATGCCCTTTTGAAAATGCCAACTTGTCTCCTTTGTACTAAGAGACACCAAGGAAAGGAACTGTGTGCGTGCTCAGGTTGGGTAGTCCCCTGGGGACAGTGGATTAGCAGAGGAATCAAAGCCTGGGGACGATGAGGGCTTTCATCTTTCTCACAATACCATCCATCCTCTTTCTCTTCCTCTTCTTCCTGCTTCCTCTTTCTCCTCTTTCTGTTTATTTTTATCTCTGGCCACCCCTTTCCAGCCCCTCTCTAGCTCAGTGACAAGCTGAGAAAGAGCCAGACCTCCTGAGACCCCATGAAGAAACAATACTGCACAGGAAGTTTGATGGTGACCCCCAGGGCTGCCGCCAGTGGGAATCATCCTCCCAAAGCACAGAAGGGCTTACCGCAGCCCTTCCTGAATTCTTACACTTCCACGGGAGAATAATATCACTCTTTGATTTAATTATAGTAGAGCTTTGCTCTTTCCATGCAGGAAGGCCTTAGTGATAGGGCCCAGTGAGAAAATATAGAGGCTGTTCTCAGCAGACCTGATAAATCCTGAGCCACGCTGGAAGAACAGTGTCTCAGGTGTTTGATTCATTTCAACACAGTTCCTGTATTATTGGATTTTCCTTGTGATTTTGTGAGGTTTTCACGGATGGTTTGGGGTGTTTGCATTCTTGCTCTGACAGGGAAGATTTGGTTCTTTGTCTGCGCAAGAACCACACAGCATCCCGAGCCTGGAGCAAATCAACTCAAAGATACACCCATCCTGGGCAGGTGGTTTACAAGGGCAGTGCTGACAGCCAGGCACAGGTACTCGGGGTGCAGAGCGGGGACAAATCAAACCACGACCCCAGTGCTTGTTGTCAGCGTTGGCTACACATTATTGGAATTCAGAAAAGATTCAATCGTGTGCGAACTATTGTAGCTTGATTTGTTTATGGACTTTTATTTTTAGACTTTAAAAACGTTCCCAATGTTAAACTCTCCAGGCAGATGTACGGTAGCAATACAGTTACACGACCAGCAAGCTGACGACAGCCAGCCAGCTCCTAAAATGGTTTAAAACCAATCTCTGCTGTCACCTTCTCTCAGATCAAACCCAGAGTAAATATCCATAGTCTTTGCTGTCTGTCACTAAAGGTCAGAACAGATACCAAGATGTAGGAGGCTGATAGCACCAGTGCAGTTTGGAGCTGAAATCTGCCCTATAGTACCCCCAGATGAGAGCAAAGTCCTCTTTAAAAGCTCGCTAAGACCAGGCACAGTGACTCACGCCTGTAATCCCAGCACTTTGGGAGGCCGAGGTGGGTAGGTTGCTCGAGCCCAGGAGTTCGAGACCAGCCTGGGCAACGTGGCAAGATCCTGTCTCTACAAAAGATACAAAAATTAGCCAGGCGTGGAGACGTGTGCCTGTAGTTCAACCTACTTGGGAGGCTAAGGTGGGAGGATCACTTGAGCCCAGGAGGTTGAGGCTGCAGGGAGCTGTGATTGGGCCATTGCATTCCAGCCGGGGCAACAGAGTGAGACCCTGTCTCAAAAAAAAAAAGAAAAAAAAAGGCTTGCTAATTGATTTGTGAGGGCCAGCAGTTGGAATTGCCTCCCTAAGCACAAGGAAGTAATGCCCCAGCATGAAGCAAGAAGTCAGAGGACCTGGTATACAGCTAGGACTTCCCAGCTGCACAGCCTCGAGCAAGTGCGCCTTCCAGAACCTCAAGCTCCCATCTGAAAAGAGGAGAAATGATGCACACTTACAGGGTTTAGAGGGTGACATCATTCACCCAACACGTTTTTACTGGGTCCGAAATGTATGCTAGAAATTGTTTTAAGCACTGTGGATACAACTGTGAACAAGACAGATACAGGCCCTGGCTTGGTGTTTGAGGTCATGTTGGTAACACTGAGACGTGAATAGACAGTATTAATGACAGTGTCATCACTGCAGTGGGACGGGAGAAATTCAGGATGCCACAGCCCTTAACACAGCTAGGGGTTGCAGACAGCCTTCTAGCATCGAGTCTTCCACACTGAATGCCAAAGGCTGAATCAGAATGGCAGGCATTTGCAGGGAAAGTGTGCGCGATGAGGAGAGGGAGAGGACGGGAGGGGAGGGGAGGCGAGGCCCAGGCCTGGTGATTCCTGCCTCACCCCAGGTCAGTCCCGCCTTTATACCCAGCTTGGAGGGTAAGGCCCGGGGGAAGGTAGCTGGGTGAGCTAGCTAGGCGAACCTGGAGGCCACAGGCTCCCATCTCTCAAAGGCCGCATCTCCCAGAAGCAGGGCGGTGAGCAGTGCTCCCACAGAGGAAACCCGAAACATCTGCTGGTTCTGTGAGTTGGTTCGGGCAATTTATTCAGTGAATTGGTTTCTGTTAGGTCTGGAGGATACTTTTAGACAATTCAGAAGTGCTTGTCTGATCTAAAATACTCACTGACCTGGGTGGGGAAGCAATTCAGTGGCCCTGGGGTCTTATTTAACAACTCCCCGCACCGTGGACTCTGTCGCTCCTACCCATTCATGACCCCTCCTTAATTAGCCCGGGCAAGCCGTCAGGTGACCCCAGCCCCAGCCAATATCTGATGGCAGCTGCACAAGAGACCCCAAGGAGAATCACCTGCACCCAGGCAGGCCACTGAACCTGAGAGATAAACATATACTGCTGTTTTAAGCCACTAGGTTTCGGGGTGAGGGTTTGCACAGAGATAAATAACCAGAACAAAGGACAACCTCAAAGGTAGCTGTTAGCTTGGGAGGCCGAGGCAGGCGGATCACAAGGTCAGGAGATCGAGACCATCCTGGCTAACATGGTGAAACCCCGTCTCTACTAAAAACACAAAAAAATTAGCCAGGAGTGGTGGCAGGCGCCTGTAGTCCCAGCTACTTGGGAGGCTGAGGCAGGAGAATGGCATGAACCTGGGAGGCGGAGCTCGCAGTGAGCCGAGATCACACCACTGCACTCCAGCCTGGGCAGCGAGACTCCGTCTCAGGAAAAAAAAAAAAAAAAAAAAAAAAGGAACTGTTAGCACTGTGGTGGCATCAGATTTGCCAAGGCTGACACTCTGCCTAAGGAAGCTGTAGCGTAAGAAATTCTGGTTTTGTTTTTGGTGTTTGTTTGTTTGAGATGGAGTTTTGCTCTTGTCGCCCAGGCTGGAGTGCAGTGACATGATCGTGGCTCACTGCAACCTCCTTCTCCTGGGTTCAAGCAATTCTCCTTCCTCAACCTCCCAAGTAGCTGGGATTACAGGTGCCCACCATCACGCCCGGCTAATTTTTGTATTTTCAGTAGATACCGGGTTTCACCATGTTGGCCAGGCTGGTCTCAAACTCCTGACCTCAGATGATCCACTGGCCTCAGCCTCCCAAAGTGCTGGGATTACAGGCATGAGCCACTGTGCCCAGCCAAGAAATTATGTTTTAAAGAAATAAAGTAAGGCCTATAAAACCACTGTCTTATTACAGGTACAGCTTCCAAGGCACTCATAAGCATTCAGAGAGTAATACCTACTTATCAGGAGCCCCAAAACAGAATAAAGAAAAGAGAAATGTTGGAAATAACTACCTTTTAAAGATAATTAGGTGTCAAGGCAAAGCATCCTAAAATTTATAGTGTGAATAAATAAGAACATTACGCAATGACCAAAATTAGATTCTCAACCTTCCAGGAAGAAACACAGATACTAGACAGCATTAAGTACACTCACACTTCAAAAGTTACATCTCACAATCACAGTAATCCAGGTCACTTCGATCCCCAACCTGCTTTACTCGACATCAGCCAGCCTGGGGTACAACTAAGGAGAAACAGAATTGAGAGTTGAATTTTCCAGGTTGGTCATCTACACAGCTCCACTTCACCGGACAGCTGCTAAACTCCCACGTTGACACCTGTCAAGAGGAGCTTCTGCTATTTTTGCAAGTTTCAATGCTATTTGAGCACCGATACGATGCCGCAAGTAGAAAATTCCACAACTAACCTCAAGTGAGACTGACAGGTTGCAGTTAAAACACAGTCAAAACTGACCAGGCACGGTGGCTCACGCCTGTAATCCCAGCACTTTGGGAGGCCGAGGTGGGCAGATCACCTGAGGTCAGGAGTTCAAGACCAGCCTGGCCAACAGGGCGATAACCCCATCTCTACTAAAAATACAAAAATTAGCCAGGCATGGTGGCACATGCCTGTAACCCCAGCTACTTGGGAGGCTGAGGCAGGAGAATTGCTTTAACCCAGGAGGCGGAGGTTACAGTGAGCCAAGATCACGCCACTGCACTCCAGCCTGGATGACAGAGCGAGACTCTGTCTCAAAAAAAAAAAAAACAGAAAACAAAAAAAACCACCACAGTCAAAACTTTGTTTCATGCATAAAATTACTAAAACTATTGTATTAAATTACCTTCGGGCTATGTCTATAAGGTACATATGAAACAGAAACAAATTCTGTGTTTAGACTTGGGTCCCATCCCCAGGATATCTCATTATGTATATGCAAATATCCAAAATACAAAAAAATCCAAAAACCAAAACACTTCTTCCCCACCCCCAAGCCTTTCAGACAAGGGATACTCAACCTGCGGTTCAATAAGAGAATCCATTAACCCGTGCAACCACCAAAATGTATCAGAAGTAAAATAACGTGCTTTTCAGATATTATGAGAGATTGCTGAGGATTTAGAAAACACTTACACTTTTGATTTTGTAAACTAAGGCTTGTAAACCAAAGCGTCTGCCCAACTTTGGATTCTCTCAGCAGAGCATCAAAATACGATGAAAGAACTGGAGTGAGTGAACTGTAGAAAAACTGACAGCATCCAGTTGAGGGCGAGACATCACCGCACGGGGAAGCCTGCTTGGTGTGTCAGGCGGAAGAGCACTGAGAGGCCACTGCAGCTGGGTGAGTTTTGATGAGTGTGCACTGGGAGCAAGTCAGGTGGTGTTAGGGTTCTGACGAGGAGGTGGGCTGTGAGGCTGGCCTGTCTTGAGGCTAGGGAAGAATAAGGTAAAGGATGCTTTGATGTTTTTGTTTAAAGCTTTGGCTCGATAATTCAATAAGAAGATCCATTAACCCATGAAACTGTGAAAAGGTGTTTGGAGTAGAATAAAGTTGCACACTTTTTCACTATTTTGGGGGATTTAGAAAGGATTGATCCTTTTTGTTAATTGGCATTTTCTCGTAATCAAAGAGGGATGGAAGCTCCCCCTCTAATTGGCAGAAGTGAAGGAGAAAGCAGGCACGTGAAACCCATGAAAAGAGGCGGGATTGTCTTCCCTACTAAACTGTTGCTCACATGTCCTTAAAAAATTAGTGTCTCATGTACCCCATAAATATGTACACCTATTATGTACCCACAAAAATTATAAATTAAAAAAATGGTATTTCCTGGTGAATGTCTCTTAGAGAAAAAGAAAAGGCTATCTCTGACAAAGAAGTCTTCTACTTTAAAAGTTCTAGGCCGGGCATGGTGGCTCACACCTGTAATTCCTCTACTTCAGGAGGCCAAAGCAGGGAGATGGATTGAGCTCAGGAGTTCAAGACCAGCATGGGCAACATAGTGAAACTCCACCTCTACAAAAAATACAAAAATTAGCTGGGCCCAGTGGTGCCCACCTGTAGTCCCAGCTACTCAGGAGGCTAAGGTGGGAGGATTGCTTGAGCCCAGGAGGTCAAGGCTGCAGTGAGCTGAGATCACACCACTGCATTCCAGCCTGGCAACAGAGCAAGACCCAGTCTCAAAATAAATAATTGATTTTAAAAATTTAAAAAGTTCTGGCCATCCTTAGCTTTTGAGAACTGAAATGTAAAATTGTCCAGGTAAATGGATTGGTCGAGTAGAAAGAAAACAAATCAGGCATCAGGAGCTCTCAATTCTATCTTCAGCTCCAAACAAGAAAGCTGTTCCAAGCTCCATCCAGCAAAGGTGAGAGGGAGCGAGGCAGGGAAGAGCTATTGGCTATCAATGTTTTCGGAGACTCTAAGAAGTGTGAGACATTTGAGCAGTGAACATTTCAGAAATAAGAGAGATGTGATAAAAGACCAGGTGGAGGAAAACCGATGGTGTTGAGGCCGCTGAAGAGAGGCAGCTAAAAATCCCATGGAGAAGAATCAGAAAGAAAAATATAGCCAGAGAAAATGAGGGAAAGGGTGGAGTGGGAATATGTAAGTTTTTAGCGGCTCTTCAGTTAGCAATGACTCCAATATGATGAGAAAAATGAAACAGAATCCATTCAAAAGAAAAATGAGCTCACAGACCCAAAAAGAGCAATGTTTTATAGCGCATTGCAATTTTTTGTTCTAATTTTCTTTGTGATGGATGTTTTCAGTACTAGGCTCAGAAAGATATCTTTATTAATACAATATTTCTGATGGTTTCCCTTCTGTCACTAATGATGAAAGGGAAGCCACCACCCATATCAGAAAGCACTTCGGGGGATTCTGAAAGTTATGCGGCTGGGGGTAAATGCTGGCTCTTCCGTGCTTGCAGGCGCTGGTCGTGCAGGTGTTTGGGATGGGGTGGAGTGCGGGTGTTGGTACTGTAGCCATATCCCTGGCCTCACTCTCCTCCCAGTACTGCAGGTGACGTCCGGGAGGGGTGGGGCCCTCCTCCACAGCTACACTTCCCCACGCTGGGCATGCTCCACGGAAGGATGGGCGTTGATTGCCTCAGGTCTACAAGTACAGAAGGGCTGACAAGGGGATCACAAAAAGAAAGAACCCGGGACCCATCTAGAAGCAAAATGAGCTCATAGAGAAAGGCAGAAATTAAGCAAATGTAAAGATTTACAGGCTATATGGCCTGAGGGGAAAGAAGGCTTGAGCTCTGCTGGAAAATTTCCTCCTGCCAGGTGAGGTCAGCTTTTTGTTCTGTTCAGGTCTTCCACTGGTACAGAGAAAAATATGCTTTATTCAAAATCCACTGATTTAAATGTAAATCTCATCCAAACATATCCTTACAGAAACACCTGCAATAATGTATGACCAAACATTTGGACACTGTGGTCCAGGGAAGTTGATACATAAAATTAATCATTGTAGGAACCAAGCTGAAATTATTTTTTTAGGAAACATAATATGTAAAACAAAAGAAAATATATAATATATTAAACAGCAGAGAAGTGTAAGACTTGAAACCAAAGAAAAGAAAAGTGTAATATCTGAAACAAACAAAAAATCCATTGGATGGGCTTAAAGCAGAATATAGATGACAAAGGAACAGGTCAGTGATCAGCAGAAATAGATTAATAGAAATTAATTAATGTAAAGAAAAGGCAGAAAATGGATTTAAAAGAGAGAGAGCCTCAGAAACATATGGGACTCTATCAAAAGGTCAAACATACATGTAGTTAAGATTCCAGAATGGGTCAAATACAATTTGAAGAAAGATGGCTGAAAATTGGTAAAAGTATGAACTTCCAGATTCGAGGAAATCCAAGAACCTCAACCACAATAAATATTTTCCATGCCAAGGAATCACATAATCAAATGCTGAAAACCAGAGGTAAAGAGACCCTTGTTTGGGATGGTGGCTCACACCCATAATCCTAACACTTTGGGAGGCCAAGGTGGGGGAATTGCTTGAGGCCAGAAGTTCAAGACCAGCCTGGGCAACACAGCAAGACCCTGTCTCTACCAAAAATTTTTTTAAATTGGCTAAGCATGGTGGCACACACCAGCTGCTTGGGAAGCTGAGGTGGGAGGATCACTTGAGCCCAGGAGTTGGAGCCTGCAGGGAGCTATGATCCCACCACTGTACTCCAGCCTGGGCAACAGAGTGAGACACCTTATCTCTAAAAATAAGAGAGAGAAAGAAATACTTGTGTATTAGGCTGTTCTTGAATTGCTATGAAAAAACACCTGAGACTGGGTAATTTATTTTTTAAAAAAGAGGTTTAATTGGCCCTTGCGTCTGCAGGCTGTACAGGAAGCATGATTCTGGCATCTGCTTGGCCTCTGGGGAGGCCTCAAGAAACTTACAGTTATGGCAGAAGGCGAAGGGGGAACTGGTGCTTCACATGGTCAGAGCAGGAGGGAGAGAGGGGAGAGCTGCCACACACTTGTAAACAACCAGATTTCATAAGAACTCACTCATCATATAGTACCAAGAGAGGATGGTGCTAAACCATCCATGGAAACTACGCTCCCATGATCCAGTCACCTCCCACCAGGCCCCATCTCCAACACTGGGGATTAAAATTGAACATGAGATTTGGGGAGGGACACGGATCCAAACCTTATTACCTTGAAAGAAGACAAAGTGACATCTGGGAAAATGATGATTCAAGTAATCACTGACTGCTCGTCAGAAACAATGGGAGGCCAGCAGTCAGCAGTACAGTCTTCAAAGTGCTGAACAAAAACCATTCAACCCAGAACTCTGTATTAGTTAAAAATATCACTCCAGAATGAAAGCAAAATAAATACATCTTCAAATCAAAGAAACCCAAGAGAAGTCACTGCCAGTAGACTTGTACTACAAGAAACGCTGAAGTCAGTTCTTCGGGCAAAAAAGAAAATTACATCTCATGGAAACTCAGATTTCCAGGAAGGAATGAAAAACACTCAAAATGTGTGGATACATATAAAAGACAATTTCCCCTTTTAACTACTTGCAAATGCATATGACTGTTTGAGGCAAAACTTAAAACATTATCTAGGCCTACGAAGCTGAAAGGCTAGAATAACCGCCCGGAAGCTGATTTAGTGCCAGTGCTTCCACAGCACAGGGAGACCTGCATGGTGCCTGTCATGAGATTCTGTAGACCATGAAGGGGACAAACACTGTGGATTCCATAAGTGCCCCAAACCTCAGCCCACATAAGTGCAGCACCTCTGTGATAGCAGGAACTCCATGCAGAGTGGTTTATGGAGCTTTCAAGTTCTGAGCTAGGCTCCAGTTCAGACACCCTCGGCAGAGGGTTCTCACAGGCTGACTTTGCATTCACACGGACTATCTTCAATTCCGCATCCCAAATAACAGCCACAATTTACTTACATCTGCAAACAGAGGTTATCTTACTTTTTTGCTTTCTGCTCCTTATGCCTTTTTTTTCTTTTCTTGCCTTATTGCAAGTGCTAGACCTCAAGTAGAAATGGAGACATTGGGCATCCTCCTTTGTCCCTGATCTTAGGGAGAGGCATTCAGTATTTCACCATTAAATATGAGGTTAGCTCTGGGTTTTTTATAGATGCCCTTGATCAGAATGAGAGAGTTTCCTTTTCTCCTATCTGGCTGGTAGTTTTTTGTTTGTTTGCATTTTCTAAAATCATAAATGAATATTGAATTTTTTCCAAATACTCTTTCTGCATCTATTGAAATAATCATGTGGTGTTTCTCTTTTATTCTGTGAATGTGATAAATTACACTGATTGTTGAACGTTAAATCCACTTTGCACTGCTGGGATAAAACCTACTTGGTCATGATATTTACCTTCTATATATATTGCTGGATTTGATTCACTAATATTCTGTTGAGGATTTTGTGTCTATATTCATGAGGGATATTGGCTTCTAATTTTTTTGCTTATGTTTTGTCTAATTTGGATATTAGGGCTATGCTGGCCTCATAAAATGAGTTGGAAGTGTTTCCTTCTCTATTTTTCAAAAAGAGGTTTTGGGGGTTTTTTTTCTTATGTATTTGATACAATTCACCGGTGAAATAATATAAACCTGAAGTTGTCTTTTTTTTCTTTTCTTTTTTCTTTTTTTTTTTTTTTTTTGAGACAGGGTCTCACTCTATCACCCAGACTGGAGCACATGGTGCAATCAAGGCTTGCTGCAGCCTCAAGCTTCTGGGCTCAAGTGATTTTCCTGACTCAGCCTCCAAGTAGCTGAGACCACAGGCACACGCCACCACACCAGGCTAATTTTTTTATTTTTAGTAGAGATTAAGTCTTACTATATTGCCCAGGCTGGTCTCAAACTCCTGGGCTCAAGTAATCCTCTCGCCTGGCCTCCCAAAGTGCTGGGACTACACGTATGAGCCACCACAGCTGGCGGGATCTGGAGTTTTCTTTGTGAAGTTTTTGATAAATTCAATTTCCTTAGTAGACATAAGGCTATTCTGATTATCTGTTTCATCCTGTGCCAGTTTTTATGTTATTCAAGGAGTTTATTCAATTTCATCTAAATAGTTACATTTGGGCCAGGTGCAGTGGCTCACGCCTGTAATCCCAGCACTTTGGGAGGCTGAGGTGGGTGGATCACTTGAGGCCAGGAGTTCGAGACCAGCCTGACCAACATGGTGAAACCCCGTCTCTACTAAAAATACAAAAAAAAAAAAAAAAAAAAAGCAAGGTGTGGTTGCGGGCACCTGTAATCCCAGCTTTTCGGAAGGCTGAGGCACGAGAATCACTTGAACCTGGGAGGTGGAGGTTGCAGTGAGATGAGATTGTGCCACTGCATTCCAGCCTGGGCTACAAAGTGAGACTCTATCTTAAAATTAAAAAAAAAATAATAAATTGTTACATTTGTTGGCATAAAGCTTTTCACAACATTCCCTTATTATTCTTTTAATGTAGGATCTGTAGCAACCGTAACTCTGCTTTCATTCCTGATAGTGTTAATTTGTGTTCATTCATCTTGTAATACACATCAGCACTTCATTTATTTTTGGTGCTGAATACTATTTCATCGTATGAATATACCACACCCGCTTTATCCATTCATCAACTGGTGGACATTTGAGTTATTAATACTTTTTGGCTTTTATGACTAACAATGCTCTAAACATTCACATACAAGTGCTCGTGTTGACTCCTCTAGCTAGTTTGATTTAAACTGGTTTGATCCCAACAGACCTCCCCAGTTACACCCAGTCTCAGTTTCTCACTGCTGTGTAATTAAGAGATTCACTTGCTTCCTGTCCCTGAGAGTCAAGGGATCATGTAGCCTCAGCTGGATTAAGCCTGGGGCGAAACCTTGAGGGGCCCCAGACATCTGAAGGCTCAGGCAAGCTGGCCTGGGAGTCCCTGAGCTGTTGCAGGAGGTCCAGAAAAAGCCACAGCAGGTGCAGAGTTTTATTCCTTGGTTGGAAACCCTTGCTTAGGAATTCCTAGCGATATGCAATTTGTCAATTCATGTTAATGAACTCACATACTGTTAACAGTATCATTTTTGCCCTTTAGACTGGTTTTGTTCATGTGCTCACTCTTTAATCCCTGGAAATCCTTCAGAATACCTTGTTACATTCTGGAAGATTTTACCCCTTGGAATCCAATTCCTCTTCTGCAATTTGCATATAACTCCAACAGACAAAATGCCAATAATGCTTCACATTAAATGAAAAATCGCCAAGTCCCTTGTTTTCTATTTTCCTCTTAAAGAAATTGTGGGTGAAGCTGTTGAAAGATCTTTATATCGGGTAACAGACCAGGTCTTGAATTTGCTTAATAAGGAAAGAAAGGAAGGAGGAGAAGAAGGTTAACTATGTGTGAATTTATAGATGTTTTGGTGTCTGGAGTCCACGTAAATAATATATTACCTCGCTGTAAAGATGAACTCTGCTAGAGTCTAGGTCTTTAAACACAAATTAGCAGGAGCTCCAGGGAAGGAAGAGATGTTCTGCTCTTAATGATCTTTTTAACACTAGCGGCAGGTCCTGAGAACCCCGCAGGGAATTCCTGGAACGTGTAGTCCTTAGGATATTGGTATCCCGTATTGAATAGTCTGTAAGGCGGGGGTCGGGAGAAGAAATCCTCTCTATAAAATAAAAACTAAAACACTCAAGCAATTAATCCTTTAAGGACAATTACAATAATTGGTATTGGCCTGGAGACTCCAGGCTTTGAAACATTCAGCAGGTAATTTTCTTCAAAGGTAATAAAAGTGGAATATTTGACCACGTTTATTAGCAGGGACAAGGCTTGTCTGGGGACACACGATTCACACGTCCTTCCAATGTGAATGAAACTCAGCCTTTTTGTTTTTGTTTTTGTGTTATTGCTGTTGCGCTATTCTGCCCTCCAAGTGGACCCTCTGGGGCCCACTTTTTCAGCTTCCACAGAAGTGAGAGCACGCGGGGCCCGTCTTTCTGTGCCTGACTGACTCCACTTCACATAAAGGCCCCGCTCCCCCGACCCCGGCTCCCCGCCCCGCCCGGCTCACCCACGTTGCCGGGAATGATCCGTTTTCCTTCTTTTCCATCCACCTTGACTTTCTTATCTCTTATTCTGGCCTCTCTGCAAAGACCACAGCAGGAACTCCTGCGCTCCCCACCGGGGTCCCTCCTCCTCGCCTCTGCTCCCCCGCTCCTCCCCCTCCCCACTGTCCACCTCTGCCCGGTGCCCAGGCTTCCCCCACGCCCTCTTCCTTACCCGCCCCCAGCGCAGTGGCTCTGTGGGGGTCCCCACGTGCCTGTCCCCCTTCCACCCCCACCCCGCCCGGCCCCTGCGGTGCTGCCCCATCCCCCACTCCCCACCTCTCTGCCACCCCCCTCTGCGATCTCATCTCCCGGGGTGTCCCTGCCCACTGCCAGATGCCTCAGCTGCTCCTGCCCTTCCTCTTCCTCCAGGCTGGTGACCTCTGATACTACCTGTGTGACTTTTGCAACTTGCTTACCTTCTCTGAGCCTCTTCTCATTCTAGATGAGAATATTTGGAGGATCAAATGAGACCTACTAAAGATGCCCAATAGACCTTAGCTAGTTCGTACCTGCCTGACTGCTCCTTGTGCCCGTCATTTGGTGCTGGGACTCTTCACTCCACACCCCCTCCCTCCTCTCCCAGGCCGTAAAGGTGCATTTCAGGGACTGGGTAATGGGCACAGCCCTAAGTAAGCTCTGCATTCACCCCTCAGATTAGGGGGAACAGCTTGGCTGATTGGGTGAAGGCACTGCAGGCCAGTTATCTGGTTGCAAAATATATTTTATGGGTTTAGAAACAAAAAGAACTATTTGTGTATAGTGTTTAACAAATATATAATTGATTATGGGAGAAAGCAGCCCTTCCTTCCTTCCTTCTTCTCTCCCTCCCTCCCTCCCTTCCTTCTTTCTTTTCTCATTTGGAAACCTAACCACTACTGATAACATTATTTCCAAGGCATAGATGATTGGCAGCAGGTGATGGAACCCGAGTTTTCCTAGGCCTCCCATGTCTGGAGGAGGTAATGTAAAGAATAATTACTTGGTATTCAAAGGCTCTTGCCTCTACCTGCTAACACAAGAGTGCACGCTTGTCAGCAGAGCTGCTAACTCTGCTAACACAGAGGAGTCCCCGCTATGCCCAGCCAGCTCTAGGACTTCCTGCTAGAGCTGCCACTGTGTTGCCAAGCACCATGCCTCATCTTGATGTCCCCAGGGCACAACTGTAGGGATGTCACTGATGCCCTGAGTTCTCATGGTTCCAAACCTGTGGAGCAGTGAACTCCACACTCCTCCAAGGGGAGTGTGCCAAGACCAGCTTGTAGCAGGACAAGCCGCAGACAAAACCCTCAGACACCAAGTTAAAGAAGGAAGGGCTTTATTCGGCCAGGAGCTTCGGCAAGACTCAAGTCTCCAACAACCGAGCTCCCCAAGTGAGCAATTCCTGTCCCTTTTAAGGGCTCACAACTCTAATGAGGTCCGTGTGAGAGGGTCGTGATCGATTGAGCAAGCAGGGGGTACGTGACTGGGGGCTGCATGCACTGGTAATTAGAACAGAACAGGACAGGGATTTTCACAGTGCTTTTCTATACAATGTCTGTAATCTATAGATAACATAACCGATTAGGTCAGGGCTCGATCTTTAACTACCAGGCCCAGGGTGTGGCGCGGGGCTGTCTGCTTGTGGATTTCACTTCTGCCTTTTAGTTTTTACTTCTTTTATCTTTGGAGGCAAAAATTGGGCATAAGACAATATGAGGGGTGGTCTCCTCCCTTAAGCTCAGTCGTGGAGACCCTAACCCAGTGGCGCTAGAGGAATTAAAGACACACACACAGAAATATAGGGTGCGGGGTGGGAAATCAGGGATCTCGCAGCCTTGAGAGCTGAGAGCCTCGAGCAGAGATTTACCCACATATTTATTGACAGCAAGTCAGTGATAAGCATTGTTTCTATAGATTATAGATTAGCTGAAAGTATTCCTTACGGGAAACAAAGGCATGGGCCAAAATAAAGGGATGGGCTCTGGCTAGTTATCTGCAGCAGGAACATGTCCTTAAGGCACAGATCGCTGATGCTATTGTTTGTGGTTTAGGAACACCTTTAAGCCCATTTCTGCCCTGGGTGGGCCAGGTGTTCCTTGCCCTCATTCCAGTAAACCCACAATCTTCAGCGTGGGTGTCATGGCCATCACGAACATGCCACAGTGCTGCAGAGATTTCGTTTATGGCCAGTTTTGGGGCCAGTTTATGGCCAGATTTGGGGGGCCTGTTCCCAACAGGCGTGGGTCCTAAGGTGCTATTGCCCAGCCCCAGTAGTTGATAGAGCGTATGGAGGCAGAGCTTTCTGGTTTTCACTCTGACCTTCTCTCTCTCTCTCTAGGCTCATGTGTGTGCAGTAGCCTGGGCCAGGAACTGGCTGGAGTAAGAGCTCCACCCTCCCCGGCATTCAGGGCCTCTTTGGGGCCAGTTTCTTGTTCTCTCCGGATGAGTGTCTCTGGGAAGCTCCCCAGCCTTTGCACATGGAGCTCTCCAGCAGAAACCCAGGCTGAGCCCCTTTCTGGGAAGCTCCCCAGACCCTAGCAAATACATTTCTGTTGGGCCTGCCCTGCTTCTGCACTGTGGACTGCAGAAGACCACAGTTCCAGTGAGGACTCCCCCACATGCTCTTACACATAGCTATTTTTTGTAAGCTATGTGTAAGCTTCTGTTTTTCAAACATTAACAACTGCCTATCCAATGGTTCCTTCAGGTATACATGCACTATCATAAAGAATTATTCAGGCGGTGGCTCATGCCTGTAATCCCAGCACTTTAGGAGGCTGAGGTGGGCGTATCATGAGGTCAGAAGATCGAGACCATCTTGGCTAACATGGTGAAATCCCATCTCTACTAAAAATACAAAAAATTAGCTGGGCATGGTGGTGGGTGCCTTTAGTCCCAGCTACTCAGGAGGCCGGGGCAGGAGAATGGCATGAACCTGGGAGGTGGAGGTTGTAGTGAGCCAAGATCGTGCCACTGCACTCCAGCCTGGGTGACAGAGAGAGACTCCATCTCAAAAAAACAAAAATATATTCAAAATAAGTTGGGAGAGCTTCCCAATAGTTGAACATGTGGAGGTCCCTGGAGGGTGGCATGGAAGCTCTCCGCCCCTTCCCCCATACTCACCCCATGCATCTCTTCATCTGGATCCTTTGTAATATCCTTTATAATGAGCTGGTGAGCATTACTCTTCTGCAGGTCAGAAATGTTCCCAGATGCTGCGGTCATTTCAGTTTGATTTCATTGGAGATACTCTGACTTGATGATGATATTAACATCACTGAATCCTTCAAGGAATTTGTTGAATTGCTCAAAAAGGTAGAGGAAGAGAAGATGACGATAGCACACATGCTAGTGATTTTCTCATCAGACCCCTGGGAAGCTTCCAGAAGGAGCAAATAGGCTTCACGGAGGCTGTGTGAGGATGTGGTGAGAAGATGGCCATCTGCAAACCAGGAGGATACTCTCACCAGACACCAGTCTGCTGGTGCCCAGCCTCCAAAACTGCGCAAAATAAATGTTTGTTGCTTACATCCTAAATAAATAAGTAAATAACAAAATAAGTTGGGCAATCATTTAAAAAAAAATACCTGGCTATGGCTGGGTGCAGTGGCTCAGGCCTATAATCCTAGCACTTTGGAAGGCTAAAGGAGGAGGATTGCTTGAGGCCAGGAGTTCAAGACCAACTCAATATTTAAAAAACAAAAACGGAAAAAATTTGGGGCAATAGTCTTGTTTTCTAGTAGAGTCTTTTTGCAAATAATGCTGTGATGCTATCCATGTTCTTGAGTCTATGGGGAAAAAAAAAAAGATCGGCCCTGACCCTGTTTGATACAGATGAAAATCGATTTCCTATTTGGAAATCTTACTTATATCAACTACAACAGGAAGACCCTAATCCTCGAAGGATTATCTGTACTTTCAAGGGAGAAAACAGCCCAAAGTATCATGGAAGAGAGTTTCACGGCATGATCTCTGGAGAAGCAGCTGACCAGCTCTTGAGTGTGGCTGAGGGAGATACATCATGGGGAGAGGCAGCAAAAGGCAGGGCCCTACACTTTAGCTTTCAGATTGGGAAGTCAAACAAGAAACTTCAGGTTCTAGTGCGATGGAAATCACTTTGCTGGGAAGAAACACTGTGTGTCCATCCACAATCTGGTAACTGATGGCTTGATTACTCTCTATATTGAAACAAGGCAGCAGAATACATTGCCAAGATGATGATAAACCCAGTTTATGAGCACATAGGATGCACAACCTTAAACAGAGAGTCTGTTTGCAAAAAATATATGCCAGTCCTGAAAAAGACACGTGGTGAGATTCTATAGGCCAGGATGAGGTGTCGGAGAAAAGGGTGACATCACTCGTTAGGAGAGCAACTCTGAAAGAAAACAAGCAAATTCCAAAATATGAAAAGGTTCACAATTTCAAGGTCCATGCATCGAGAGGCCCACGCTGGCATGAATACCGTGCCATCCTCATGTATGGTCTCATTGCTCAGGGAGTGAACTGTGTGGATTGATTTCAGTGTTCACAAGCAGTGACCCAACATGGTCCCAAATGACTGGAAGCCAGGCTTGAGGCATGCCAACGTGTCCAGCTGTGACCTTACAATGCTTGTCAAAAGCACACACTGCTAAGCAGCCAAGGGTGGCAGACATGTGCAACAGGGAGATTGAGTCTGAAAGTTCCAGTTCTGAAGGACTATACCATGTATCAGGATTTAGTGACTTAACTGATGTCAAGACAGCTTTTGACAGATGGTGAGAAAGCAGCTATTTCTGTGAACACATATGAAGATACCAACATTATCACTGGAACTCCGAAACTGCACTTCAGGGATTTGCCAGTTTCACTAATTGCGCAGGATATCTACCGTAAGTTTATAGAATCTGCCAAAACTACGGATCCTAGTGAGTAATTGGAAACCCTTCATGAAGCATTGAAACTACTGGCACCTGCTCGCTGTGAAACCCTCTGATCCCTGATGGCGCGTCTAAAGAGAATGACGCTCCATGAAAACGAGAATCTTATGAATGCGGAGAACCCTGGAATTGTCTTTGGCCCATCCCTTCTGAGACCTCCAGAACAAAAAGCCATGCCCACACTGAACGATATACAATATCAGAGACTGGTGGTGGAGCTGCCTATCAAAAACAGCGACATTTTACTTTAAATTTTACATTTGAGGGGAAAATAAATGTTTTACAGATGAAGGCATGTTTTATAGTAATTTAATTGGCTCCTATAGCTGAATTATTTCTTGATTAGAGATTCGGGCATATAACCAGATTAAAATGAAGGAACTTTCTGTTGTTTAACTGTCTTACACAACAGTGAACACACACTTTCTGGTGCTAGCAATGCTGGGTGTTTATCACATTAAGAAAAACTCAAGCTATTGCATGATTAGCCCCCATCTGGCAGAAACTCCATACAGAAGACACAAAAAACCTGCCCCAGCACAGCCTCTGTGTCCTGCGTAATCTGTGGTGGTAATCCAGCATGTTTCAGAATAAGCCTGTTGTGACTTTGCTTTAGGATCTGTGTCATTGGTTTCTGATGCTTGTACAAACATGCACACTGAAATGGATAAAACAGTACCTCTGGCTGTTACGTTACCAGACTATATCATATGCCTATTTTTTGCAAATGACTTCTGGTTTCTCTTAGATCCTCTCTAACACAGCACTTTTTTTTTTTAATTTTTTTATTTTTTTTTTGAGATGGAGTCTTGCTCTGTCGCCCAGGCTAGAGTGCAGTGGTGCGATCTTGGCTCACTGCAACCTCCACCTCCCAGGTTCAAGCAATTCTCCTGCCTCAGCCTCCCGGGTAGCTGGGATTACAGGCACCCATCACCATGGCTGACTAATTTTTGTATTTTTAGCAGAGACGGGGTTCCACCATCTTGGCCAGGCTGGTCTCAAACTCCTCACCTCATGATCCATATGACTCCGCCTCCCAAACTGCTAGGATTATAGGCATGAGCCACCACACCCGGCCTAACATAGCACTTTCTTTTTTTTTTTTTTTTTTTTTTTTTTTTGAGACAGAGTCTCGCTCTGTCGCCCAGGCTGGAGTGCAGTGGCGGGATCTCGGCTCACTGCAAGCTCCGCCTCCCGGGTTCACGCCATTCTCCTGCCTCAGCCTCCCAAGTAGCTGGGACTACAGGCGCCCGCCACTACGCCCGGCTAATTTTTTGTATTTTTAGTAGAGACGGGGTTTCACCGTTTTAGCCGGGATGGTCTCGATCTCCTGACCTCGTGATCCGCCCGCCTCGGCCTCCCAAAGTGCTGGGATTACAGGCGTGAGCCACCGCGCCCGGCCAACATAGCACTTTCTTTCCACCACCAGCAAAAGCAAAATGTGTTTTCAGATTTGTTACTTTAATAAGTTATCCATACCAATAAAAAATGTACAACACAGAAAAAAAAAAGAAAGATTAAGATTCTTTGTTGGTGGAGAGGGAGCAACTGGACCCTGGTTATGAAGCCATGGCTCCAAAGCACTTGGTACTTCCTCCAGCAGAATCAGAGGATGGAGGGCAAAGGAAAGGCTTGTGAGGACACACACTGGCCACGTATGTGTCAAATGCTGAGGACAGCAGGGAAGGTGGCTTTTTACTGGTGTTTTTTGAGATTCTGGGAGTTTATTGGTCACGTTTCATTCCTTAGGGAAACCATTCTGGAATTTCATCATGAAAGACAAACAGAAAGCCATTTGGTTGCTTCAGATCTCTTCCTTGGGTCCCCCACTCTTACTCTTGTCAAGTGCCATGTACATGATAAGCACTGGGGATTCAGCTGTGAGTATGCACATCCCTACCTTTAACCCAGGGGATGGGGCACATGGGGAAAGGGAAAACCATCAGTTATAATATTGTGGTACACCATAGCACCTACGGTATTGAAGGTCATTTTCTCATACTTCCTTCATTTTCTCTTTGACATGGCTCCTGACCAGACTTACTGGGGTGCTGCTGATGGTGACAATGTCCCATCTGGAGCAGCCACTGCGAGGACATCGGCTGTAGCAGGTGTTGAAGGGCATGGCAGGTGCTGCATGCTCTGTGGAGCCACCAGGAGCTAGGGCAGGTGAGGGCCCCACTCCTAAGTTGGCAGGGCAGGAGCACATGCTCCCGGGCACAGCCATAGCCACCCAGCAGCAGCTCAGACCCCGGCATCCCTGCTCTCTCAGTGGCCTAGGAAGCCCCCTGCCCCTGCAGGCTTGAAAGTGCCTGCTCCCACTCCCGGGCCTTTCCCCACTTCTGGCACCTGCTCTGGGGTGAGCAAAGTTGTGGCCGAGCCTCGGCACTGTCGCAACCCAGCTGGGTGTGCACGCACTCAGAGTGGCACTGACACACTAGCCCCCTGCCATCTCAGTCACCTCCAGACTTTGGGCACCAATGAGCATGGGAGGGGGCTGGGGCACTGAGGGCAGCTCAGTGTGGACCTGCAGGCACCCATTGTGACAGACAGCCTGGGTGCTGCAATGGCATGTTGATGGCTGCAGGAAGCAGACAGATTCCTAGGTAGGAAGGGGTAGGTCCCTGGTGAAACCTCTTCTTCAAGCCAGGAATGGCCTGAAGCCTGGGGGCTGGGCTGCCAGTTCCAGGTGAAGTTAGTGGCCCAGAGTGAGAACTTCATCGGTGACCATTTGTCCAATCAGATGGTGCCTTTTCCAGGCCTGCCTGTGGCCACCCATGGACCAATCAGCACACACTTCCTCCATTCTGAGCATATAAAAACCCCAGACTCAGCTAGGCTCACACACTCATTGGGATGATCTGCCTGTGGAAATGGGCTACCCACCATGGGTCTCCTCTCCACTGAGAGCTGGACACTAGTCTGGATGACCTGCCTACAGAAAGGGGCTACCCAGTGCGGGTCTCCTCTCTGCTGAGAGCTGGATGCTCATTGGAATGACCTGCCTGTGTAAAGGAGCTACCCACTGTGGGTCTCCTCTCTGTTGAGAGCTGGACACTCATTGGGACAACCTGCCTGCATAAAGGAGCTGCCCACTGTGGGTCTCCTCTCTGTTGAGAGGTGGACACTCATTGAGACAACCTGCCTGTGTAAAGGAGCTACCCACTGCAGAGTCTCCTCTCCACTGAGATCTGGACACTCATCAGGGCAACCTGCCTGCAGAAATAAGCTACCCACTTCAGGTCTCCTGAGAGCTGTTCTGTTGCTCAGTGAAAATCCTCTCCACCTTGCTCACCCTCCAGTTGTCTGCATACCTCATTCTTCCTGGACGTGGGACAAGAACTTGGGACCTGCTGAATGGTGGAACTGAAAGAGCTGTAACAAAAACAGGCTGAAACATACCCCCCTGCCCACTTCTCACCATGTTGCAGGTGATGAGAAGGAGAGAAGGGCTGCAGCCCTTCAGGGAGCCCAGACCTAGGGGCTCCCCAAGCCAGGGCAGTGACACCTCTTTGGGGCTCTGTGGTTCCTGGAATCTCTAAGCTTCCAGGTGCCACTGCATTCCCGTTGTCCAGATGCGAGTGCCCTCAATGGAAGCCACTCATGTTACATCTGATCCAGCCGCAGCCTTTCATAGAGCCAGCATCTGTGCTGGTGCCTCTTGCTGCCTGCCCCACTGCAGCAGCTGGCATGCCTGGCTATGTGCAGTGGCCGGACCTTGCGCTTGCTCGCTCACACACCCCTCACCACTCTGTGCCTGGCTTACCTTTGGCAGGCATGTGATCCTGGCTGGTAGCTTGGCTGAGCAAAGCCTGCTTGGCCAAGTGGGTGGAATAAGCCCAGGAGGCCTAAACAAAACTTGGGCAAAGGTGTCACTGGCCTCAGAGGTTTCTGGCTAGAAAAACGATACCTTAAGGATCCTATGACACTGCCATGGCCTGCTGTGCTTCTGTTCCAGGGGCATATACAGATTCCAGTGATCTGTGGCACCACAGAAAGCCTACTTTCCACGGTGTATATGTGCCACATTTTCTTTATCCAGTCTACCGCTGATGGACATTTAGGCTGATTTCCTGTCTTTGCTATTGTGAATACGATGCAGCTATAAAAAAGAATGAGATCTTATCCTTCGGAGGACATAGATGAGCTGGAGGCCATTATCTTTAGGAAACTAACACAGGCACAGAAAACCAAATACCACATGTTCTCACATAGAAGTGGGAGCTAAATGGTGAGAACACATGGATGCAAAGAGGGAAACAACAGACATTGGGGCCTCCTGGAGTGTGGAGGGTGGGAGGAGGGAGAGGAGCAGGAAAAATAACTACTGGGCACTAGGCTTAGCACCTGGGTAACAAAATGATTGGTAAAACAAACCCTTGTGACTCAAGTTTATCTATATAACAAACCTGCACATCTACCCCTGAACCTAAAATAAAAGTTAAGGAAAAAAAAAGAAGGCTGGGCACGGTGGCTCATGCCTATAATCCCAGCACTTTGGGAGGCTGGGGCAGGCAGATCACTTGAGGCCAGGAGTTCAAGACCAGCCTGGCCAAATGATGAACCCCCCCCGCCATCTCTACCAAAAATACAAAAATTAGCCAGCTGTGGTGGTAGATGCCTGCAATTCCAGCTACTTGGGTGGCTGAGGCAGAAGAATCGCTTGAACCCAGGAGGCAGAGGTTGCAGTGAGCTGAGATTGTGCCACTGCACTCCAGCCTGGGCAAGACAGTGAGACTCCATCTCAAATTAAAAAAAAAAAAAGAAAGAAAAAAGAAAGCCTACTCTCTTCAGTGTCCCTGTCCCATGACAGATCTTTGTTATAAGCTCCTGAGAAGGCCTCCGATGGGCAGCATGTCCGGCAGTTTCTCCTTCCCTCTGGCCCTGTGCTGCCTCAGGGACAATGGCCACATCTCTGCAAGAAGCTGTGGCTTGGGAAGAAAGAGTAACCCTTGCTGCCAATTCAAGCCCCTACTATGCAGCAAGATGTTGGCCAGGTGCTTTCTGACAAAATACTTTATGCCCTCCTGGCACTATGAGGGAGGTTTTAATACCCCCACTTATCAATGAGAACATGGAGAATTTGAGTGTTTATAAACTTTTCCCAAGTTTTCATAACTACTAAGTGGCATAAAGATAAAATTCCAAACCAAGTTTACTTAATTCAAAGGAAATAATTAGAAAAACCTAAATCTAGACTGGACTGTGAATGATGCCTGTGATCTAGGTTTACATACAAATGGAATTAAAGACATTATACATTTTCCTTTTTCTGTTTTTGTTTTTGTTTTTGTTTTCAGACGGAGTTTCACTTTTGTTGCCCAGGCTGGAGTGCAATGGCGCAGTCTCGGCTCACCGCAACCTCCACCTCCCGGGTTCAAGTGATTCTCCCAGGTTCAAGTGATTCTCCCAGGTTCAAGTGATTCTCCTATCTCAGCCTCACGAGTAGCTGAGATTACAGGCACATGCCACCACACCGGCTAATTTTTGTATTTTTAGTAGAGATGGGGTTTCATCATGTTGGTCAGGCTGGTTTCGAACTCCTGACCTCAGGTGATCCACCCGCCTCGGCCTCCCAAAGTGCTGAGATTAGAGGCATGAACCACTGAGCCCAGAACATTTTCCTTTTTCTACAAATATGGGAACAATCCTCTTATTTCACGCACACCTTGGTGACACTCTCAGGAGGCGACCTAGAGAACCTACTGGCTTAAGGGGATAGAAAGTAGGGACAGTCCTCTGGGGGCAGGTACCCTCATTCTACTCCATGTAGTGACAAGGTCTCCTTGACATGTCATTTCCCAAGAATTCGCATGCCACACACATTCGCATATTCCCACGCCTACCTGTTGCACAGAAGACTAGCGTTAGCTTTCACTGCTGGGAGGGTTGCCTTTGAAACATTTTCCCCAAAGTGACCTCTAGCAAAGTCATTCGAATCTCCTGTCTTGGGTTCTTGTCACTCTGCTCCAGGACGGGGGAACGGCCAAAATTTACTGCACTGAATCCTGACCACCTGGGAAAGAAGAAGAAAATACAGCCTTCTTTAACACCCCAGGCTAATTAAAAAGGAATTGCCATTTGGACCTGGGGGAAATAAGTTGAAGGGGAGGTGATTGGTTTTTAGGTAAACTCTGTACTTAAAACACAATCCTTCACTCCCTCTACTTTTTCTTTAGATGAAAAAGGCATGATTTCATCTTGCCAGATATTTGAGGATATTCAGATCAGGTGAGTCAAAGCCATTTGCAAATGTTATTATCTCTTGTATAAAAGTAGGACAAAATGAGAGTATCGTCTTCAAATCTGCAAATGAACCCAGGTCACCCAGATCTTCAGCAGAAATCAATAAACCCATAAACCCGTGACTGCTCATGACAATCAGTTTCTTTTTTGTTTTAAAACTGGCAGTGGCTTTCACTCTCTTTAAAGCTTTAGTCCTGCACTGGACTTTTTTCCTGATACTTCAGAGATCATCCTGGGAAATAAACCTGCCATGCCTTACCTACGGGCAAGGAGTCAGACCCCGGATTCTGACTTCCTGAGAATGATGGAAATTTGGATCCTTGCTGCTCTTCATGGATCTTATCCTGCCTGCACGCAGCAAGACAATGATCAAATTTTCAGGTGGAACTAGAGCTCCAAGGAGTCTGGCGGCTGGGAAAGGGATGCATCCCACTGGCCCCAACCCTATTCCAACTCCTTTCCTGGCTCTAACTAATGCCCAGGTTCTGGGATTTGCAACACATACCTCACCCTGTGGCCCCCCAGCCTCTCGGGATGCCCCTATCTTTTGGCCTGGCCTGACCTGGCCTGACCTGGCCTGGTTCTTCTCTACTACTTTGGGATATTTACGAAGTTTTCCATTCTTACAAGTCTAGCGCTGCTGCAGATCGTCTGGCTCTCTGGCTACAGCTCGAGAAATGTTCTCACCCACCCACACAACTGCTGGGTGACCTGAATGCACCCAAGTTCAGGTAACATGACAGAGATGGAGAGACAATTAGTTAGCTGCAGGCCTATATTAATCAGTCTCTCCAAATGCAGTCAAGGCACAGAGCCAAGGGGAGTTAGCCCTTTTTGATTGTTTGCATCTGAATTAAAGTAGTCGCTCCTTTCATCAATAGCAATTAATATTTCCTGAGTGCTTCCCAGTAGCATGGCATTGCATTAAGTCTTCCTAGGGCTTTTCACAACATAGAGGATGTGAAATTTCTGGTCTCGATGAGCATATAATAATAAGCAAGACATGACAATTAATTAGCAAATATTTACAGAGTGTGTATTTAGCCTAGCCATTTCGCTGGAAGCTTATACACCACAACTCAATAATCATAGAAGGGACCCTCAAATAGGTGGAGGCTGTCTCCAAAGCCCTGAGCTTCACAAAGGCGTGGGAGAGTTTGCTCTCACACTCTGGCCCCAGGCACCGCCAATGGTTTCCAACCATAAGCAGCACCTTCCTCTCAGGGAGTGCCTGGAAATGTATGGCAGCATTTGTTATCTGCCTTAGGCTACAAACTGGCATTTACTGTGTGCAGTACAGGGATGCTGATGTTCGACAATGTGCCAGACAGTCCTTCACAACCGAGAACTTTCCCACGCAAAATGCCTGTAGAACTCCTGTTGAAAGCTGACAGAGTAAAAGCTATGAAAATATTCAGAGGATTGAGGAGTCCTCTGGCGATTTTCCTCTCCCAGAGTTTGAGAAATCCTCTTTTGGAAGGGGAATGACGTTTGGAGGGGTGAGGGCCAGGTTAGCCCAAACTCTCCAGGAGCCTGACTGCTTCAGGCATCAGAGAGTAAGCCTCAGTGGTCTGTTCTGCTAACAAGTCCAGAAGATCATATTTTTCACTGTTATGGCTGAGTTACCTCTTTTGGAAGAAGTTAAGCAAGATTCTCAGTTTAGAATATTATTTGGTCCTTGTTTTCAACTCAACAGTCACATCACAGTGTGTCTTTCAGGGTAATGTTTCTTAATAATTGCGACCAATTAAAAAAAGGAAACAAGGAACATGAAGTATAAACGGACTAGCGCCCTGTAGTAAAATGTTCATCGGAGACCCCATAGCCACCTGAGCCCCAAGCTTCCCACGATGGTCTGTGTTATGGCCGAGCTGCCCGCAGATTTGCAGCAAGAGGCCAGTGAGGGGCAGCCTGAAACCACAGAAAGCAGTGGAACAGGTCGGGCGCGGTGGCTCATGCCTGTAATCCCAGCACTTTGGGAGGCCACGGTGGGCAGATCACCTGACGTCAGGGGTTCGAGACCAGCCTGGCCCACATGGTAAAACCTGGTCTCTACTAAAAAAAAAAAAAAAAAAAAAAAAAAATTAGCGGAATGCTGTGATGGGCGCCTGTAGTCCCAGCTCCTCGGGAGGCTGAGGCAGGAGAATCACTTCGACCTGGGAGGTGGAGCTTGCAGTGAGCCAAGATCGCACCGCTGAACCAGCCTGGGTGACAGAGCAAGACTCTGTCTCAAAAAAAAAAAAAAAAGAAGTGGAACAAGCTGTGGCCAACCCGGGGCAGGCATTCTGAGAGAGTAGCAGGGACGGAAAGGAGAATGACACCCAGCAGAAGCAGAATGTGGACGAGCAAGCCTGAATCTGCAAGAGGGGGCAGGGCATGTGGGGTAAGGCACCAGCGTTCCAACCCACTTGCAGCAATGCTCTTTGGAACCAGACTGAAGCGTGGCCTTGGAGAGCGGCATCTGGCTCTGAGGAAGCCACTGACGCCTTCGGGAAGGTGAGCCGTCTTCGTTCACTCACAAGAACAATTAAGGCACAATTTCTTTTTTAATTAATTAATTAATAATTTTGAGACAGGGTCTCACTCTGTCACCCATGCTGGACTACAGTGGTGCCATCCTGGCTTACTCCAGCCTCAACCTCCTGGCTCAAGTGATCCTCCTGCCTCAGCCTCTCGAATAGCTGGAACTGCAAGCATGCATCATGACAGTGGCTAATTTTAAATTTTTTTGTAGAGAGCGAGTTTCCTTATGTTGCCTAGGCTGGCCTCAAATTCCTGGGCTCAAGTGATCCTCCCACCTTGGCTTCTCAAAGTGTTTGGATTACAAGTGTGAGCCATCACGCCTGGCCTCAGGGGTTTCCTTTATCACTTATTACCACTTCTATTTTCTAAGAGATCCTTTTGTACATACAGCCTAAGACAGCATCAGTCCTTTTTCGCAGTGGTGATGTTATGGGCTCATATGTACCCTAAGTAATTACTCACTATTACTCCTTCTTCGAAAGAAGGAGGAAACTACATTGCTGTTTCTTAAACAGCAGCCTTCCCTGTTAGATATCTGTGGAATATTATTTCTCCCCAGGTGCATTACCTTACATTAACCTATACACTTATGCTAGGATTACATTATGCTAAATCAAAAGTGCATTTTTTATATAAAATATTTCCAACTTACCATGGGTTTACCTGGATGTAATCTCATGGTAAGTGGAGGAGCTACTGAATGCGTATTGCTTTTGCACCACTGTAAAGCTGAAACTCGTAAGTCAAACCATAGTAAATCAGGGACTATCTGTGTTAAATCTAATCTTGTTCACTTCATTTCCTCACTAAATTTGCCAGATCAAACTACAATTTAATCCCTGTTCTTCTGTCTCCCTCCATCTCTTTCTTCCTTCCTCCTTCCTTCCCTTCCTTCCTTTCTTTTTCTTTGTCTTTTCTAATTTAGTAGTACAAATCATTTTCCTCTTTCTCGTTAGTAGATAAATTGTGGTGGATAGAGTGTAAACAGTGTTACACTCTATACCTCCCCCTTCCAAGAGCATTAATAATCAGTGCTTACTGTTGTCAATCTGATTGTCAACAGTTTGCATTTGTCATGAGGGTTGGCAGTAATGGCTGTGGATTTGGCTTTACTGGAGGGGAATTAGTTGTGGAGTCCTGATAAGATAAGTAAGCAACAAAGAGGAAGGGACCCCAGGTGGAGAAGCACCCTAGCTGGGGAAGAACAATGAACAATTGTTCTAAGAAACAGCTAATCACAACTCCTGGGTACAATGATCTCTTTCTATGGGCACAACGACCTCTTTCTGCAGGTAGCCCCTCCAGTGCGACCCTATAAAACTTCCCTCCAGCCTCTGCCTCTTTGCAGGCAGCCCCTTCTCTGCCGTGCTGCCTGTTGCTTTCTTGCAACATATTTTCATACTTTCTCTAATAAATCTGCCTTTCTTTACCTACAACGGTCTTGGTAAATTCCTTCACCACCCTTGCCACTGGCCCCAGCTAGTCCCGCCTGTGACATTAGTGTCATCTATTGAACTCTTAACTGTTGAAGTAATTGTTTTCCTTTGCAGATTGACCTGGCTTTCCTGCTCATAGTTGGCTATTGGACAGTCAGCAACCTTGCACTTCCTTTTCTCTGTAACGTAGGCATTGATAGGAGGGGACTCGTATCCAATCATACTTGCATGTGCACACTACACTCTTATCCCACCGTTACTTCTCCAGGCTACACCATGATGGCAGCTGGGAAGAGCAGCGCTCCATGGTTGGCCACTTGATTCTCGGTCAAGACTCCTGCCTTCTAGTCCCACTTAGTTACAGCTTTGGCTGGCGCAGGACGCCCAGCCTCTCTCTATCTTGGTGTTCTCTGTCTGTAAGATGGAGAGCACCTCACAAGATGTGGGGTGTGTGGGAACAAGCCAACATCTGGGGTATTTTTAAGAGGCTGGGATTTTAAATAGAAATAAATAAATAAGGCTTCAAAAGTCAAATCCTAAAAAAGATCATAACAAGAAGAGATCACCTGTATAACTGGGATTGCAGGGCTTGAAGCAGAGAACACAGGATTCAGTAAGTTGGCTCTCAGTTGTATCTTTGAGGTATGACTGGGTCCTCATGCAGCTCAAAAGTTGGGGAACTAGGTGTGGGTCCATACACGCGAGTGCAGCCAGCACCATCTCTAGCACCTTTTAGTTTCACATCCTCCCATATTGCACGGATGCATATGACTTTGGAAGAGATGCTGGGTTCTAGGGATAATCCCAGAATCAGGTAAGTCTGGGCTACACTGAGTATCCAAGTTCATTTTTCAATCATTCATGTCAGAGAAACTGATGAAACTCTGTCATTTTCAAAACAGGAAGTGACTTCCCCAGGATCACACAGTTACAACACTTCTAGGTCCAGACCACACGCCAGAGTGCAATTCTGTGTGGTGGTTAGGAGCACAGGCTTTTGATCTGACAGATCTGGGCTTTAGAACCCTTGGAAAGCAAGCAGCACATCTGTCATTATTTGCAGTCTACCTGGGAAACCCAAGAAAATCGGTCAAAAATTTGACCAATTTACTAGTCTTGTCTTCAGGTGAATATTGTAAAATAATAATGATTCCTAAATTGATATTTTAGGTTGAATTCTAGAGTCGGAACACATAATAACAAATCCAATTTTGTAAATGAGGGCAGATGTGTACTGAAACATATTTAAATACATATTATATATTAAACACATGTGCACACATAGGATGTGATACTTGCACAAGAGTGAACAGACAAACCAATGGAAGGAAGGGTGAATTATTAAATAAATAGTGATACAAAAAAAATTGAAGGCCCATTTTTTTCCAGGTAAAGTAAGGCAGTAAATGTAAAAAAAAAAAAAGGTCACAATAAGAAAACTAGGGGGAAAAAATAGCTAAATACTTATATGACCTATGGCTGGGAAAGAACTTTGAAAACATTGAAAGTACAAAGAAAAAGATAATTTGACCACATAAAAATGTAAAACGTAGGCACATAAAAAATAATTTAAAACACAATAAGCTAGAAAATGACAGACAAGGAGTTAATGTTTCTTCTTTCATTTGGCAAATATTTCTTTTTTTCCTTTTTTTTTTTTTTTTTTTTTTTTGAGACAGAGTCTCGCTCTGTCACCCAGGTTGGAGTGCAGTGGCAGTGGCGTGATCTCGGCTCACTGCAACCTCCGCCTGCCAGGTTCAAGCAATTCTCCTGCCTCAGCCTCCCGAGTAACTGGGACTACAGGCAAGTGCCACCATGCCGAGCTAATTTTTTGTATTTTTAGTGGAGAAGGGGTTTCACCATGCTGGCCAGGTCGGTCTCAAACTCCTGACCTCCTGATCCGCCTGCCTTGGCCTCCAAAAGTGCTGGGATCACAGGCGTGAGCCACTGTGCCTGGCCTCGGCAAATATTTCTTGAGCACCTACTATATGCCAGGTACTTGCTATGTGCTGGGTGTGCAACAGCAGACAATATAGGCAAAAGCACCTGCCCTGAGGGAGTAGACAGTGGACAAGTTGTTAAGAGGGGCAGCAAACCCCAGCAAGAAAATGGACAGAGCATATGAGCAGACAATTCACCTAAGAGAAAAACTGAGCACATAATCAACCCCTGTGTGGTGCTTCCCCAAGTCTGGCCTTAATTCTGCAATCGGAACCTAGATCCTGTATCAACTGCCCAGCTCCCATTTGGAAGCCCAGCTCCCTCCTATTCACTGCATCAGACCTTTGCCAACACTGGCTTCCCTGTCCATACTCTTCAGCCAGGCCTTGCCATCCCTGCCACCCATCTGGGATTCCAGGCTCCCTGGAATGGTTTGGGATCCCGGCTCCTCCATGTAAGACCTGCATGACCTTGGGCAGGTCACTTACCCTCTCTGTGCCTCTGTTTCCTCACCTATGGATTGTCAATTAAAGTAGTACCCCTCTCTTAGGGGTGAGGACCAAAGTCCTCAGGACAGCACCTGGGCAGAGAGGCAGCTCTCAATAAACAGCCGTAATTATGGCTCTCCTTTCAAGGTGGCCCAGAGCCGGGTCTACCGAGGGGCAGCTGTGCTGGGACTGGAGGAAAAACCCACTCCCCACAGGCCAGCGGGAGAGCTGCCTCGGTGCAGGACTGGCCCTGCGTCAAAGGTTTACAGCAACTGCCCTCACCCTCATGGCAGTCAATCTCTCCTCTGAGCCGACTCCGGGGGCGCAAGGCTGGGGAGAACTCAGGATCAGGAAACTCTCACTTCTCGTTGTTCTTATGGACATGTTGTGGGTCTTTATTTGTGACATCCAAACGCACTGCATTGCAGGACTTCCCGCTGACGCTTCATGAGCTCACCTGGTATGGTTCACCAAGTCCTAATAAACTCCTACCTGGCCTGTCTCTTGAGCCAATGCGAAGCAATGGAAAAAGACCGGAAAAAAGGTCTCCTTGAACCCCCAAATAATTAATGAAAACTAAGAAATCTTGCTAGCATTCCTCCCCTGATCTTGTCTAAAACAAGCCCTACCCTATAACATGTTTATTCTTCTGCCTGGGCTTCTTCAGGTATCCCCCCGGGGAAATGCTACAATCCTGGGGTTGTATTTCAACGTGGCTCAGTCCTGCCTTGGCAGTGGTACAAGATAGCAAAACTACTGTTCTCCAAGGTAAGAGGGAGATTTAGGGTTCGTATTCCAAGTGGCTGATGTGAAATTTCAGGGTCTCTTGGATTCTTGGCTTGGGAGCAAGGCCGTGAATAACTAAGACTTTCAAAATGTCTTTATTCTCCCTGCTCCCTTACAAAGCACCTTAGGAAGGAGAAAGTGCCACATGGAGAATTCCATAGTGGAACTCTAATGCTGTCCTCGTTCACAAAACCAAGATATATTTCAATACAACAATACAAACATAGCTCTTGGCCATAAAGATGGAATTTTCAAAAGCATAGACGATGCTCAAATTTTTATTTTCAAATTTGAAAGTTCCTTTTCCTAACTTCGACCCTCCAGATTTGCATGTAGGAATATTATAGTTCATCAAAAATTCATATTCCAGTACATTAATACAGTGGTGAAACATAGGAGAGAGAACATGTATATAGCATGAGTATGCAAATTAATAGGCATGCAGCTTTGAAAAGGAGATCCTGTTAGAGATTTAATTTTAACTGTAGCAGCACCTGGTTTCACCTTTGTTTTTCCTTAACCCATGTTCTCTTTTATAATCCACAATTAAATAAAGCATTTACATAAGGATATTTTTACCTGGCAAAAAAAATAGCTAGAGAATTACTGGCTGAATAAAATCTCCCAACGATAAGCAACAGGCCAGTTACATAAATGAATGAACAGGCAGTATAGGCAACAGGACCAGTAGAGCCTGTAAACTGAAGATAAGCTTCGGGGGGCAGCAGCCACTCAGCCCGCACCTGCCAATTTTTGCCATTCAGGCTGGGGGTGCAGTGACGCAAGATCTTCCGATTTTTCAAGAGAAGTCAGACATCCTGATGTTTATGAGAAATGTCCAAAATTTTTAATTTGGAAATCCATGCAAAAATCAAAACAAAACATGGTACAAACAAACAAACACATCTCTAGTCTGGTAACATATTTTATGAGTTCCCAGGTAGCAAGCTCTGTAGTAAGGGGCAGGTGTTTGATTTTGTTTTGTTTGTTTTTACTTATTTTCTTTTATTTTTTGGAGACGGAGTCTCACTCTGTCGCCCAGGCTGGAGTGCAGTAGTGCGATTTCGGCTCACTGCAACCTCCACCTCCCAGGTTCAAGCAATTTTCCTGCCCCAGCCTCCCGAGTAGCTGGGATTGCAAGCACCCAGCTACTTTTTTTGTATTTTTAGTAGAGATGGAGTTTCACCATGTTGGCCAGGCTGGTCTCAAACTCCTGACCTCAAGTGATCCATCCCCGCTCAGCCTCCCAAAGTGCTGGGATTACAGGTGTGAGCCAGTGCGCCCGGCCTGTTTTCAGTTATTTTGAATGCTATTTGAGTTTCATAGCAAAAGGAAAATTCTCATAAAATGTTGAATTTGAAGATACAAATGTATTTAAGAAAATAACATTGATAGCTTAAAGTGGAGATTTTTATCTAAATGAGAACTATCACTGGAAACTGTGATGACACATAGAGGAAGTATAGAATGTTCTAGTACCTTCTGAGTCAGGCTAGCTGCATGGGCAGGCTAGCACAGTGTCTTGATTGAGGGTTTTTCATGATGCCATATCACAGACCTATGAGAAGATGGGTTTCAAAGGACAAGTCATAGGTAACCTGTAAACAAGTAGTTAAATCCACTTTGGCACTGAAAGTTCCTTGAAGCACAGGTTAAATTTGTTCTGGGTAAATTGCTTCAGATTGAAGAAGCTGACACTTCCCACTTCCTTCCTGTTTCTGTTTCCACTTTCTGTGTCCTAACTTTCTTCCTCCAGATCAGTTAGTTCTTTCCTCCTCCTGGACTGGTTTCATCATATCTATCATACAGACAATTCTTCTTGATTAATTAAGATAATCGTTTTGGTTTGGTTCTGAAATGCATTATCCCACCTTCTTAGTTATTTACAATATTTTCCTTAGGCTAATGTTAAAATTGGTCTGAGGAAACTATGCCACCCCGTTCTCCCACCCAGCCATGCCTTTCTCCTGCTACAGAAACTCCCATGCACAGAGACAAGGACAGCCACTATCTGGAAGTGCCGGGAGCCATGTTGGGATTTATGACAGGTGCTACACCTATTCTGGGGGCTGACGATGGAATGCACTTCTGGTCTGCTCTGCCTTAATTTGTTTTTCTAGACGTGTTCAACAGCTGGACAAGATCCCTATGATCAATTAGGTGCTGTGCCCTTGAAACAAACACTCACACAAACAGCTGGAGAATCCCTGCAGTCTCACACTCCCCATGGCAGTCCCTAAGAAGCTCGGCTTTCCCATGACCAGACATCTAGAAACAGAATGAGTGAGGCAGGGGAGGCGTACGGTATAAGAAGTGGAAGGAAGATTCTAAATGTAAAGAAAAGAGAGACCCCAAGGTCAGGCACTGTATTTGGTCCTGGAGATACAAAGATCCATATAGTGAGATATCTTACTAAGATCATAAAATAAATAAGATGTGGGATCTTAGAGTCTAGGAAATGGAACAGACAAGTAACTCAATAACTACCAATTTAGTATAATAATAGTAATAGAATGTACAGGCCTCAGAGGATGTGCAGAGAAGCAAGAGTGAGAAACCCTATCTGAGGGCATAAGGACAGGTTTTGTTGTTGTTGTTGTTGTTGGGTTTTTTTTTTTTGAGACGGAGTCTCGCTCTGTCGCCAGGCTGGAGTGCAGTGGCGCCATCTCGGCTCACTGCAACCTCTGCCTCCCGAGTTCAAGTGAATCTCCTGCCTCAGCCTTCCCAGTAGCTGGGACAAGGACAGGTTTTAAAGAGAATTTAGCCACAGAGTTTTGAGAGAAGAGTCGACTAGAAAGATTCAGCGGGGCAGGATGCTCTGGGCGCGATGGAGATGGGCATATACAACCTAATAAAGAAGACAGGAACGACCGCCTCCTGCCCTCTAATAAAGACATGCGGCCTGTTTCCAGCCATAACATATAGGTGTGTCTGCTTAGTGGACACTGAAATGAAGAGCAGGCTCAGAGCCAAGCATGTTAGACTGGGGCGTTCAGGAAAGAGCAGAGAAGTTTGCTGCTCAGTAAAGAGGGGAGAGGGGGACCCCAGGCCGCTGTGAAGGCTCTGGAGGAGGCAGAACTTGCAGGCGCCCTTGGGTTCTCCGAGGGGGCTTGGCAGCCACGGGGACCAGAGAGGCGTGAGACATGAGGGTAGTTAGGGTAATTAGGGCAGGGCCCCCTGAAGGAGAGCCTTCCAGCCCAGGCTGCCTCGGGAGGATGCACTTTACCATCCGAACCAAGTGGGGAAGAGGAAGAGAGGCGATCAGTCGCTGCAACAAACCAAGTGCTTCAGGTGGGAGGATTACTTGAGGCCAGGAGTTTGAGACCAGCCTGGCCAACATAGCGAGACCCTGTCTCTCTTTTTTTCAAAAAGGCAAAATTTAAATTAAAAAAAAAGAAAGAAAGAAAGAAAAAGAGGAAGTGCTGGCCGGCACAGCAGAAACCTTGGGGCAACAGTGACCACGTGGGCAGAGGCTGCGAGTGTCAGCAAAAGAGGACAGGCCGAGAACTGCTGGTTTGCAGACCCCTAACTGGCCCCCGCTGGCCCCCGCAGCTGACTCAGCGCACCCTAAACTCGGAGGAAGTGCCAGACGGCCAGGTCCTGGGCAGCCCGGGCGCTCGCTCCGCTCCAGGTCTCCCGAGCAGGGGTGCAGGCCCGAGCACCCGCACGTGGCGTGCGCCCCTAGCTCCTCCCGGGGCGGCAGCTCACCAGCCCCCGCCTTAGTGGCTGGCTTCCACCCAGCCAAAGCCAGGAAATGTCTGTCCTTAAGCCTCGATTTGTTAATTATTTAAGCACTCTGTGTGTGTGTGAGAGAGAGAGCGTGTGTGTTTAATTTCCTTTATTTAAAAAGCACGCCGAGCCCACTGGGACCGCGGTGCTGAAGAGGCCGCCGGGCCCGGGAGAGACTGCATTCTGAGAACCAGCCCGCAAGCCCCGAAGTCGGAGATCGCAAGGTCCTAGCGGCAACAGAGCCTCCTAGCGATGGCAGCGAGCCTCGCCCCGCCTGCGGTGAACCCGCCCCCGCTCACCCCGCCACAGGTCCGGCGTCTCCCGGGTCCGCCGCGGCCGCGGGCAGAGCTAGGAGGGCTTCTCAGCCCGCGGGGCAACCCTGCTGCGGCTCCATCCAGAACCTCCCGCTGCCAGGCGCCGGGACCGGGGACGCTGGCCCCCGGATTCAAACCTATCATGGTGCATGATAACACATAACATAACATAACATAACATAACATAACATAACATAACATAACATAACATAACATAACATAACATCACAACACCACATCACAACACAACACAACACAACACAACACAACACAACACAACACAACATAACACTGAGCGTTTAGATTCAGCATGTACTCTGGGCCAGGCTCAGCTCTAAGCTGGTGCGGATCACCACGATGACCTCTAGAGTCTCCTCTGAGGTGGGTTCTACTGTTAGCCCATCTAACAGATGAGGAAATGCAGATAGAAGTGGTGGAGGAAGTGGCCCAAGCTCAGGCGGTGGCTAAGTGACTCCAGGGCAAGCCCCTCGCCCCCTGTGCTGGAGGAAGCCCGCGCCCAGGCTCTGTCGCTGAGCAGGGCACGCCTTCCACGCAGCACCCAAATGCATCGAACACTGTGCACGCGCACGAGAATAAGAAACCGTGACAAAAATACGGGTGCATCAATGTAGAGTAATGAGAAGGCAAAGCTGTTTGTAAGCACGATACAAAACCCAGAAAACATCAGGGGAAAAAATGGAAAAGCCCGACCAAATACAAAATTTTAAACCTAGGTTGGCTATAAAATAATATACCACTGAAGAACTGGGGCCCGGCATGGTGGCTCGGGCCTGTAATCCTAGCACTTTGAGAGGCCACAGCGGCCTCCCAAAGGATCGCCTGAGGCCAGGAATTCAAGACCAGCCCGGACAACACAGTGCGATCCCGTCTCTATTTATTTAAAAAAAATAAAAGAGGAAGTACTCGCGGTACAGCACAGAGGATTGCTTGAGCCCAGGAATTGGAGACCAGTTTGGGTAACATAGCAAGTCCTCGTCTCTACTAAACAACAACAACAAAAATTACTCAGGCACGATGGTGCACATCTGTATTCCCAGCTACTCTGGAGACAGGAGGATGGCCTGAGCCCAGGAGACAGAGGCTGCAGTGAGCCGAGATCGTGCAACTGCATTCCAGCCTGGGCAACAGACTGAGACTCCGTCTCCAAAAAAACAAAACCAAACCAAAACTGAAGAACTGGGAAAATATTCATGATACTTATTAGGAATGAATGGCTAAGTTTACTAATATCCCCAAAACTCTTAATGACAAAAGATGTAAACACACATTTCAGAGAAGGAACTAAAAATGGAGGATAAGCAAATTGAAAAGGTGCTCAATTTCCTTCCTTCCTTCCTTCCTTCCTTCCTTCCTTCCTTCCTTCCTTCCTTCCAGACGGATTCTCACTCTTTTGCCCAATGGCACAATCTTGGCTCACTGCAACCTCCACCTCCCAGGTTCAAGCGATTCTCGTGCCTCAACCTCCCAAGCAGCTGAGATTACAGGCATGTGCCACCACTCTAGGCAAATGTGTGTATTTTTAGTAGAGATGCGATTTCCTCATGTTGGCCAGGCTGGTCTCGAACTCCTGGCCTCAAGTGATCCACCCACCTTGGCCTCGCAAAGTGCTGGGATTACAGGCGTGAGCCACCGTGACCGGCCAGGAGGGCGTTTTTCACCTGTAACGTTTGCAACTGTGAGTTCACATCAATTGCCCCATTTTCAGTTCTGCACCGGAGACTTCAATCTAGTTTTCTTGTTTTCCATAATTATAACTGTTCTCTCTAGTAGTGAGAAACTCGGCTCCCGTCACTCTCAATATATTTAGTTACGGAGTCCTCCCCCTCCATGTATCCAGTCTCCCATTCCCTCTGCCCCACTATCCTACTGCTTGGACTTGGGTACCCTTCTCTGGCTGCTGCCTCCACTGCCCCTACACAGATGCCCCCTCTAACCATGTAGATTCTGCCACCCTACTGTGTCCTCTCTACCCCGCCCCCACATGTACACCTACCTCGACGTTGTTGGCTGTACATTCCCTGTGGGTCTTCCCTTCCATGCAGGTGACCTCCCTGCTTGGCCCCTCCGTTAATTCAGACATTAAAGATAAATGCGGCCGGGCGCAGTAGCTCAAGCCTGTAATCCCAGCACTTTGGGAGGCCGAGGTGGGCTGATCATGAGGTCAGGAGTTCAAGACCAGCCTGGTCAACATAATGAAACCCCGTCTCTACTAAAAATACAAAAATTAGCCAGGCACGGTGGCAGGCACCTGTAGTCCCAGCTACTTGGGATGCTGAGGCAGGAAAATCGCTTGAACCCGGGAGGCAGAGGTCACAGTGAGGTGAGATCATGCCACTGCACTCCAGCCTGGGCAACAGGGTGAGATCCTGTCTCAAAAAATAAAATAAAATAAATAAAATAAAGATAAATCCACTTGTGTGGAATGATTGGCTCAAAGGCCATACCTCTTTGAATACACATTGCCAAATTGCCTTCCTAAGTGTTTGTGCCAATTGATCCTGCACTGAGAATCGCATCTGAGTGCCTGTTTAACGACACCTTTGCTGGCATTGGATATTATCTATATTTTTCCAGTCCCTTTTTCTTTTGGTTTCTTTCATAAGGGCTGTGCCCAGGACAGAACGAATTCCAGAGCTCTTTATGGAGCCATCTCATCCAGCCGCCTGACTCACCTACGTTCATACCTCAGCCATCTGATTCGTTTTGATCACCAGTTTTGATCTGATTAACTGGTGAGCTGCAGAGTACTAAGCCATTGGTATAGTTACCACATTTCTTTAATGAGCTCATGCTCCCCCCATTCAAAAAGTAGTGACTGAGCAGCAGTATGATGTGCTGGGTTTTATAGGAGTTTGCAAAGATGTGTAAGTTACAGTCTCTGGCCCTCAATGCTCTTGTATTCTTGAAAAGGGCAGATATTCAGATGATATTATGAATACAGCGGTCATGTGATAAGAACTCCAACATAATCTGGGGTTCAGGTTATGCACCTGGAAAGTGGTGTGTCCAAAATCTTCCAGTGCCAATATTCAGAGTGATTCCACAGTTACACGCCACCACCCTGTAAACTCACCTCCCTCTCCTTCCCAACACAAGCCCTGTGCCCCCATCAGACTAGTCTCCTGGCCTCCAAATGCAAAAATACACTGTGTTTACTACTGATGGCATATCTTATCAGAACCCCTCCCACTCCTCAGACAGCTGCATACATACGTTCTCTCATTTAACTCACACAGCAACTCTGTTGAGGCAGTTATTTTAATCTTCCCTCCTTAGATACTGACACTGACTTCAAAGATGGTCTTGCCAAAGGTCTTAAAAATGGGGCAGAAAGTTGAACCTAGGGATGTCAGACCCCAAATTGTGTGGGCATCCTTCCCTTGCCACGGGCAGCTTCATTGCCAGGGTGTCCTTCCCCATGTCCTGCTCTTCTTCCCGCAGGGACCACCCTCCCTCTCTGCCCAGTGCCTGCCTCTTGGTTTTATGTAGGTTTTATCCATCCATCAAGGTCCAGCTGAAAAGCCCACAAAATTTCCCAAATCCTCCCGGCTGAGATTTCTCCGGGAAGCTGAATCACAGTCTTTGGTAGACTTTTCACAAGGTCATCTGGCAAGGTTTTGATGGAGATAGATGGGATCTCCAAAGGAATAATTCCTGGGCCCCAAGCTGACTTCTAGTGACATCCCCAGAGTCACGTGTTCCTCTGGGTGGAAACTCTTTTAAAACAAATGTTCACCTTATTCACTGGGCTTGATAAATTCTCCCTGGGTGAAGGCCACGTGGAGCCCCTGGTCTGATGGGGACAGGAGGGACTGTGTGTGAAAAGGAAATTAATTCAATGCTCGCAAAAGGAAGATTCTATCAGGAAATATACCTAATTGGTGTAAAAGGCCACTGTGGTTGTTGGCACTAAGCCACTCACCCTGCCAGCCTCAGTGCTTAGTGTATTTATGTCCTTTGTCACCTTCCTAATTGGAAGGAGTCACTCTACTGACTCACCATCTTTCTCCCCTTTATGGAAGAGCCGTGGGAGGTAGTGTCACTCAAGGTCAAGGGCTCAGAATTGGTCTGGGTCTGCAGTGAGATGGTGTCATTACCCTGAGAGCTGCTTGGCAGCGTTTGGAAGGTAAATTAGTGTCTTCAGTTGAAGACTTGCTGCACAGATGGCCACCTTAGTTGGCGTGACATCTCACTTCCTTGTCTCCCCCTCAGAGGAAAATGCCTGGGCTGGCTGGGCCTCATGACTATGAATTTCCATTACTTTTTTTTTTTTTTCCAAGATGGAGTCTCGCTCTGTCACCCAGGCTGGAGTGCAATGGCGTGATCTCAGCTCACTGCAACCTCTGCCTCCCAGGTTCAAGCGACTCTCCTGCCTCAGCCTCCCGAGTAGCTGGGACTACAAGCACGCGCCATCACACCCAGCTAATTTTTTGTATTTTTAGAAGAGACAGGGTTTCATTAAGTTGGCCAGGTTGGTCTTGAACTCCTGACCTCAGGTGTTCCTCACCTGAGGAACCTGACCTCAGGTGATCCACCCACCTCGGCCTCCCAAGGTACAGGAATTACAGGCATGAGCCACTGCACCCGGCTGAATTTCCATTACTTTTGAAACACAATAAAATAACTAGAAAGAGAAGCTTAAAATCAGCCCAGTACTAAGAATGTACCCATGAGGACGACAGAGGCAGCAGGATGTCGAAACTGTGCTTGGGAAGCAGGCAGCTGGGCGGGCGCTCAGACACGCTGACTCAGGAGCTCAGTCTGCCCCTCATCGCTCTTCCCTTCACTCAGAGAATTCTCTTGCCCCCAAATGCAAGTGTCAGACTGCTGAAAAACTCCTTGAAGTTCAGGCATTTCGTCTTTCTACCCTCCTGTCCACCCTCCTGGCAGAGGCAATGAATCAAATTTCTAACAGCCTCTCTTTCCTCTGCAAGCTTGGCCACGTCCAAAGGGAAGTCATCTTAAAGCTGGGATGGAGAAAGAAAAGAAGGTATAAGCCATGCTCAGAACCTTCTGGGCTCAACTCTAGTGTGTGTTCCCACCCAGCCCCAGCCTGAGAAGGCTTAGACTGAGAAAAGCCAACCAGATCATAGAAAAGCCCTCGGGGACAGGGACCAAGGCCCTTGGCCCTCAGCCTAGCTTGAGCTCCCAGCCAACAGCCAACTCTGATTTTCCAGCCATGTGCAAGACCCATCCTGTAAATGGATCCTCCAGCCCCCAGTGCAGCTGCCCTGGGGCCCAGTCAATGCCATGTGGAGCTCATATGAGCTTTCCCTCTGTGTCCCAGCTGCAGATCTGATGATCTGCTATTTCAGTGAAGCTTTGGGATGGCTTGCTACTCCGCAACAGATAACCGTAACACCAGGGTTCCAGCATTCCCTGAGGCAGCTCAGAGGGATGCTGACCACTCAGCACGCCTCAGGAAGGGGCCACTGGCCAGCCTCGCACAGGCAAGACGATACAAGCCTGTGAGATGGCATCCAAACGGCAAGCCCAGCGCTGAACACCTTTTACACACCTTTCATGCTTTCCAGCCCCCTCTCCCACTACTCCTCACCCGTATCCTTGGATCTTGGGAACCTGCTCAGTATTTGGGAGACTTGACCACGGTTGCTGTAACTTAGTAAATATAAATGGGGAGTAGGAGCCCCAGTCACCTTTTCTCCCAAGTCCAAGCCCATTACCCCCGCTGCCGTGGGGCCTTTTGCGGGCTCCCTTCCACACCTAGCATGTTGCTTTGTGGAAAATGGATTCACAATGGGAACAAGGGGAGTTTGGGGTCTAGGAGGAAATCCAAGGGATGTGATTGCTGCAGGAGCCCAGGCAGGAAGGAGTTCAAGGAGATCAGGACCATTAATATCACGTAGAATAGAGAGGCCATGAGAGAAAAGAGACTAAAGCATCTAGATATGGGAGAATGGACATGAGTTCCAAGAGCAGAAGGGACAGAAACTAACTTGGGGTGGCTTAGAGTGAGTAGGAGGGAGGAGGTAGAGCCGGTGGGTGCTCGCAGGCAAGCCCATCCTAAAGCTTGTGGAGAAGGGAAGGGAAAAGGTATGAAGCAGACAAGGGGGAGGTGGAGGGCTAGGGAAGATCTCTAGTTTCTAGGATAGTTTGGTTTTTAAGAATGAAGTTGCTGGCCAGGTGCGGTGGCTCACGCCTGTAATCCCAGCACTTTGGGAGGCTGAGGCGGGCGGATCACAAGGTCAGGAGTTTGAGACCAGCCTGGCCAACATAGTGAAACCCCGTCTCTACTAAAAATAGAAAAAATTAGCTGGGCGTGGTGGCGGGCGCCTGTAATCCCAGCTACTTGGGAGACTGAGGCAGGAGAATCGCTTGAACCGGGGAGGCGGAGGTTGCAGTGAGCCGAGATTGTGCCATTGCACTCCAGCCTGGGCAAAGGGCGAGACTTTGTCTCAAAAAAAAAAAAAAAAAAAAAGAATGAAGTTGCTAAGCAAGTTTATTCAAGAGAACAGCTGAGAGGAGGGGCTGACCCTAAGGCCTGGTCCCTGGACCGTCTCCTGGTCCAGAATGCAGGAGCTGTCCCTGAGCAACCGTGGACATGCTGGGGGCTGAAGGGACCCACGGGGTGCAGGGAGCCAAGCAAGGAAGGAAGTGCCTAATCAAAGGACTGTGTTAGCGCCTTCCGTGCCCGCGTGCAGGAGGGGCTGTGGGGCAGCAAGCCTTCGCCAGGCCACGGGCCTGGAAGCAACATGTGCCTGCAGCTGAGCTCTAACTCTTAACTCAGATGGTCTTCTACAGACCAATAAAAATAGCATTTTCCAAAAACAGGTTGATTACCCCTTATCTAGAATGCCTTGGGCGAGAAGTGTTTTGAATTTTGGATGTTTTTTGGATTTTTAAATATTTGCATATACATAATGAGATATCTTGGGGATGGGATCAAAGTCTAATTCATTTATGTTTCATATACACCTTATACACATCATCTGAGGGTAATTTTATAAAATATTTTAAAATAATTTTATGTAGGCCAGGCACGATGGCTCATACCTGTAATCCCAGAACTTTGGGAGGAAGAGGTGGGAGGATCACTTGTATCCAGGAGGTGGAGGTTGCAGTGAGCCAAGATCGCACTACTGCACTTCATCCTGGGCAACAGAGCGAGACTCTGTCTCAAAAAATAAAATAAAGGCCGGGCGCGGTGGCTCACGCCTGTAATCCCAGCACTCTGGGAGGCCGAGGTGGGCAGATCACGAGGTCAGGAGATTGAGACCATCCTGGCTAACACGGTGAAACCCCGTCTCTACTAAAAAATATAAAAAATTAGCCAGGTGTGGTGGCGGGCGCCTGTAGTTCCAGCTACTCGGGAGGCTGAGGCAGGAGAATGGCGTGAACCCAGGAGGGGCAGCTTGCAGTGAGCCGAGATCGCACCACTGCAGTCCAGCCTGGGCGACAGAGTGAGACTCCATCTCAAAAAAATAAATAAATAAATAAATAAAATAAAAATAAAGGGTAGCTTTTGGCTACCCAGGGCACACTGCCTATGGGGTAGCCCTGCTCCTCAAGGGGCAGTTAAAAAAATAAAAAGGAGGCCGGGCGCGGTGGCTCACGCCTGTAATCCCAGCACTTTGTGAGGCCGAGGCGGGTGGATCACGAGGTCAGGAGATCGAGACCATCCTGGCTAACGCGGTGAAACCCCGTCTCTACTAAAAAAACACAAAAAAATTAGCCGGGCGTGGTTGCGGGCGCCTGTAGTCCCAGCTACTCGGGAGGCTGAGGCAGGAGAATGGCGTGAACCCGGGAGGCGGAGCTTGCAGTGAGACGAGATCGCACCACTGCAGTCCAGCCTGGGCGACAGAGCGAGACTCGCAAGGACAGAAAACCAAACACCGCATGTTCTCACTTATAGGTGGGAATTGAACAATGAGAACACTTGGACACAGGAAGGGGGACATCACACACCGGGGACTGGCGAGGGGTGGGGGGAGGGGGGAGGGGGAGGGACAGCATTAGGAGATATACCTAATGTAAATGAGGAGTTAATGGGTGCAGCACACCAACATGCCACATGTATACATATGTAACAAACCTGCACGTTGTGCACATGTACCGTAGAACTTAAAGTATAATAATAATAAATAAAAAAGAAAAAAAAAAAGATGTGCTCTATTCTTTCTTTATGTAAAAGAGAGCAAACCTGGCCTATCCACGCTGCAAGTGGTTGTGGAGGGGCTGGCCCGCGCCCCTTCCGCGCAGTCTCCTTCCGCGTCACCTCTGTGACCGCTGTGCCCAGTCGGGCCCCACAGAAGCGGCAAGCGACGTCCTCAACCGCAATCTCGGCTCCTCGGGCGCCACCCAGTGGCCTCGGGGCGGAATCGCGGGCGAGCTCGGAGGGGCTCGGGGTGGCGGGGCGCAGCGCGGCGCCTGTAAAACAACCCTTTGTCTTCAGAAGGCGCTTGTCCTGCCAAAGCAAAGCACCGTGCTTTACAGCTACTGGAAGAGCAGTCCTGAGAAACAAAGCCCCGATTTTTTATAGCCACCGGGGAAACCAGAGCCCACTTCCTTCCTCCAGGACCAGGGCTTTATTGATGCGGATCATCTTGTTTCAGGGCTGACCTGCTGCCATCCCTCCAAGAGAGACAGGAGAAAGATTGAAGCTCTCTCAGGGAATTCATCAAAGGTTTTTCTGTTCAGGTTACCAAACTGTTACAAAGAACTCTCTTATGGATCTCTTTCTCTTTCTTTTCTTTTCTTTTTCTCTTTCCTTTCTTTCTTTTCGTTCTTCCTTTCTTTTCCTCTTGCTTTCTCTTTTTCTTTCTTCTTGCTTTCTCTTTTTCTTTCTTCCTTCTCTTTCTTGCTTTCTCTCTTTTTTCTTTCTTCCTTCTTTCTTTCTTCTTTCTCCTCTTCCTTCTTTCCTTTCCTTCCTTCCTTTCTTTCTTTTCTTTCATTCTTTCCTTCCTTCCTTTCCTCTTTCTTTCTCTTTCTTCTTTCTTCCTCTCCTTTTTTTCTTTCTTTTCTTCTTTCTCTTCTTCCTTCTTTCCCTTCCTTCCTCTCTCTCTTTCTCTTTCTTTCCTTCCTGCCTTTTTCCTTCCTTCCCTTTCCTTCCTTTCTTTTTCTTTCTTTCTTTCATTTTTTTCTCTCCCTTTCTTTTCTTTTCTTTTTTTTTTTGAGTTTTTAAATAACACTGAGCGTGATCTGCCCTTCCCTGCACAGCTGAGAGGAAGAGACTTGGGGGTACGTGATGAGTGACACCTTTAGTGCCCTTCTGTGCCCTCCTGTCAGGGAGGGAAACAGCTTCTGCCTCTGGGGGGGAGATGCCAGGAAGCTCAGCACGGGACCAAAGGGGGCCCAGGTGAGGAGGGTGTTTGGGGCGGGGAGCCAGTAGGCACCATGGGCCCTGGTCTTCTTCAGGCCTCGGTGCCCACCGTCCCCCACTCCCCCAGACAGCCATGCATCCAGGTGCTGTGACCAAGTGAGGCGATACAGTGGGTGCTAGACCATGAATTCAATTTCTCCTAAAGGAATTCAGGAGAAACCATGTCAGAATAAAGGTTTCACCAAATTCAAGAATGAAAACTCCGAACCAATTATTAGCCAAAGACGATGATGCAGGGAAGGTGGCCTTCCCAAGCAGGGGGGTTGCGTTGAAAGTTCTGCTGTGAGCGATCAAGTTACTTAACCCTCTGAGGCTCAACCTCCTCTGCTAAATGGGGATGTCAATGACACCCACTTCATAAGACTGTTGTGAGTTTTTATTGAGGTGATATACATTTAACGGTGATCAATTTTACTCATAGACTTGAGTATTAAAAAAAGTGCCACATTCAGAATGTTCCCAAATCATATTAAATCAGCTTGCCTGTATGGTGAGAAATTCAATCCGTTGAATTTGAGGTGTCCTTCTTGTCTCTAGGATCACATGAGAGTCGTTGGTAACCCTGTCGTGTCCAGAAAGCCAGTGCTGGGCCTTTAGCTCTAGTCCATCAGGGTAATGCCAAACCCCGGCCCAGCCCAGTCCCTAAGACTGACAGCCATGGAGGGCAGGGCCAGGCCTCCCAGGGCCCCCTCCCAACCAAGCCCTCTGGGTTACTTCCTCCTTCCTGAGGGGGCTGAGTGTGGGCTGGTGGGGCAGGGCTTGTCTTTATTACTAGCAGAATACACACACACACACGCACACACACGGACACACACGCACGCACACATCTATTCCGCTGCCAGCCTTAGGAGCTGTCTCCAAGACTCTGGCACTCTGCACCCTCCACCTCTTGCCCTCCAAGGGCTCTGTCTTGTGCCCTGAAGGAGAGATTTCACACAATCCCCAACATGAGGCTGGAGAGCCCAGTACTTGGGATGGCAAAGGAGAAACAAAGACAACAGCAAGAACGACAACGTGGAAAACACAGATTAATTCCTCAGTGAATCACCCTGTAAAACCATAGCACATGTACAAGGCAAATCCTCAGTAACTGGGAATTGTCATCGATGTAAGAGGCTGGATTGGGGACACATAAACTATTGTCATTAGTGCTGTATTATTGCTGTGCTGCGGCCTACTCAGCTGTTCCTTTTGTTGTATGGACCTACCTGCCCATTGGTGCCCTACTGGTCTGGATGTAGGCTCTGGATAGCAGAGAGCAGCTTGCTCAGAGCTCACTCAGGGGACCTGCCTAAGCCTTTGCTATGTGAGTTTCTGCTGTGTGTGTGTGTGTGTGTGTGTGTGTGTGTGTTTTCAATATCTACAGAGATAAATCAGTTCAAACAAACTGTGCTGTGTAAGTGACCTGCCCTTGGTGAGCCCTCACTGCAGATTTGATCTTTCAACCACAGGAGAGAGAACTGTACTCCAGGGGAGAGAATTGCATCGGGTCAGGAGGTCTGGGCTGTCCTTCAGCCCTCGGTGGCTCTGTGCTCGGCCTCTGCACTGGGACCTTGACGTTCACTATCTTGGGTTTTTCTCCTCTGATGGGAGATGGGGTGGAGGCAGGGGATCCCACCTTCCCTGCCTACCTCCCTGGGATCAAAAGAGGTCACAGGATATTCAGTGGACACATTCTGAAAAACACTTGTCAGACGAGGTAATTATATTTCAGATAATAACGTGAGCAGGGAAATGCCAATGCCTGAAATTCCCTACGTCACAAAATAGCTTCGTGCTAGCCTGATACCCAGGCGCGACAGAAACTCAGAGCCCATGCCTCTTTCTGGCCTCAAGCTTGCATTCTTCCATGGGGAGTGACCGGGCCAACCATCTCTGTCATCTACTCCCAGCCTCCTGCCACTTGCCGAGAGTGGGGGCTGTGGAACCATCCCTTGGGGCCTCTCGACCTGTCTCTATCCCACCTTCCTTCTCTTCCATACCACCCCACTGGCTTCCTGGACCTCCTGCTTGGGGCAGCCCTGGCCCCTCCTCACTGATCACTGCCACAGGGGAGAGAGGGCTGAGCCTCGCAGAGAAAAAGCTGGCGTTTCATGAACGTGTGGCATGAGCTGCATCGTCTCATCAGTGCTTGTACAACCCTCTGACTTGGCCTTTTCATTTTTACAGATGAGGAAACTGAGGCTCAGTAACATGTTCAGCTTATGCCCAAGTTCACACAGCTGAGAAGACACAGAACAAGACCCTGCGCCTTCATCCCTGGACCCTATCTCTGCAGTGCCAGAGGGGCTCCGAAGCCCGGGTCTCCACCCCATTCTCTGCCTCTCCTAAAGGGACTGATTCCCAGCTTGGCCACAGAGTGTGGGCAAAACAGAACTGGCCCCACTCAGTCACCTCTGAAGAGCTTTCCCAGCCCAAGAGGAAGACACCCAGCTAAGCAGACCAGCTGCCTGCAGAGGCTTTGGGGAGACGGTGGCCCCAGGAGGGGTTCCCATTGATTCTATTTCAATAAGGGAAATGTAATAAGTATTTTTTGTCCCAATGGTCAAAAAATGACAACAAATTTAGTTTAAAGATCTTAATTGTGGTCGGGCATGGTGGCCCATGCCTGTAATCCCAGCACTTTGGGAGGCCGAGGCAGGCAGATCACTTGAGGTCAGGAGTTCGTGACCAGCTTAGCCAACATGTTGAAACCATGTCTATTAAAAATACAAAAAAATAGCCGGGTGTGGTGGCGTGCATGTGTAATCCCAGCTACTCAAGAGGCTGAGGCAGGAGAATCGCTTGAACCTGGGAAGCAGAGGTTGCAGTGAGCCGAGATCGTGTCACTGCACTCCACCCTGGGCAACAGAACGAGACTCTGTCTCCAAAAAAAAAAAAAAAAAAAAGAAAACCTTAATTGATTATTTATTTGTGATTCCAGAATCAGGCAGCCCCTGTACTGGAATAGGTTCAAAGCACTGTGGCCAGACAGCACGGTGGTCAGGCAGTAGCAGAGGATAGAAAATGGAAGGGCAGCCTAGCGCTGAATGGTTGCAGCTGGGCATTTGCCTAAGTTGACTCAGTTGACCACCCATGGTTGACTGAAGCTCAGCTGCTGTAATGAGTGGAGGCTCAGCTGTTAGTTACAGAAGTATGCTCCTACGTTAGGTTTTCAGTTAGTTTCTGAACTAAGCCAGGCGGCAGTTTGTTATGTCAGGGCTCGAGTGCGGAGGCATCCTCGGGCCAAGTTTAGGTTAATTTAACACCACTGAGAGACCGCAAGATGACAAAGAAAAATCCAGCATTGACAAGGCACATCTAGAAATTTCACAATACTTCCCAGCCTCCGTGACTCTTGTAAATATTAATTTAACCCTCTGGGTAAATTGGTAATAAAATTCTCTTTGTATTAAGGCAATGGTAAAAGTTAATAGGCTGTAAGCCAGAATAATTCCTGGGTGGTTTTATTGCGGAGCATGTGAGTGCCTCGAATTGTACTGTGAGGCACTGAGTTTCTAGGCCACACTCCATGACTGGAATAGCATTATCGTTGACTCATGTGGCATTCCCATTATTGTTATACAACCTGGTACAAAGCAGGTGTTCAATAAACATCATTGTAAGGCCATGTGCAGTGGCTCACCCCTGTAATCCGAGCACTTTGGGAGGCCGAAGCGGGTGGATCACCTGAGGCCAGGAGTTCAAGACCAGCCTGGCTAAGATGGTAAAACCCAGTCTCTACTAAAAATACGGGTGTGGTGGCACGTGCCTGTAATCCCAGCTACCTGGGAGGCTGAGGCAGGAGAACCACTTGAACCTGGGAGGTAGAGGTTGCAGTGAGCCGAGATTGTGCCACTGTACTCCAGCCTGGGCAACACAGCGAGACTCTCTCAAAAAAAATTAAAATAAAATAAAGATAAACATCATTATAGTGAGTATTGAACTCAGCACACATAGCACAAAACAAAAATCTAGGGGCTACAGTTAATATTTTTTTAATGTCCATGGTTCAGGAATGGATCTAGAAACTTCTTCCTTTAGTGCCCTAAAACAGAGATCCTAGAAAACTAAGATGCTTTCGTTTGGGAAGTTTCCTGATCCCTTGTAGAATCTTCCTGATAGCTGACCCCAGTGCTCAGAACGATAACAAATTCTGAATTTTGTACAGGAAGTGTGTAAAAAAACACATTTTACCACTGACCTCAACAAAAATAACAACCCCAGTCAAAGATCTAGTGACACCAGAATATCTTTAAAAAATGCCTGTAGGCCGGGCACGGTGGCTCATGCTTGTAATCCCAGCACTTTGGGAGGCCAAGGTGGGCGGATCACCTGAGGTCGGGAGTTCAAGACCAGCCTGGCCAACATGGAGAAATCCTGTCTTTACTAAAAACACAAAATTAGTTGGGCGTGGTGGCAGGTGCCGGCTACTTGGGAGGCGGAGGCAGGAGAATCCCTTGAACCCGGGAGGCAGAGGTTGTGGTGAGCCGAGATCGCGGCATTGTATACCAGCCTGGGCGACAAGAGCGAAAAGCCACCTCAAAAAAAAAAAAAAATTGCCTGCTACCTGGTCACTAAACCTCAGGAATCCAAGGCCCCGGCTCACTCGGTGCTCACAGTTTGAGGGTGACATCTACCTGGTCTCTCTAAAAGAGCAAAACATCATTCCATAGCGTCACTATGAACAGCTGGCCTTCCCGTCATTCTCCTCACTTCATCCCATGATCAGTCAAGCCAGGAAGGAAGAAGTCAGTAAGACACTGACGCCTTTCCTGTTAGACAACCAGGAAGACCCGCGTTTAGTTATCACACTGTAAATCAATCCTGACACCTTCTCCGTGATCCTAGGTCTTCCTGTGATATTCACTGTTTTGTTTATGTCCTTTTGCTTTAATTCAAGACCCTGTGACCGCATCGTGCCCAGCTCATGCTCTGCATTAGTAAAATAGTGGCCGCTGTGGCGTTGGGGTGTTTTTCTTGCCCTCGAGTTTAGCTCAAGTACTGGGGCTTTCATGTGCAGACACACCGTGATGGGTGAGCAAGGATCTGGAGGAGCCTGGAGGGTCTGGGGCTGGTGGGTGGTTCTGGAAACTAATGACTCTAGTGCCCCACCATTCACCTGACTCCGCCACTGTCTCTATCTCTTTTTCTTGTGATGCTTCTCAGTTCTCCTGCCCCCAGGCAGCCGCTGTACTGTCATCTGCTTGTCATTGTCTATGTCTCCTGCCCAAGGGAAGCCTCATCCTGCAGTGATCCCTCGTAGCCCTCCTGCCTCATCGCCTTTCCTGCGCAGCCTCTCAGCAAAGTCAGGTTCCACCGCTGCCAGCCTGCCTCTGCGTATTTCAGAGAGGTGACCTGGTGGACAAGGCAGAGCTCTCCAGGTCAGGCCCCTGCAGGGCCGATGACAAGCCTACCACGTGGCCCAGAATAAGACACCAGGTGCCAGCAGCAGCCTGGTTCTGCGCAGGTGCAGCTGTGTTTCAGGAGCAGGCTGAGCGCGGCAGGGGCTGTGACGGACACATCCAGGACAACAGCCCGGGGCACAGGAGCCTTTCCTCTGCCCTCTATTTGGGTTTATGCATCCGTTCATCTGGTCTACTTGGGGTCAGCAAGGTCCTCCGTGTTGTTGAGTCTGATGGCCAATTTCCAGGCCTGGTTCTCCCTGACTTTGCGCAGGCATCCGACCTGCTGTCTCCCTCTCCTCCTGGAAGAAGCTCGGCCCCAGGACACCACACTCGCCTGCCGCCGCCTGACTCTCCCGGCAGCCCCTTTCTTGGTCTCCTTCACTCTTCTGCCCCTCCCTTTATCGTTCCCCAAGCAAGGGCTACAGATTCCTTGATTACCTCATTGATGTCATTGGTCTGATCGCTTTGAATACCATCTCCACGCTGATGACTGGAATTTACACCTCCATCCCAGGCCTCCCCCTGAACTCCAGCTGCAGACTCCCGGCTGCCGACTTTCCACTCAGTTGTCTAACGCTCATCTGAAACCTAAAGTGCCCAAACTCCTGATATTCATTTCTAAGTTTATTTTAATTTTTGTACATTAAAAAATTTAGGCCAGGTACAGCTCATGCCTGTAATCCCAGCGCTTTGGGAGGTTGAGGCAGGAGGGTCACTTGAGCCCAGGAGTTTTGACCAGCCTGGGCAATATGGCAAAACCCTGTCTCTATTAAAAATATATATAAATTGAGGCTGGGCGCGATGGCTCACACCTGTAATCCCAGTACTTTGGGAGGCTGAGGCGGGCGGATCACCTGAGGTCAGGAGTTCGAAACCAGCCTGACCAACATGGTGAAACCCCGTCTCTACTAAAAATACAGAAATTAGCTGGGCATGGTGGCACGTGTCTGTAATCCCAGCTACTCAGGAGGCTGAAGCAGGAGAATCGCTTGAACCTGGGAGGCAGAGGCTGCAGTGAGCTGAGATCGTGCCACTGCACTCCAACCTGGGTGACAGAGCTCTGTCTCAAAAAAAGATATATATATATATACACACACACACACACACACACACACACACACACATATATAATTATATATATGTATAAATTTAATAAAAATGTTTCTGTAGCTAAACATCTTGGTATGTTGCCCAGTCTAGTCTCCAACTCCTGGCCTCAAGTGATCCTCCTGCCTTGGCCTCCCAAAGTGTTGGGATTACAGGCGTGAGCCACCACACCTGGCCTGACAGCCATTTCTATCAACTCCTCCCGCGATCCCTCCCAAAAAACCCCTGCTCCTCTGGGCTTCTTTGCAAATGATAACTTTATTCTTCATGTTGCTCAGACAAAATCTATATATATGATAAAATATCTTAAGAGATATATTTTATATAGTCATCTTCAACTTCTCTTTTTTCTCTCACTCCCACTTCCAGTCTTCAGCAAATTCTGTCAGTTCCGCCTTCAAAACGTGTCCAGAATCCACCCTCGGCTAACTCTCTCCCTGGCTCCCACGATCCTCCTGGCTCGTCACCTGCTTCCACCTTTGCCTGCTGTGGTCTCTTCTCAACTCAAGCCAAGCAACTCCGTTCAAATATGATTAGATCGCGGAATTCCTTAGCTCCAAACCCTCCAATAGAGCTTCCTCTGTTACTGAAATTGAATCCAAGGCCATACAAGGCTCGCAGACCCACAGTACCTGGACCCTCGCTGCATCTCTGACCCTTCTTCCTCCTCCTCTTGGTTCTCTTGCCCCACTTCCTCCAACACCCCAGACATGCCCCAACCTTGGTGGTCTTTGTCCCTGAGAGATATCCTCATGGTTGCCCCACCATCTCCTGCAGGTCTTTATTCAAATGTTGCCTTGTCTTGAGGCCTTTCCTGGACACCTCAGCTAAAACTGCCACCTCTACCCCCTAAAGCCCCCCTCCCTTCCCTCCTTAGTTTCCCTGATGAGCACAGACCACTGTCTAACACCCCACATTCTTACTGATTTATTGTCTGTATCCCTCAGTGAACAAAGCCTCCGGGAGAGCAGGCATTTGTGTCTGTTCTGTTCTGTGCTGTATCCCTAGCACCTAGAAGAGTGCCCGACACAGAGGAGTTTTCCATGAATACTTCTGGAATTCGCGAACCCATGGAAATCTTCATTGCCCTGTTCATCAGTCTTTGCGAGGCAGCTGCTGTCCGTGTGTGCACGCCTTCTCATGGCTGGTTGCTAGCTGTCCTTCAGCCAAAACAGAACCTTTCCAGGGTGCAGTTTGCCTAGACAATGCATTACTCACTTATGTGTTGTCGATCGACTGAGAGAGGGATTTTTTTTTAAACAATTTATTTATTTTTAGATGGAATTTTGTTCTTGTTGCCCAGGCTGCACCGCAATGGCACGATCTCGGCTCACTGCAACCTCTGCCTCCCGGGTTCAAGCGATTCTCCTGCCTCAGCCTCCTGAGTAGCTGGGATTACAGGTACGTGCACCACCACACCTTGCTAATTTTTGTATTTTTAGTAGAGACGAGGTTTCACCATGTTGGCCAGGCTGGTCTCGAACTCCTGACCTCAGGTGATTCGCGCACCTTGGCCTTCTGAAGTGCTGGGATTAGAGGCGTGAGTCACTGCACCTAGCTGGATTTTTTTCTTTTTTTAATTCACAAGACTTTGTTACTCTGTTCCTTCATTGGTACAGTATTAAAAAATTAAGAATATTCACTTCACCTTATAGTCTCATTTGCAACTAAAGATGGATCTATATCACATGGGCGCTATAATGTTAGACAATAGAAGAGTCTTTGTCAGAGGCCCTTGGTTACTCACTATTAAAGTCTCTAAGCTTCAAGAAGTTGGAATCTCAGAGAAGCAGGGCATTCTTCGTTGAGGGCCAGGGAGGGCGTGTATGGGCGGCTTGCTGACATCTAATTTGTAGGTCTAATCAGGAAACTGTCGGACCACCTGTCAAAAAGCAACTATTTCTATGTCAGTATTGTTCCAGCCACATGACAATCTGATGATAATCTTCATCTGGTCATTTAAAACTATGTCAGAATGACATTTAATTCATAATCCCTGAGGTGAAATTTAGGGGGAAAAAACTTTCTGTAATTTAGTTTAAAATGTCCATATATTGAAATGAACAGTGTTCAGTGTTTATTGCACGAAATGACACTTCCTCGCTTTCTCTTATATACATTTGTCATGTTATATGTTAAAGTATGAATGATTGTCAGGCTCTAGCTGAAAAGAGAGGGGCTGTAACAAGTCACCTGGAGTCCTGATTCCTTTCTCCATTGATTTCAGTCACCCCACAGTTCACGATGTCTAGTCCATCTGGCAGGCACAGGTGCAACTATAAAATAGGAAGAGGTTTTTATTACTTTCCAGTCCCGTTCTAAATGGAGCTGGTGACTGCAGTAGCCTGTCAACCTGCTGGTGATAAAACCTTTCAAATAAAAACTTCTCTTCGACAAAGATAAAGAAAACTAGATTCAGAGTCTAATCTCCTTGCCTCTTATAACCTTCTTCTTCTTCTTTTTTTTTTAAGAGCCTCTGTGAACATTATTTTTAAAGCCAACAATGAAACTCTACACTTCCACAATACAACCTAGGCCTTCAAAAACACAGATGCTGCTGACTTTGAATCACGGCCTCGCTCATTTCCTTCAGTCCTGGCAAATGAAGCAATTCAGAGGAATTGAATTGAGGCCCATCTCTATCCGCCCTGCATTCTCCTCTTCCTTCCAGGCTGTGCTGCTGAAGGAGACAGCTCAGGGGAGATGGCATGGATGCATGCTGGAGGATCCTGCAAAATCCCGGCAAGCTGGCTATGAGGCCAGCGGTGCTGACCCTCTACGCCAGATGGGAAGGCAGAGACACAATCTGTTTCACTCCGCAAACATCTGGGAACAAAATGGTCTGTCCACCAGTGCAAAATACCACCCCTAAGCAGTATTTCCAATTGTTCTTTTTATGGGCTGTCTGCACACACTCAGTGAAGCCAGCTCAAGTGGTTATTACTAATAGTCCATGCTTTACAACCACACCAGCACACAGAAAAAGAAAGAAGGCTTTTCTGGTTCATTTTTTTTTTTTTTTTTTTTTGAGACGGAGTCTCACTCTGTCGCCCAGGCTGGAGTGCAGTGGCGCGATCTCGGCTCACTGCAAGCTCCGCCTCCCAGGTTCAGGCCATTCTCCTGCCTCAGCCTCCTGAGTAGCTGGGACCACAGGCATCCGCCACCATGCCTGGCTAATTTTTTTTTGTATTTTTAGTAGAGACGGGGTTTCACCGTGGTCTCGATCCCCTGACCTCGTGATCCGCCCGCCTCGGCCTCCCAAAGTGCTGGGATTACAGGCGTGAGCCAACGCGCCTGGCCTCAGTTCATTTCTTGATGTCAAAACAACTGTGGCACCAACACATCTGGCAAATACCTTGCTGCGGGCACACAAACACGAAACCAATATTATTTATGATAGATGCACACATTCTAAATAAAATACTAGGCCAGGTGAGGTGGCTCATGCCTGTAATCCCAGCACTTTGGGAGGCTGAGGAGGGTGGATCACCTCAGGTCAGGAGTTCGAGACCAGCCTGGCCAACATGGCGAAACCGTGTCTCTACCAAAAACACAAAAAAAGTAGCCAGGCGTGGTGGTGTATGCCTGTAATCCCAGTTACTCGGGAGGCTGAGGCAGGAGAATCAATTGAACTCGGGAGGTGGAGGCTGCAGTGAGCTGAAATCGCACCACTGCACTCCAGCCTGGGTGACAGAGCCAGACTGCATCTGAATAAATAAATAAATAAATAAATAAATAAATAACTAGAAAACATATCTTGGACAAGAGCGAAAAATAGTGCAAATGGGTCCTGTCTTGGTCTGTTCCTGCTGCTGTAACAAAATAGCTTGTATTGGGTAATTTATAAACAATTGAGGCCCTGAACTCCTGGCCTTAAGCGATCCTCCTTCCTCAGCCTCCCAAAGTGCCGGGATTCCAGGCATGAGCCACCATGCCTGGCCTGGAAGATGTTTTCGTGACAGATGAGTTTTTCAATAGAAAACCCGCCTTGTGAGTCCCTCAATCCAGCCCCTCCCACCCTCACCCTTCAAAATAAATAAGAAAAGAAAAAGAAAGCCCCCTTGCCACACTATCAACACACTTCATCGCAATCCGGAATGTGCTGAACTTCAGCTCCTCACCTTGGCGGGTGGCCTGTCCACTCCCAGGACCACAAGCTGGTCTCTCTGGTGTGGCTCTCAGGCCAGCTGCTCCGGGGCTTCGTGTTCTCTTGTTCCATCCTTTTCACATCGCACACAAACACGGCCTCTGCTGGGCTGTGGACTCCCTGCAATTGGCCTCAGTGGAAATCCGTGTCCTCCAATCGGCAGGAAGGGGTGGGCATTCAGGACCACAGTCCGGGTTTGGCCTGGCAGGGCCACGTCAGCAAAAGTCACATCACCACGGCCATGAGCACATGGTACTTGTGCTGCTGCCGAGCACCCTCCCTCACAGGAAGGATGTTGGTCCTCTTCTTGGTCAAGTTAACGAGGCACGGCCAGAGCGGTGGGAGGACTCCATGGCCTAGACTAGACCACCTGGGCCTACGATGTCAGAGACATGGGAGATGGTGGTGCCTGAGGCAGCCCCGAGGGAGAGCACCTGGGCCCTGGCTTGATGTGGGAGGGGTTCCACGCTTGGGACTCCATGCTGTCATCTCCCGGCGAAGTGGGGACTCTCTCCTCTCCATAAACTGATTCTCCAGGGACCAGATTCTCAGTGACTAGTGCATGATCCTTTCCTCCATAATGAAGACACCTCAGCCCATACAGATCCACTGTCACATTCTTCCCAGACTGCTTTCCTCCTCCTCTACCCCACCACCACCCCGGTGGCCACCAGAAAGGAATCCTCCATCACCTCTTCCTCCTCCTCCCCTATCTCCTCCTCCCCCACCACCTCTTCCTCCTCCTTCACTTCCTCCCTCTCTTCCTTCACCTCCACCTGGACCTCGGCCTTCACCAAAGCCTCCTCGACCCCACCACAACCGCCATGGTCACCAATGTCCCCTCAGCTGCTGAAGCCACCCCACAGGGACTAAAACCTGGCTTCATAGTGAGCCCTGACTTGCGCAGTTCCAGAATCCACAACGCCACAAGTCTGGGGCTTTCGCACGTGGGAAAGAGTGGAAGACATTTTTAAACACAAGAGTACTGAGGAGCAATTTATGCCACCATGCAGTACAGTGTGTCTTTTAAAGAATGCCGCGGTAGCTATGCAATTTGAGGAGTAAAAGCAGTTATGCAATTTGAGGAGTAACTAAATCCAATAATTGCTAATGCTAGTAATGCATTTTATTAAACTACATAAATACTTAATAAAACAGTAGTGCTGTTGGATTATCCAACAAGTAGATCAATGAAACAAAATGTATTGAATGAAATTGAGTATGTTGGCCGGGCACAGTGGCTCACGCCTGTAATCCCAGCACTTTGGGAGGCCAAGGCCGGCGGATCACCTGAGGTCGAGAGGTCGAGACCAGCCTGACTACCATGGAGAATGGAGAAACCCTGTCTCTACTAATAACAGAAAAATTAGCTGGGCGTGGTGGCTCATGCCTTTAATCCCAGCTACTCGGGAGGTCGAGGCACGAGAATCGCTTGAACCCGGGAGGCGGAGGTTGCAGTGAGTGGAGATCGCACCAGTACACTCTAGCCTAAGCAACAAGAGAGAAACTCTGTCTCAAAAAAAGGAAAAGAAAAGAAAATTGAGAATCTAATATGTTCCAGGCAGTGGGCACTACAGAACCTATGTTTGTATGTGGTTCCTGCCTGTGAGGTTACGCTATAGTGGAGACTGACCCTCAGTGACACTGCAGTTACTAATGATTAGAGTGACAGGGAGTTGGGGGAGGTGTGATGGGTTAATTGGTGTCCCCCAAAAAGATCTGTGCACCTGAGACCTGTGAATGTGGCCTCATAGAGAGTCCTTGCTGGGTGCAGTGTCTCACACCTGTAATCCCAATACGTGGGGAGGCCAAGGATAGCTTGGGCCCAGGAGTTTGAGACCAGCCTGGGCAACATAGCAAGACTCTATCTCTAAAAAAAAAAAAATAAGAAAAAAATTAGCTGGGCATGGTGGTGCACACCCATAGACCCAGTCACTTGGGAGGCTGAGGTGGGAGGATCACGGCTGCAGTGAGCCATGATTATGCCACTGCACTCCAGCCTGGGCAACAAAGTGAGACCCTGTCTCAAATAAAATAAAAAAGAGAAAGAAACACTGAGTGTGCCTAAGCCCCTTGAGTGTGTATTCTGTCATGCCTTTCCCTCTAGAAGATAAAATTTGATAGTAGAATTGTTATAGATTTCCATCCTTGGATAAAATACCCAGAGATGTGCCTCGTCCCTCTGGGGCCAAGCCCGGAACAGAAGGCACAGCCTCCCGACTCTCCCTAGACCAGAGTTTCTCAGAGTATGATAAACACAGCACCTGAAAGCATACATTAAGGTTTAAAATCCAAGGCCCTTGCCCAGATTTCCTGAATCAGAGTCTGCTGGGGTAGGGCCCAGGAGTATGCATTTTGAAAGACTGTCTCATGTATTTGGACACACACTTAAATTTGAAAACCACTGCATTCACGCATCTATGACACCCCTTCTCAGCTCTAAAGCATCTGACCTACATTGCATTCTTGGCTCTGTTCCCGCCTATCAACTGAGCCTCCAACTACCTATCTAGAAAATAGAGAAAAATTTTATCTGCCGCTAGGTACTTGTCTAGCAGTCTTCGAAATCCTGAGATCAGAGGGTCCAGATAAAGGAGCACTATTATTTATCCACCCTTCATTTTCAAGAGACAGCCCTCAGCATTTTCCTTCCCTATTTGTGCTGGAATTTGCCAACGTTGGAAAGGCCTGGGAGCCTGGAAGATTGTTGTTTCTCTCTCACTCCATGTATGTGGCAGGTTAACATGATAAGTTTCTTTTTTTTTTTCTTTTTTTTTGAGACAGGGTCTTGCTCTGTCACCCAGGCTGGAGTGCAATGGCCCCGTCTCGGCTCACTGCAACCTCTGCTTCCCATGTTCAAGCAATTCTCCTGCCTCAGCCTCCCGAGTAGCTGGGACTACAGGTGCGTGCCACCACACCCGGCTAATTTTTGTATGTTTAATAGAGACAGGGTTTCACTGTGTTGGCCAGACTGGTCTCGAACTCCTGACCTAGTGACCACCTGCCTCGGCCTCCCAAAGTGCTGGGATTACAGGTGTGAGCCACCGCGCTGGCTGACATGATAAGTTTCAACGGCTTCAGATGTCTCTTTTTTTCCCTTTCCTTGAAATAATCTGAATCAAATCCGGAGACTGCCCTCAGGCCCAGCTGAGCTCTGAGGAGTCTGAGCTAGTCGTCTCCAAAGGACTCATAGCCAATCTCGGAAACCAGTTACTCCACAGGAAAGCCCGTCTACCTCCCAGCACCTCAGGGGCCCACAGCGCAAGCAGGTGAGCTGGCTGGACGATCGAGTTCCTGCTCAGTACATGGGATTATTCGCTTAACACTCCAGCAGCTCCACGAGCTGGGGTTCATTATTTTCATTTTTGAAACAGGAACAATGAGGCTCAGAGAAGTTAGGTAGCAGAAAGTCACACGACTGGTGAAGTGGCATCGTTGTGATTTGTGGCCGATAGCATCCTGTCTGTGACAGGAGGCACACTCTGGCACTGCCCCAGGCTCCAGCCAGGTCATCACCGTGATGAGCACTGGCTCCTGCCGGGCCTGCAGCCTCAGGGAAGGTGCTCCACAAACATTTGGTGAAAGCATGATACCTCTACCTAGGAGTGGTTACCTGCCCCTGAACTTGAGCTTCCTTCTCTCTCACAGGCTGCCTGACCCCAGAATGTCCTCCCTGAAACTATCCATCCTGCAAGCCCCACTCCTCTGTCCCACTATCTGATGGGACCCTATTTGTATTGGAAACCCCCTCCATTTCCCCACCAACTGCTTGGCTGTGATACCAGCGGTTTTCCAGGCAGGTGGGTTCCAAATATTTAGTTTGCTGGACTGAATTTCCCTGTGGTCCCTACAAGTGAAGATTTGTCGTTTTTCGAGGGCCTGACCCATCTCAGCGTGAGGGTCTTTGTCAAGGGCTGGGCCTATTCCTCCCACCATTTGACTGTGGCTAAACATCCTAGGCCCAGTTACATTCTCAGACAGGACAAGGTGCTGGATGGCTGACACCTGTGCAGGGACTTACTGCCTGTGCAGGGACAGAGATCACCAGGCTTCCGAGATTCTGTATTCCTTTCCTCCTGGCAATCCCATTAAAGTTATTACAAGTAATAAAATAGCACTAATCCCACAATACCAATGATACAGAGGCGCATTCAGCAGGCTAGGTATTTCAACACATTTAGAGAAGATGGGAAGGGTCTGAAGCGATGCAGGGAAAGCTGCCCTCCAGAGGGGGCATGTGGCTGAGCAGACGGCTGACCTGCCGGGCACAGCGCCAGAAGCCCCAGGTATACACAGCTCAGGTATGACAGGGGCAGGAGGTGAGAGGAGAGTGAAATAATGAAATGCAATGGAACATATACATATATATGTATATTTTATTTTCTTACAAACGTCACACATGCTTCTGTAAAGATTCAATTACTGCTGGAATGCCTAAAGTAAAATGAGTCATCTTTGCCTGTCACCCTCCAATAGTTGGAATGTACTTCCTTGGCATAATTATGGTTAACAATTTTTTTTTGTGGTGGGGGACAGAGTCTTGCTCTGTCACCCAGGCTGGAGTGCAGTGGCGCAATCTCAGCTGACTGCAACCTCCACCTTCCAGGTTCAAGCAATTCTCCTGACTCAGCCTCAAGAGTAGCTGGGATAACAGGCACGTGCCACCACACCTGCCTGGCTAATTTTTGTATTTTTTTAGTAGAGACAGGGTTTCCCATGTTGCCCAGGCTGGTCTCAAACTCCTGGCCTCAAGTAATCCACCCACCTCAGCCTTCTAAAGTTCTGGGTTTACAGGCGTGAACCACTGTGCCCAGCCTACTGTTAACACTTTTTTTTTATCTCTATCCCTGAATTTTAGTTTATTTTTTGAAACACATGTAAACACGTGCATTTGTAGATTTTTAAAACATAAAATGGGATCACACTATATGTTTTAAAATGTAGGTTTCATTATTATTCAGGTAGGGTGAGGCCAACTAATCAGGAAACAACTGCCATTAAAAACACAGTTTTGGCCAGGCCCGGTAGCATGTGCCTCTAATCCCAGTACTTCGGGAGGCCAAGGTAGGAGGATCACTTCAGGCCAGGAGTTTGAGACAAGCCTGGGCAACATATTGAGACTTCATATCTACAATAATAAAAATGAAAATAATTAGCCAAGCATGGTGGTGCACACCTGAGTCCCAGCTATTCAGGAGGCTGAGACAGGGGAATCACTTGAGCCAGGAGTTGGAGGCTGCAGTGAGCTATGATTGTGCCACTGCACTCCAGCATGGGTGACAGCGCGACAGCCTGTCTGTCTCCAAAGAAAAGAGATAGTTTATTACTCCCATTTCCCAAGAGGAAGGGAGACACTATACCAGGCAGGGCCACTTGGGGAGGTGCCAGGGTCAATCAGGAGGCAGCAGGAGTGAGGGGAAAGGCTGGCCAAGAGCCTCTATTGTGGTTTTCCTGGGAAGAAATGGGCAAGGCAGGCTCAGCAGGACAGGCAGGTACGGGAGTGTTTAGTCTGAATAACGGATGTAGGCACTACCCTAGTTGCTTGTGCCTGGCCCTGGTGTGATTAGAGCAGAGAGACAGTGGCCAAATCTGGGAGAGGTCAGTAAAGGAGGGAGGTGGCAGGGATGGGCTCTGGATTCATGAAAATGCAAAGTGCACTCCTAGGGGAGTCATTTGCTGTTGTAGGAACTAGCCAGCCCTGGGAGGGTTGGTTTCTCCAGGATCAGCGACACCTTAAGATGCCAGATTAGCAAGAGTACAGAAAATTTAAAAATAAAAATAAAAGGTTAATGTGGCATATCTCTAACTTTTAAGCTAAATGATGTGTTCAGGCTGGGCACAGTGGCTCACACTTGTGATCCCAACACTTTGGGAGGCTGGGGCGGGCAGATCGCTTGAGACCAGGAGTTGGAGACCAGCCTGGCCAACATAGTGAAACCCCATCTCTACCAAAATACAAAAATTAGCTGGGCATGATTGTGTACACTTGTAATCCCAGCTACTCGGGAGGCTGAGACAGGAGAACTGCTTGAACTCGGGAGGCAGAGGTAGAGGTGAGCCGAGAACACACCACTGCACTCCAGCCTGGGTGACAGAGCAAGACTCCATCTCTAAGTATAAAAAATAAATAAATAAGTAATGTATCCAGAACAAGAGTACATACATAACAGCTTGTTCTTTTTAATAACTTCATCATATCCCATAATTTGGATGTTCCCCATTTGAATGTGAATTCCATGAAGGGACAGTTTTGTCTCCTTTTATCCACTACTATACCCCAGAGTCTAGAATAGTGACAGATACAGGGTAGATGCTTAAAAATATCTGTCAAATGAACAAACAAATGGCCCACAATGGACTCAACCATTGCCTTATCAACAGATATACACATTGTTATTTTTTATTTCAGACAACACTTCAATAAACCTATCTGTATCTACGGTTGTGCCTCAGTAACCATGGAGGATTGGTTCTACAATGCCCCACGTCAGATACCAAATTCCCTGATATAAAATGGCATAGTATTTCCATAGAACCTACACACATCCTCTTGTACAGTTTAAATCAACTCCGGACTATTTATAATACCTAATGCAATGTAAATGCTATATAAATTACTGTTATACTGTTTTGTTCAGGGAATAATGACAAGAAAAAAATCTGTATATGTTCAGTTCAGACACAATCACCATTAAAAAAAAAAAAACTCCATCTGAGGTTGGTAGAATCCATGGATGCAGAATCCAGGGATATGGAGGGCCAACCCTCAATCTTTATGCACTCGAATTAGTTAGGACTGGGCTTGGAGAGTAAAAGAATGACCCAAATAATTGTGGCTTAGCCAAGACAGATTTTTTAAATATTTGCATTCATTTATTTTTATTTCAATAGTTTTAGGGGTACCAGTGGTTTTTGGTTACGCGGATGAATTGTGTAGTGGTGGAGTCTGAGTTTTTAGTGCACCCTTCCCAGGAATAGTGTACATTGTACCCAACAGGTGATTCCTTATTCCTCACCCCCTCCCCCCCTCCCCCTCCTGTGTCCTCAGTGTCCGTCATACCACTCTGTATGCCTTTGCAGACCCATAGCTTAGCTCCCACTTATAAGCGAGAACATCTGGTACTTGGTTTTCCATTTTGGAGCTGCTTCACTTAGGATACTGGCCTCTAGTTCCATCCAAAGTGCTGCAAAAGACATGATTTCACTCTTTTTTACGGCCGAGTAGTATTCCATGGTATACATATACCACATTTTCTGTATTCATTCATTGGTCAGTGGGTCCCTGGGTTGGTTTGATATCATTGCAACTGTGAATTGTGCTGCAGTAAACATATGCATGCAAGTGTCTTTTGACATAATGACTTATTTTTCTTTGGGTTGATGCCCAGTAGTGGGATTGCTGGATTGAATGGTAGGTTGGTCTACTTTTAGTTCCTTGAGAAATCTCCATACCGTTTTCCATAGAGGTTGTACTAATTTACATCCCCACCAATAGTGTCTAAGTGTTCCCTTTTCACCACATCTGTGCCAAATTCTTTCTTTAAAAACTTTTTAATAAGTGCCATTCTGACTGGAGTAAAATGGTATCTCACTGTGGTTTTCATTTGCATTTCCCTGATGATTGGTGATATTGAACATTTTTTTCACGTTTGTTGCCAAGATAGATATTTCACTGTCTTATGTTCAAGAAGTCTGGAGGAGGTCAGGTCAGAACTGATCTGGAGCTCCCTGGATTCGGGGCTCAAGCTCCTGCTACCTTGCCGTCTCTGCCCTTCACAGCTTCCACTCCGAAGTCCCCACATGGCCCATCTTGCTGCCAGAGCTCCAGCCAGCAGCCTGTATTACAGGAGGAAGAAAGAAACAAGTCCCAGGGAGCATTACTCCTCCTTTTAGAGGTTACTTCCTGGAAGCTGCTACTTCCAGGAAGTATATTGTATTGCCTAGAACGGCAGTGCAAGATCAAACCTAACTATAACGTGTGCTGGGAAATGACATTATTCCAGGTGACCATTTGCCCAGCTCAGCATCATAGGTTCCTCTGTTACTGAGGAAGGCAGGGTGGATGGATATCAGAAAACATCTTGCTCTTATTTCTGTCAGATAAATTTCCAGAAGTAAAATTGCTATATTGAAAGGTACATGCATTTAAACATTTTTAATAAACACTGATAGATACTTTCAACAAAGGCTTCAGTAATTGAATCCCAGCAACAGTGAATGAGAGGATCTATTTCCCTACTCACTAACATGGATGAGGGCAAGACTTTTTTTTTTTGGGGGGGGGGGCGGGGGGTGGGGGACGGAGTCTTGCTCTGTTGCCCAGGCTGGTGTGCGGTGGCTCAACCTCAGCTCACTGCAACCTCTGCTTCCCAGGTTCGAGCAATTCTCCTGACTCAGCCTCCTGAGTAGCTGGAATTACAGGTGCTTGCCACCATACCAGGCTAATTTTTGCATTTTTTTAGTAGACATGGAGTTTCACCATGTTGGCCAGGCTGGTCTCAAACTCTTGACCTCAGGTGATCCACCCGCCTTATCCTCCCAAAGTGCTGGGATTACAGGTGTGAGCCACCATGCCTGGCTGAGATGCAGGCAAAACTTTTTTTTTTTTTTTTTTTTTTTTTAGACAGAGTTTTGCTCTGTCACCCAGGCTGGAGTGCAGTTGCGCGATCTCAGCTCACTGCAAGCTCCGCCTCCCAGGTTCACGCCATTCTCCTGCCTCAGCCTCCCCAGAAGCTGGGACTACAGGCACCCGCCACCACACCAGGCTAATTTTTTGTATTTTTAGTAGAGACAGGGTTTCACTGTGTTAGCCAGGATGGTCTCGATCTCCTGACCTCGTGATCCGCCTGCCTCGGCCTCCCAAAGTGCTGGGATTACAGGTGTGAGCCACCACACCCAGCCTGCAGGCAAAACTTTTAAAGCTTGATAATCTGATAAGCAAAAGAAGTTATCCCACTGTTGTTTTGGTTTGTGTTTACGTGATTACTAGTAAAGCTTAACATCTTTTCACATATTTATTTGCCATTTTCTAGTCCTCTTCTATGACTTGCTTTTTTTTTTTTTTTATTTTTAAGACAGGGTCTCACTCTGTCACCCAGGCTGGAATGCAGTGGTGTGATCTTGGCTCACTGCAACCTCCGCCTCCCGGGTTCAAGCGATTCTCCTGCATCAGCCTCCCGAGTAGCTGGGATTACAGGCACCCACCACCACGCCTGGCTAATTTTTGTATTTTTAGTAGAGACAGGGTTTCGCCATGTTGGTCAGGCTGGTCTCGAACTCCTGACCCCAGGTGATCTGCCCTCCTCGGCCTCCCAAAGTGCTGGGATTAAAGACGTGAGCCACCGCGCCCAGCCAAAACGTAGTTTTAAAATCCTGGCTATACAGAATGTCAATGAGAAATCCTTTGGTTGCAAGTGGCAGAAATCCACCCAAAACTAGCTTTAACAAAAAAGGAGTTCACTGGTGTGAGAAAGAAAAGTAACTCAAAGCAATCCTACGCAAAAGATGCAAAATGTATCAGGCCCAGAAAAATTAGCTGGGCATGATGGTGCACACCTGTAATCCCAGCTACTCGGGAGGCTGAGACAGGAGAATTGCTTGAACTCAGGAGGCAGAGGTAGAGGTGAGCCGAGAACACGCCACTGCACTCCAGCCTGGGTGACAGAGCAAGACTCCATCTCTGAGTATAAAAATAAATAAATAAGTAATGTATCCAGAACAAGAGTACATACACAACGGCTTGTTCTTTTTAATAACTTCATCATATCCCATAATAATAAAAAAAAGTTATTACAAGTTATATAATGTGACCCTCACCCATCATCTTCTTGTTCCTAGAATTTGTGATACAAAGAACAATGTGTAGCGAATCAGTAGCTTATTTTCATGTTATTTTATGAACCAATGTAAGAACTGCCCCTTCTTTTTTTCTTTAAAAACTTACTGGCAATTGCTGCTAATCAGAGCATAAATTCAAGGCAACTGCAATCTGTGTCTCCCAGGTTGCAGTCCTCAAATTTGGCTCAAATAAACTCTCTACTTATATTAATTTTGCCTCAATTTCTTTCTTTAGGTCAATAGGATCATTAATGATACTATCTAAAACAGTACTGCCCTAATGTGTTGCTTTTTTCTGTGACGGAGTTTTGCTCTTGTCACGCAGGCTGGAGTGCAGTGGCGCGATCTCGGGTCACTGCAACCTCCGCCTCCCAGTTCAAGCGATTCTCCCCGCCTCAGCTTCCCAAGTAGCTGGGATTACAGGAGTCCGCCACCATAAAAATTTTTGTATTTTTAGTAGAGACGGGGTTTTCGCCATGTTGGTCAGCCTGGTCTCGAACCACTGACCTCAGATGATCCACCTGTCTCGGCCTCCCAAAGTGCTGGGATTACAGGTGTGAGCCGCTGCGCCCGGCCCCTAATGTGTTCTTATTCTGTTCCTTTCTCCTTAATAGAACGTATCACTACCAGAATGATCTATAGGTCTACATGTCCATCCATGCGTGCATCCACCCATCCATGTACCCCACCCATCCACCCACCCACCTATCACTATGTCTTGATGTTTTCTTCACCAGAGCTTCACAAGGACCGAGACTTGTTCACTGCTGAATCCCGGTGCCTGCACAGAGCAGATGCTGAGGACTGACCCTCGCTCTCTCCATTTCTGGGTTCTGGAGCTACCTGCTCCTTCACGATTGCAATCCATGCTCTGCATTCTATGCATCCAAAGGATACACACATTCTTTTCCTGGTTGCTCCAGCAAAAGTCTCACAATTGGCTTTCAGTGGCCAGGCCTGGGTGACGTGTCCGCTGGATCCAGTGATTGGGGCCAGCCCCATACAGACCACAGGGACTGCCAGAGGGAAAGGAGCAGAATCCTGGGGAAATCAGGAACTGTTATCAGACGAAGGGGGACAAGAACACAAATCCATTCTCTTTGGTCAGCCTGCTTCAACCATTTAGGAAGAGGTCAAGGAAATGTATAGACACAGACACACTGAGGGCTGTAAGAATTCACATGTGACAAACGTTAACGGTGAAACAAACAGGAGAAAAGCACAACCACTCGGGCCACACCCTTCACCAAGGATTTCTTCTTTCGCAAATGTTCTAGGTGTTTGTTTTCTTTCTCACTGTGATCTCCTAAGTCCAGCTCTTGTCAATACACATTCCTTAATCTAATAAAAATGGTTTATTATTAATAGTAGCAGCATTTATCAAACATCCACAAAATGCTAGGCAAGATGCTGAGATATTTATAAGGATTATCTCATTTTTAAATTTATTTTTTATATTTATTTTGAGACAGGGTCTCACTCTGTCGCCCAGGCTGGAGTACAGTGGTGCAATCAAGATGCACTGCAGCCTCGACCACCTGGGCTCAAGCGATCCTCTCACCTCAGCCTCTCGAGTAGCTGGGACTACAGGCGTATGCCACAACACCTGGCCAGTTTTTGGATTATCTCGTTTTATCCTCACAACAATCCTAAGAGGTAGTCACCACTGTTGTCCCATTTTACAGATGAAGTAAGCAAGGCTCAGAAAGGTTAAGTAACTCCCTTGAGGTCAAACAGCTGGCATGGTGAGAAGGAGATCCTCGTAGGCTTGGAAGCTTTTCTCCATGGGCAGGGCAGAGCAGGCAGAGCAGGGCTGGCTTGACTGTGGGACAGCAGAGAGAAGGGACTCTTAAGACATAGGGCTGGGTAGGGTCTGCACCAAGAAGGACGGCTTTCTCAGCCCCCCAGGAGCAGGGGTTTACCGGCCAGAGGTTTACTGGCCTCAGGGGAGCTCAGGGCCTGGTCAGCAGACTCGAATGCAATCCCTTAGGAATGCATAGCGCCCCCCACTGCCTCTCTCCTCCCTTCTGAATCCAGAACTGTGAGAACGACCAGGAGAAATGGACTGAGCCCCAGGCCTGCACTTTGGAGAGGCCGCCATGGGTGTGATTTCCTTTGCACTGTTTGGGCCTCTGGCACTTCCTGCCAGGCAGGAGATTTCTTGAGACTTCAAAGGCGGCACACAAGAGGAGTGTTAAGCAGATTGAGCACTAATAAAGAACTAACGCCTAGAACAATCACAGCTTCCCTGTGATTCCTGAGAGTGAGGAAAGCACAAAGAAGAAATGAAAGTCTCTCGCTAACCCTGGGAGAAACTAAAACATCCAGGAGCAGATTCTATACTCAGTAATGTGACAGAGTTCACAAAAAGGTTATATTCACACTCGAAGCTACTGAGGCTCATGCTCAGCTTCATCGAGAGTGGTATCACCATACCCAGAAAAAAATGGCCTCCTATGGAAAAAGCTAACCTAATATCATGCATATTATTCTGGAACAAAATAAGTAGAATGATATACCTTATATTTCTACAGTGCTTTTACTTTTTAAGAATTTTAATACCACAGCAGCCAACATTATCTTGTTGCTTTCTCACATTCCTTTATAAAAATTTTCTTTAGAATGTTCAAAATCACATTCTTGCTTCCAGAAAGTCGTAAGAATAAAATTGCATTTCTCTCTCTCTTTTTCTTTTCTTTTCTTTTTTTTTTTTTGAGACAGCCTCACTCAGTTGCCCAGGCTGGAGTGCAATGGTACCATCTCGGCTCACTGCAACCTCCACCTCCCGGGTTCAAGTGATTCTCCTGCCTCAGCCTCCCAAGTAGCTGGGATTACACGCGCACGCACCACCGCACCTGGCTAATTTTTGAGTGTGTGTGTATATATATATGTGTGTAAAAATATATGTATATTTTTAGTAGAGATGGGGTTTCGCCATGTTGGCCAGGCTGGTCTTGAACGGCTGACCTAGGTGACACGCCCACCTTGGCCTCCCAAAGTGCTGTGATTATAGGCATGAGCCACTGCGCCGGCCGAAATTGCATTTTTAAATGTAAAAGGCCCCAGAAGGAAGGAGACTAAATACAGTTCCCAAGCTCCACACAGCTCTCCCCATGGGCCTACGTGGGTCTCCATGCTGAAACCTCGGGGTGAGGGGGAGGCCAGGGGAGGGAGTCGCACAGCAGTGGCCAGTGTGGCTCTGAAGGAGGTGCTGCTATGTGGTTAAGATTTTTCATACTGTGGTATGTACAGTCTTGCGTTGTTTTCTTCTTGCCTTTTAAGCATTGTGAATTCCCCAAGTGAGTTTAACTGTAAATCAACTTGGATCCTGGATCCTTTCTTTGTATCCGACTAGGGGACTTCAAGTGGTAGTCCTGACTAGCCTTTTCTCTTCTGGAGACCAGGGCTCGTAGAAACAATACTGACCTGGAAATTGTGTTAGTCACTGCTAAATGGCCTCTCTGAGCCTCAATTTCCTAGTCTTTCCTAAATTTCCTAAAAACGAGGAAACAGCTTCAGTTACCCCCAAGGAACCTGCCTATAAAAGAATTCCATGAATCTATGATGTCGTAAGACAGCAGTCCCCCACTTTTTTGGCACCAGGGACCGGTTTCATGGAAGACACTTTTTCCATGGAAGGGGGGTCGGCGGGTGGTTTCAGGATGATTCAAGCACATGATGTTTGTTGCGCACTTTATTTCTATTATGATTACATTGTAATATATAATGAAATAATTATACACTTACCATAAGGTAGAATCAGTGGGATCCCTGAGTTTGTTTTCTACAACTAGATGGTCCCATCTGGGTGATGGGAGACAGTGACAGATCATCAGGCATTAGATTCTCATAAGGAGCACACACCCCAGATCCCTCACATGCACAGTTCACAGTAAGGTTCTCACTCCTGTGAGAATCCAACGCTCCTGTCTGATCTGACAGGAGGTGGAGCTCAGGTGGTCATGCGAGCAATGGGAAGTGGCCGTAAAGACAGATGAAGCTTTGCTCACTTGCCAGCTGCTCACCACCTGCCGTGTGGCCCAGGGTTGGAGGTAGTGGCGGGGGGACCCCTGTTATAAGAGAATTGAAATGTTTAGAATTGAGTAATTAGATTTGAATTACTTTCAGTTTTTTTCTAATAGTTCTTCCCCCAATCCCCCAATGGGTATATTACATCTCCTCTCTCTGAACCAGTAACTCAAGCATATATGATCTCTGTCTTGAAAGACAACCAATTGAGAGGTGACAGCGTGCTGGCAGTCCTCAGAGCCCTCGCTTGCTCTCGGCGCCTCCTCTGCCTGGACTCCCACTTTGGCAGCACTTGAGGAGCCCTTCAGCCCACCGCTGCACTGTGGGAGCCCCTTTCTGGGCTGGCCAAGGCCAGAGCCCTCTCCCTCAGCTTGCAGGGAGGTGTGGAGGGAGAGGTGCCAGCGGGAACCGGGGCTGCGCGTGGCGCTTGCGGGCCACCTGGAGTTCCGGGTGGGCGTGGGCTTGGCCCTGCCGGCCCGGGCAGTGAGGGGCTTAGCACCCGGGCCAGTGGCTGCGGAGGGTGTACTGGGTCCCCCAGCAGTGCCAGCCCACCAGCGCTGCGCTCGATTTCTCACCGGGCCTTGGCTGCCTTCCCTCGGGGCAGGGCTCAGGACCTGCAGCCCGCCATGCCTGAGCCTCCCACCCGCTCCATGGGCTCCTGTGCGGCCCGAGCCTCCCCAACGAGCACCGCCCCCTGCTCCATGGTGCCCAGTCCCATCAACAGCCCAAGGGCTGAGGAGTGCGAGCGCATGGCGAGGGACTGGCAGGCAGCTCCACCTGCAGCCCCGGTGCAGGATCCACTGGGTGAAGCCAGCTGGACTCCTGAGTCTGGTGGGGACATGGAGAGTCTTTATGTCTAGCTCAGGGATTGTAAACACACCAATCGGCACCCTGTGTCTAGCTCAGGGTTTGTGAGTGCATCAATCGACACTCTGTATCTAGCTGCTCTGGTGGGGCCTTGGAGAATCTTTATGTCTAGCTCAGGGATTGTAAATACACCAATGGGCACTCTGTATCTAGCTCAAGGTTTGTAAACACACCAATCAGCACCCTGTGTTTAGCTCAAGGTTTGTGAGTGCACCAATCGACACTCTGTATCTAGTTGCTCTGGGGGGGCCTTGGAGAACCTTTGTGTTGAAACTCTGTAGCTAACTAATCTAATTGGGATGTGCAGAACCTTTGTATCTAGCTCAGGGATTGTAAACGCACCAATCAGCACCCTGTCAAAACAGACCACTCGGCTCTACCAATCAGCAGGATGTGGGTGGGGTCAGATAAGAGAATAAAAGCAGGCTGCTCCAGCCAGCAGTGGCAACCTGCTGGGGTCCCCTTCCACACTGTGGAAGGTTTGTTCTTTCGCTCTTTGCAATAAATCTTGCTGCTGCTCACTCTTTGGGTCCACACTGCTTTTATGAGCTGTAACACTCACCGCAAAGGTCTGCAGCTTCACTCCTGAGCCAGCTAGACCACGAGCCCACCAGAAGGAAGAAACTCCGAACACATCCGAACATCAGAAGGAACAAACTCCAGACGCGCCACCTTAAGAGCTGTAACACTCACCGCGAGGGTCGACGGCTTCATTCTTGAAGTCAGTGAGACCAAGAACCCACCAATTCCGGACACACAATGGTGATGCTAAGTCCACAATACTATGACCCAGGGCCACTGAGGCCAGGCCAACGCCCAGTGAGCAGCGGGACAGTCCACACACATCAAGCTCCTCTCGTGAGTCTAAGCTGAAGCCTTCGGCCACAGTGTATGACTCTACCTACTTGCTTACTAAAATGTGCCACCAGAGGCCTTCCCCCACGATAAGAAGTAAATTCACAGCCTTGGGGGTGATATAACCGTGTTCTTTTCCCTTCCTTTCTGGTTCTAGTTTCAGGTGGCAGTGATAAAAGGAGTGTTCTCCTCCTCTTAAACTCTAGATTGGAAAAATAAATGAATGTGAATAGACATCCCCCACTCTTCATTCTGTATCAAAGCCCTGGGGAATCCATTTTTACCACACTGAGTCTCACTGAAGTCAACCGCGTAAGCTCCTGCATTCATTTCCATGAGACTTGGCATTGTGGAAATAATTGGATGGCACTGCCCTCTAACACTCCTTTCAGGAAACAGAGAAAATGTGCCTTTGCTAGTAGGTGGAGTGAAAACTCGTCTGAGTGCTGGTAGGTTTCACCCTGTGTTTTCAGTATTGTCTTGTCAAGAGCAGTTATTATCAAGTCCCAAATGAGCCTGGCAGTACAACCCTCAATAAGGTGTTTAAAACTGCCTTCCCTAGTGAGAAATAAAACACTGCTTTTGTTCTCGTTTTTAAAATTGACTGCATAGTATTACCACTATCAATGAGGTGTTTAACATCAAAATTGTCTTCCCTGGTGGGAAGAAAAACGTTTACTTTGTTTCCTTTCTTAAAATTAATTGAGGTTTTTAAAAACTTATCCTTATTCAACCAACTGTCGCATAAAGGGGAGAAGAGACGAAAATGGGATTTTAAAATATTGTCTTTGGTGGCCCATCAAAGATTGTCAGCACATTCTTCCTGTTTAGGCCACTTGCTGAGCACTTTTCTTCGCCTTTGCTTCATTTCTCCCCCATTATATTTTATAACCTTGGCCTCATCGGTGCAGTCCTTGGTAGGGAGCTAATCATAAGATCTTTGCAGGAATGACTACATTGATCCATGTATTGGTTTTTTTGTGTTTTTGTTTTGTTTTGTTTTGTTTTAGATGGAGCCTTGCTCTGTCACCCAGGCTGGAGTGCAGTGGTGTGATCTTGGCTCTCCTCTACCTCCGCCTCCCGGGTTCAAGCAATTCTCCTGTCTCAGCCTCCCAAGTAGCTGGGATTAGAGGCACATGCCACCACACCCACTAATTTTTGTATTTTTAGTAGAGATGGGGTTTCACCGTATTGGTCAGGCTGGTTTTGAACTCCTGACCTCAGGTGATCCGCCTGCCTCGGCCTCCCAAAGTGCTGGGATTACAGGAGTGACCCACCGTGCCCGGCCTGATCCACATATTCTTTATTAGCTTGCAAATTTTCCACAAGGCTGCTCTATCTATTCTATAAGGTTAAAGAAATTGCTTATGAAAAATTAAAAATCAGCCTGTAGTATTAATACCTAAGGGGGCTTTGGCAGATATGGCTAAGGATGCTCCTTCCCTCATTTCCTCAGGGGATTCCGGGGGCGGCTCTAACCTTTAAAACTGCCTCTGCCTGCTTCTGCCTCTGCTCGAGGCGTGGGAGTTCTATGGCCATTGCCTTTTACAAGATGCAGCAGAGAAGAGAAGGCAGGAGAAGCAATGCCCTGGCTTTTATGGGCATAATAACAGGTTTCGGAGGACAAATGAAGACCCAGGCTACCTCATATCCAGATAAGAAATTATCCAATGGAAAGGAAAACTTGAAGGGTGAGGAGGGAAGCTAGGGAATTCGACTGCTGGTATGGTTCCCAGAAGAGAGGCCCCTTGTCCTGCCTACCTGTACCTCCAAGGCCGAATTGCAACTGGCCAGCGGGGACGCGGCGGTGGGGTGGGGCGGGGGGGGGGGGGCGGGTGGTGCGGGGAGAAAGGGAAGCAGAGAGGTGGGGAAGGATGATGGCAATTTTAAAAGGTTTGGGGGACCCATGAGTAAGGTGGCCATGCCCATTCCCAGCAGAAGCCAGCGAAGCTGCAAGATCTGGAGCATCCATCCCTTCTCCCTGGCACGGCACAGAGGAGTAGACTAGAAATGACAGTGTGCCATGTGTGGGCAAGTGGACTGAGAGGGCCTCAGAGAGAACCTGTGCTCCCCAGCACAGTGCAGTAGGCGATGGAATGTTCACCCGTGCCTGAGAGGGGCATGAGCACAGCAGGGAGAGTCACCTGACCTAAAGAGGCGCTGCTACAGGGATGAGGAGGAAGCAGCAGTGGCCTTTGTGGGCCAAAACCTGGTGGGAAGATGGCTATTTCAGGGGATGCCTGGGAGCGCCTCACCTTGTCCCTGACCCTGCCTTTGTGCCTCAGCACTGTGTCAGCTCCCTGGAATGGATACTCAAATTCGTACAGAAGGAAGTAAAATCTTCAGGTGACTGAAATTAAGTTTCCACCATTTGGTAGGATGGGACCTTAAAATAGAAAACAAATTTAGGCCGGGCGCCGTGGCTCACTCCTGTAATCCCAGCACTTTGGGAGGCCGAGGTGGGTGGATCACCTGAGTTCAGGAGTTTGACACCAGCCTGGCCAATGTGGTGAAACCCTGTTCTCTACTAAAAATACAAAAAATCAGCCGGGCATGGTGGTGTGCACTTGTAATCCCAGCTACCAGGGAGGCTGAGGCAGGAGAATTGCTTGAACCCAGGAGGCAGAGGTTGCAGTGAGCCGAGATTGTGACACTGCACTCCAGGCTAGCGAGAGAGCAAGACTCTGTCTCAAAAAAAAAAAAAAAAAAAGAAAAGAACAAAAATTTAATCAGAGGAAAATACTGTAGCTACATTTGTTTACACACCTTGAAATTATGGACAGAGATTTGTACCTACCATACTCAGAATTTATTTGAAAAAAAATGTTCTCTGCATAAACAACAAACAATTATTAAACTTTGTCAATATTACCAAATAAAACCTAAAATGTTTCTAAAGTTCATTAATTGGATTTAAACTATGTGCCTTTATAGACATCATCTCGTTTATTTCTTATGATTCATAGGTGCTGGTATCCCCTTTTACAGGTAAGGAAACGAAGACTTAGAAAAGTGAAATAATTTGCCCATGGACACAATGATGGTAATTAGCAGAACCAGAATTCCAACTCAGGAATGTCTGACTCCCAAGTCTATATTTTTGATCACTAAATTAAGCTCTATGCTGTTCTTTCCTCTGGCTTTCTAGATCCCTCCAGGAACATTCCTTTCTGCTTCCTTGGCTGCTCACATTTACAAGGCAATCACACATTGATGAACTGGAGCCCTGGGTACAAAGAAGCACAATTTTTTTTTTATCCTTCCTGCTCCTAATTCCCAAAGGGCCCAACAATTAAGTGGATTATTGTGGTCATAATCTTAGTTTTTTGATTTAACAAGTCTTTTTTTTTTTTTCTTTTGAGATACAATCTCACTCTGTTGCCCAGGCTGGAGTGCAGTGGCGCGATCTCAGCTCACTGCAATCTCCGCCTCCTGGGTTCAAGCAATTCTCCTGCTTCAGCCTCCTGAGTAGCTGGGATTACAGGTGCGCACGACTATGCCTGGCTAATTTTTGTATTTTTAGTAAAGACGGGGTTTCACCATGTTGGTCAAGCTGGTCTCAAACTCCTGACCTCTGATCTGCCTGCCTTGGCCTCTCAGAGTGTTGGGATTACAGGCGTAAGCCACTGTACCTGGCCTGGATTTAACAAGTCTTAGCTCAGTTCTTATTTATCTTTCAGTCACCACACCTTGTGAGTTAATCATTGGACAATAATCAGCTTGGACAGTAAGTTAACCACTCTGAACCTAGGTTTCTTTGTCTACGAAATAAATGCAATCTCTAAGGTCCTCCTCCAGCTTAAATTTTCCATGATTCTGAAGAATCAGGATCAAGTTTATTGGTTTATGGGAAGTTGAACTGCAGTTCTCCAAATACCAACTCTTCTCTGATCTCCATCTCTCTCGTAGATTTAAATCCCCCACATTCTGGGATGAGGGATAGGTGTAGAGCTTCACAAAGGGATGGGAAAATAAAATATAATAATATCTCACCTTGTCGGCATGAGGAGGAACATGAAGACTAAAAAGATGAAATTGTCTTCCTTAAGGCTCTACGAAACAGCATATAAAAATGTAAAAATTGGTATAAAAAGGTTTTTCACTTTGGCTAAAATGGAAGCCATCCTGACAGCAGTGCCTCTTAGAATTGCCTTGTGTCATTTAAACCTGCTTACTACTATCGTTTCTTTAACATCTTTTCTGGTATTTGGCCATCCTTCTATTCATATTGTTTTATCTCCATTTCCTTGAGTGTAAATTCTTTTATTTATTGAGTTTGTTATTTTCCTTGCATGATACTGACCTTACTCAGATATTTTATCATTCTTAGGGCGAGTGCATGACTCAGACCTGTACAGTCATTTCATACACCTGGATAGTGTTTATGTAAGGGATATATGACTCAACAGGACAAAAGAACTCCCAACAGAACCTTAGGACGCTGGCAGAAACTACCAGGAAAGAGAAGCTCTCTTGCTACTGAAGTTGCTGAGCTATGAAGAACGTATGCTGTGAGCTAATAGGAAGCATTTTGCCACTCCGTAGGAAGAGCTTGCCTGAGACTGTAGAGACAAGAGAAACAGGTTTCCTGACTATATTGTTTCAGTACCTGGATCCCACAGTCGGGGGAGAGTCCCCCTCGGGACTCTGAATAACACAGCCAATAAATTCCCTTTTTGTTTCAGCACAAGCCATTTTAAATCATAATTTTTTGTCACTAGCAACCGAAATTAATCAAACGAAAATCTGTGAACCTGTAGAGAAAGTCCATAGTTCTCTAACTTCACATCAGTAGATGCCCAAGGGGCCTTTCTGTTTTTTCGTTTTTGTTTTTGTTTTTTTGAGATGGAGTCTCACTCTGTCACCCAGGCTGGAGTGCAGTGGTGCGATCTTGGCTCACTGAAACCTCCGCCTCCCTGGTTCATGCAATTCTCTGCCTCAGCCTCCCAAGTAGCTGGGATTACAGGCGCCCGCCACCACTCCCGGCTAATTTTTGTATTTTTTTAGTAGAGACGGGGTTTCACCATGTTGGCCAGGCTGGTCTTGAACTCCTGACCTCAGGTGATCCACCCGCCTCAGCCTCCCAAAGTGCTGGGATTACAGGCATGAGCCACCGCGTAGAGGTCAATTGCGACACTACAGGAAAAGAAGGTAAAGTGGAGTCACATCTGACTTCCATTTACATGCTGGTTTTAGAAACTCACCCCCATGAAAGATATAACTTCGCAATCTACTTAATCCTCACAGCAGCAAACAAATTTATTAACATTTATTAATGTTAAGGCTTAATGTAAAAACAATGGCATAAATCCTGCAGGTAAGTAGGAAAACTTCAGAATTATCCATCTGCTGTCGATTTATCACTAGAGATTAGATTTTATCCTGAACGCATATTTTGGGAATATCTAAATATCTGTAATATGGTCTCTCCAGAATTTTCTTACATGATGTGGAAATCAAGAGCTACCTGCCTGAAGTTGATAGATTTAAAAATGATGATTAAGTATAATATTTGAATTTATGACAGGTAGCCAACGGGAAAACAATAAAAGATAACAAAAATTAGGAGAAAAAAGGGGTAGTGTAAATGATATGGATTTCTCAGCTTCAACATTCAGGAGTGAAATAAGTACTGCTTAAAGTTGAAAAAATAAGAAATGGAAGTATAAGCATTTAATTTGGAGTTATGAAAATAATCACCCAAAGAAATCAAGATAGAAATGACATGAATGCTGATGTCCACAGAGTGGGACCAGGTTGAGTGAGGGAGATTGTTTGCTTTCATTTATGCCTCTTTTTTTCTACTTAGATGTTTCATTTTTGTGTGCACACATTATATTTTTATTTTATTTTAATTTTTGAGACAGTCTCCCTTTATCGCCCAGGCTGGAGTGCAGCGGTGCGATCACAACTCACTGCAACCTCGACCTCGTGGGCTCAAGTGATCCTCCCACCTTAGCCTCTTGAGTAGCTGGAACTAGAGGTATGTACCAACACACCCAACTATGTTTTGTATTTTTTGTAGAGACAGGGTCTTGCCATGTAGACTAGGCTGGCCTTGAACCCCTGGGCTCAAGTAATCTGCCCACCTTGGCCTCCCAAAGTGTTAGGATTACAGGTGTGAGCCACCACGCCCAGCCTGTAATTTTAAATTGGCCAAAAAGACTATGTTCATCTAGGCAGCCTGCTCTTCTGCCCTCTAAAATATCCATTGCGAGCATTCTCTGCACCATCAGATGGCCTCCATGTCAACGTCTCAGCTCCAAACTTACAAACGTCTTCTTTTAAAACAGAGGAAGTGTCTGCCCACCTAAGGTTAATCTCTCCACCTGTGTGTGGATCCCAGCCACACCTATGTCTGCAGAAATTGCTAATTACCCTCTTTTTCTTCAGATCCTCAAACTCTCCTTTTCTGTGAGTTGCCTTCAAGCAGTGGGCAACATGCTCAGGCTACTCCCATCTGAAATTGAAGCCACCTTGACCCCATGACCCTGTCCAGCTTCCTCTATCTTCTCCCCTTTACAGCCAAATATCTCCATTTCCGACTCCTGAACTCACTCTGATATGGAGTCTTCATCACTGCAGTAAAAACGGCTTTTGCCAAGCTCACAGGTGGCTCCAGTCCGTAATCAGACTGTTACTACCTATCTTCATCCTACTTGATTTCTCAAAGCTTCTAACAGAGGGGATCACTCTTAAAACATTCTCTTACTTTTTCAGAACATCCCACCTTATCACTGTAATTTGGCAGATTTGTGTCCTCACACATCATTAGCATAAAATATTTCCCCTCACCATGAAGTATTTCTCACATCAAGTCATAACCTTGGCCATAACTGGAGTATTTGCTCCTCACAAGCCTCTCCACATGCAGACCTTCCTGCCAAAGGCTTTCTTGCTTCCACAGTCACATCCAGGAACAGGGGCAATCCCTTCATGTTGCTCCATGGGAAAGCCATCTGCAGAAAAGCCAGCTTGCCGCTGGAATTTTTATTGGATGTCTTCAGAGAGATATGCTACAGAACCAGTTTCAGTGAATGGGCTTCCACTTACAGCAGAAAATTTAATCCTGTGAACTCAGTCACTTGTTTGAAACTCAATTTGGGATGATAGTGGATCTTTCTCAATTCATTAGAATTCTCTCCCTTTTCTCCTCTGAGTAGATTTCTAGTGAGGGCAGTGGTGGGGTGAGGCTTGGTTATCATCCTAGCATTGTCTTGTGCTTTCTTCCCTGTGGGCTCTGCTGGGAGTATAACTGCTTGATCTACCAGCACAAGCAATGCACACTGATCATTTCAGGAGAGGTTGAGGGTCCTCTCCTATTGATGCGGCCTGACGGGCACTGGTCTGATGACTTGCTGAAAACTAGCTGCATCTCCCTTTGCTGACAAGCTGACCACCCCTAGCCTCATTCACCTTGGACCCTGGTGCTTGGTAGGCACTTCACCATTCAACTCTTTCTTGGGAACCTTTTGGATCTCCTCTAGGCCCTGTGAGATATATGTGCGTAAATGCGTGTGTGTGTGTTATGTATATATACACACACACATATGTATATATATATACACACGTGTGTTAGGAGCAGAGGAGGGAGTTGTATAGTTGGTTATCAAAGCTATAAAAGGCCCTTTCTATGTTCATTTCTAAAGGCCAACGCATACAGGCTCAGGGCACGATTGGGCTGTCTTCTCTCAGAAACTCGGGCAGAGCCAAGTCCTTCTGCTCTTAGACCCAAAATCTACCTAGCAATTTCTAACAGCCAACACTTCCCACCCTGCATCTTATTCCCTACTCCCATAGACTTTCCTAGTTATCACCTAAATTCTCCTCTCACCTTTTCTCTCAGAACGTCTCCCCCAGCTTAGAGAGGAATTTGTCTCTGTAGGTGGGAGGGTCTTTAAAAAAAAATGAGGCCGGGCACAGCGACTCATGCCTATAATCCCAGCACTTTGAGAGGCCGAGGCAGAAGAATTGCTTGATATTAGGAGTTCAAAACCAGCCTGGACAACAGTGAAACCTTGTTTCTACAAAAAAATAAAAAATTAGCCTGTCGTCGTGGTACCCGCCTGCAGTCCCAGCTACTTGTGGTTCATAGTCTTTGAATCTTTATATGCAAAGTCAACTTTTTAAGAATCAAAAAAGAAAAATGCATGTATCTTTTATTCCAAGCACCTGGTTTTTGCACAAGTACTCCATCTTTCAGACTCTATCGCTTTTATTATAATTAAAAAAATTGTTTGAAATTCAGGCTCTACTTGTTCTCCTTTCAAGGCAATGAAGCCCATGAGTGGGAAGAAGACTACAGGGCAACAAGAAAAAAAGTGAGAACATTATTATTATTATTTTTTGAGATGAAGTCTCACTCTGTCACCCAGGCTGGAGTGCAATGGCTTGGTCTCGGCTCACTGCAACCTCTGCCTCCTGAGTTCAAGCGATTCTCCCGCCTCGGCCTACAGAGTAGCTGGGACTACAGGCACGTGCCACCACACTTGGCTAACTTTTGTATTTTTAGTAGAGATGGGGTTTCACTACATTGGCCAGGCTGGTCTCGAACTCCTGACCTCATGATTCGTCCGCCTCGGCCTCCCAAGGTGCTGGGATTACAGGCGTGAGCCACTGCACCTGGCCGTGAGAACATTCTTGATTTAAAATGCACATATATAATCTAGGTATGCGATCATAGCTTCTTTTACTTGCCATGGTCCCCTTGCCAAAGAATTCATGAAAGGAGAAATCGTAATTTCTCCACCTTTTAAATAGCCAGATTTCTGCAATCCGTCCACCCCCTCTAGATTTTCAGCAATTATCTGTGAAAAGGAGGAAAGAACAGCAAACTAGAAGCAAAATCACAAAGCTTCAAAATTTCTTTGTGCCTCCGTTTTTATGTAGTTTCTTTTGGTATGGCAGGAAAATGGGCAATATTGTTTTCATACAATAGCTGTATTTTGTTCCAGCATGCACATAAATTACACAGTTAACCTTATCTGATCTTACCTAAAGTGACCTTTTTTTGCTTGCTTATTCTGATTCATGCATTTTTACATCAAAGTCTACATTTATTGAAAGAAAAATTTCATAATTTATATCATTTAACGTATTTATCTTACAGTGCATGTATACCTGGAATGGGAAACGTAACAATAAGCCAGCCAGCAGTTAGAGTACGTAACTGTGGGAAATGTAAAGTGGAAAAAAATATATAGAAGGAAAAAACAGCTCTAACAGGGAGAGAGGTTTGGGGCCCTATAGATAAATAGGTACATTTCCACTCCACCTCCGGACATCTGCCGGTTGGTGGTAAAGCTGTTGATTTTAGGAAATTCTAGAGACAGAGCGTTGTCGGGGTGTTGTTTTCCTACTGACCAGAACAGGAAGGCAATGCCTGGATTAACTAGAGACCTAATAAACTGCGGGAACAAGCCCTACCGCTGCGGGGCCAGGGCCAGCTTCGAAGGCTGCAAGCCTCACGGCAACACGGAGCCAGGTCCTCGTGTGACCTTACTGTCTACTGCTGCTATGTAAGGGGACTGGCACTCCCGCCCTCCTGAAGGCGCGGAGACCCCGACGGCCTCGGAACGCTTCGCTCGGGCACACTGAAAGCAGCGCGAGACGCAGCTCCCAACACTCTAACATGGAGGCCGGCTTTTGTTTGTTTTGGCCCCGCTCACACACAGGCGTCTCAGGGCGGAGACCACAGGCCCCGCGGCTGCGGGCGGCTCAAGGTCCCCCGGGACGCCCCCCTAGCGGACTTTGGCCGCCGCGCCCGGCTGCCTCCCTTGCCCGGGCCCTGCCCCTCTCGCCTCTGCTCCCGGCGCCGCAGCTGACCCGGCGGGGGAGGAGGACGGCAGGAGCGCGCGGCGTCACAAAGCGAGGACAGAACGCCCGGGGTTCCGCCGAGACTCGGTCGTCCCAGGCCAGCTCGACTTGCAGTCCGCCCTCGTGGGGCGGGAGACGCCCGACGCCCGCCCACCTCACCCCCGGGGTGCCCTCCGTGGCCTCACGGGGACGCAGCGTCGCAGCGGCCCCGGCGCCGCAAAGCGTCTTGGGAGCGCCGGCTCGCGCCGGAAGAACGCGAGGGCGCGCGGCGGCGGCGAGGTTATAAAAGGGAAGAAGCCGGCGGTGGGCGGAAGTGGGCGGTTCGGCGGCTCTGGGCGCTGTTGTTTGGTCTTTAGGCCTGCGGAGGGGCGTTATCTGGAGGGCCGCGGGTGCAGGCCGCAGTGACAGGGCCGCTCGCCCCGCTAGTCCTGCCTGTCTCCCGGTGCAGCTGTGTTCGCGGCCTGCAGGCCCAACATGGCGCAGGAGGTGTCGGAGTACCTGAGCCAGAACCCGCGGGTGGCAGCCTGGGTGGAGGCGCTGCGCTGCGACGGCGAGACTGACAAACACTGGCGCCACCGCCGGGATTTTTTGCTTCGCAACGCCGGGGACCTGGCCCCCGCTGGCGGCGCTGCCTCCGCTAGCACGGATGAAGCTGCCGACGCCGAGAGCGGGACCCGAAACCGGCAGCTGCAGCAGCTCATCTCCTTTTCCATGGCCTGGGCGAACCACGTCTTCCTCGGGTGCCGGTGAGTGAGGCAGCGTCCCTAACCAGCACGCCTCGTTTTGTGTGCCACCTGCAGACCGGGGCCCGGCGCCCTCCGCGGGACCGGCCTCGGCGGGGAGGGGAAGTTGTGAAGCGCGGGAATCCGCCGGCCCGGCTGCCCTCTAAGGGGGAGAAGGGCGTCCCTGCGAGGAGCCGACATGATTCCCGGACGTCTGTGTGCCCGGTGGTGTGGGCGCAGCTGCTGGTAGGGTTGCTTGTGTTAGGGAACAACGCTCTTGGGGACGGGTGCGAGATTTAAGATTAGTGAGGAGGTGCCCTGCCTCCCAGACCCTGGGGCACTTGTTTATGGGGTTCCAGGAAACAGTTCTTGGCGGTTGGTTCACTTTCTTGATTGCAGCCAGGAAATGCAGTCCCTGTGGCCTGTTTTTTGCACAAGTAGGACCTTAGAAAAAACACTTTTTAAAAATGACTTTTCCTTCTTTTTCAGATACCCTCAAAAAGTTATGGATAAAATACTTAGTATGGCTGAAGGCATCAAAGTGACAGATGCTCCAACCTATACAACAAGAGATGAACTGGTTGCCAAGGTGAAGAAAAGAGGGATATCGAGTAGCAATGGTTAGCAGATCATAGATGTGAACATACATAGGAGTTTAGAGCATAAGTTTGATATAATTAGGAATTATTGTTACTAATTTTTTTAACAAGCCAGAATTTTTATGTTATTAATAAGTAATAAAGTTGGAATGTTAAACCTAAAGTATATATCTGTGTCTTTAGGCTTTGAATTTGATAGTTTGCTTTGACTGCTTTAGATTTTGAAGTGTCCACTGTTGTCTGATGCTGTTATTTTTTTAATATTAGACATTCATGATGTTATTCAACACTGTTTTAAGAAATTAATGACTCCACACTTTTTAAAGAAACGATTAGTCTTGAAATGTTTTCACTTTGTGCCTTTATTTTAATGTGTATTTGTCTCATCACCCGTTTTGTACGAGGTATTCTTAGTCACATATCTATGTTTTTCTTCTTTTTAGAAGGGGTAGAAGAGCCATCCAAAAAACGAGTTATAGAAGGAAAAAACAGTTCTGCAGTTGAGCAAGATCACGCAAAAACCTCTGCCAAGACAGAACGTGCATCAGCTCAGCAGGAAAACAGTTCAACGTGTATAGGGTCGGCCATCAAATCAGAGAGTGGGAACTCAGCTCGGAGCTCTGGCATCTCCAGTCAGAATAGCTCTACAAGTGATGGAGATCGATCTGTTTCCAGCCAAAGCAGCAGCAGCGTTTCCTCTCAGGTAACAACGGCAGGATCTGGGAAAGCTTCTGAAGCAGAAGCTCCAGATAAACACGGTTCTGCATCATTTGTTTCCTTGCTGAAATCCAGTGTGAATAGTCACATGACCCAATCCACTGATTCTAGACAACAAAGTGGATCACCTAAAAAGAGTGCTTTGGAAGGCTCTTCAGCCTCAGCTTCTCAAAGCAGCTCAGAGATCGAGGTGCCCTTGTTGGGCTCCTCAGGAAGCTCAGAGGTAGAATTGCCACTATTGTCTTCCAAACCTAGTTCAGAGACAGCTTCAAGTGGGTTAACTTCCAAAACTAGTTCAGAGGCAAGTGTTTCATCATCAGTTGCTAAAAACAGTTCCTCATCAGGCACATCCTTACTGACTCCCAAGAGCAGCTCTTCAACAAATACATCGCTGCTAACTTCCAAGAGCACTTCCCAGGTAGCTGCATCACTACTAGCTTCCAAGAGCAGCTCCCAGACCAGTGGATCTCTGGTTTCCAAAAGCACTTCCTTAGCAAGTGTGTCCCAGTTGGCTTCTAAGAGTAGTTCTCAGACTAGCACCTCACAGTTGCCTTCTAAAAGTACTTCACAGTCAAGTGAGAGTTCTGTCAAATTCTCTTGCAAGTTAACCAATGAAGATGTGAAACAGAAGCAACCTTTTTTCAATAGACTATATAAAACGGTGGCATGGAAGTTGGTAGCTGTTGGTGGCTTTAGTCCCAATGTGAATCATGGAGAGCTCCTAAATGCAGCTATTGAGGCTCTGAAAGCAACACTGGATGTATTTTTTGTCCCACTAAAAGAATTGGCAGATCTGCCTCAAAATAAGAGCTCTCAAGAAAGTATTGTTTGTGAATTGAGGTGCAAGTCTGTGTATTTGGGCACTGGCTGTGGAAAAAGCAAAGAAAATGCAAAAGCAGTTGCATCAAGAGAAGCATTGAAGTTATTTCTCAAGAAAAAGGTGGTGGTAAAAATATGTAAAAGGAAATACAGAGGCAGTGAAATAGAAGATCTAGTACTCCTTGATGAAGAATCGAGGCCTGTAAACTTACCTCCAGCACTAAAACATCCTCAAGAATTACTATAATGTGTCCAAAATATCACTGCATACAATATCTGGTATTTGAAGAGAAAAACTGACTTTTGTATAGTATAAAACACAGGCTTTCACAAATTTTGTATTGCTTTTTTTCCAGTTTTGCAGAAAATTTACATTCTAGTTCTCTTCACACAGTAGCAGTTGTAAATAATTTATGAATGACAGTACACATTAAAAGGTATGCATTAGCAGCATATTAGTATGCTGTTTTATTTGCTGAAGAAAATACTGTCTTCTATTTTTAATGATACATTAGGTACGATGTGTAGTTCGGTAGAGTCCTAAAATTTTTGTACTACTTTCAATTTGGTGAAAATGTATTAAGTTGTCTACCATGTTTTCTTTTCTAGCTGAATAAACCACATCAAAGGAAAGGGACCACAGTATTTGAATGTTTGAAAGTCTGTAAAGCTTAAGGTTTTAAAAATGTTGCCCGTAATGTTGAACGTGTCTGTTAAAAAATAAAAGAAAAAATAGTTGCTTCAAACTATTTTTATGAGAAGTTGTAAGCATTTTTTAGATATAAAGCAGTATAAAGTACTTGTTATTTTACTCTGAAGTTGTTTAAAATTCACCATGACTTTGACCGCTGAAGATTCTTTAAGCGGGTTAATTTATGTTTTGAGGTGGAATACAATTTACACTTTTTTCTTAAAAACATGAATGTGGGTTTCTATATTAAGCATATTTTGTGACTACTATTAACAGATTGATTTGTTTAGATATTAAATGCTTTAAGCTATTTTACCTTTTCAAGAAGTTGTGTTTTTTTTCTCCAAGTCAGAACCAATTCCTGCAAATAGGCTTCCCATGACTTGTCATTATAAATTAGACAACCAGGTAATTGTGTGATATACATCTTTATTTAATTTTTTTTTTTACAGCAATCCCCTGAGCCAGAATAGATTAAAAGCGATTCCCTTCAATTTTCAAATCTAGAACTGGATGGTTTTTGTGTTTATGCATCTTTTAGAATACCGGAAAGAACAGAGAGCCGTGTTCAGCTCTTGATAATGAGCCTATTCAATTTAACTACATTCGTTAAAATGAAGTGGAATTTTGTTTTCGTCTTAGGTGATTCTGCCTGTTTGTCTGTCATTGTATATTCTGTTTACTTTGCTTCAAACTGGCCCCAAGATGTTATTTTTGTGGTTTCTGGCTTTCTAGATTCTATTTTTAGATACTGCCCATTGAGCAATAATGGTGATAATATAGAGAGAAAAGAAAGACCTTTCATGGGCCAGTTGTGTTGGAATAGGAAAATCAAACGTAAGCACAATTTAAGTATGTAGCAGTTATTCCTATTTTGTATTCTAGGAATAAAAAGATACTTTAATTTTTTATGCTAGAATTACATAATTACATAATCAGATGTTTTAATTTTACCATATAACCTTTAAAAATGATTCATTTTTGAGGATATTTAATTGGATACCAAAGCTAAAATCCATATACTGTAAGTGGGTTGCCTTTATAGATTGCGGGACACAATAACATGAATGTATTGTGAAAGCACTTTTAGTTACCTCACTTTCCTCAGTCTTGGAATGTGTATTTTGTGGGATAATGATTATCAGAAAAGCAAAAAATTACAACGAACAAATAAATTTATATAATATATCCAATTAGGTGGTTTGGTAATTTCCTAAATTGGCTTGTTTCAAGTTACTATGAAGGTTATTGAGAATGTTTTATAGTGACTTTTGATGTGGAGGAAGTTGTTTAGTGTACATTTATGATAATCCTATTTAAAAACCTAGAAAAATGCTCTTGGTTAATAACATTTAAAGAATCCTGGTTTAAGAGAAATGCATATTTTAGAATTCTATTATTGAGAGTGAATCTTGGCTGTCTCTTACTAGACATGTAACCTCTGGGAATTTAACCTTTTAACCTTACTTCGTCTGTGAAATAGGACTAATAGCTGTCTCATAGAGCATGGCAGTTAGATGAGATGATACATTCAAAGTGCCCGGCATGGTGCAGATATCCCATGGTTCACTTATATATTCTTATTCCTCTTACAAGGAGCTCTTCTCATTTGGCCTACTTTTCAGATGGAGAAACTTACACAGAGTAATTCGGTCAGATAATTCAAGCCCATATCTGATTTCAAAACCCAAGCTCAAGTATGTTGTACTGCTTATTATCCTTGTCACTTCTCTATATGCTGAAATTTCTGAAAATCCCTCCCAGAACGTGATTTTTTACCAGATTAAGTGACCGCATCTTTCTAAAGCCTCCTTGAAATGAGTCACTTCAGAGGCTCTTCTATTATTAATGCTTCTAATACTTGCATATCTTGAATATCCTCAACTAGTGAATCATCCCATATGGATGCAGTTGAACTTTGTAAAAAGACCATACACACACAAAAGAAATCTGCACAAAAAACCCCCCAAAACCAAAAAACCAAACACACCTGCCTAAAATAGTGTATAATCAAGTTGAGTGAATAAAGTCGGCTACCAAGATGGGATATACTGCTTTTTTCAGATGAGTGAGGGGAGACGATTTCCTGAGACATCAAGATTTTTCTTGATGTTAGAATGAGATTTTTTTTTTAATGGTAAAATTAGTTGACTTGTAAGAATGATACTGTCATGAGTTTTTGACCTAAATTCTTGGAGCCTGTCACTGCTGTCATTGGCTAGGATAATTGTCATAGGGATATGTGTAACTTTAAGGCCTTTGATATGTATTATCAGGAGCCTGCTCCAATTTGAATTATGTTTTCCCTGCCAAGTGCAGCTTTTCTTGGTACAAATTTCTACTTGCTGTTTAGATTTTTGAGTAACAGCAGTGAGAAAGTAACAAAAACAAGCCGCAATTGGGAATCAGGTCAGTCCTACAGGTATTGTGTTACTACTTTGTGGACTTTGTCCTCAAAAATTGTGCTGAAGTCCTATATTGACCTACTTTCTAGACATTGGTTATCCATTCCTGCATGATTTTTAAATAATATTTTCTGTGATTGATGAATAAACTATTTCACTTTCTACTAGAACAAAATGTTCAAGTTGAATGAAGGGTTAAGCCATTTATTGCCCAACTATTCCTCCCCAAGAAAAATATCAATCATATTTCTTTGGCATCCCTGCACACAGCTTAGTTGCCATCCAGTTAGAACCATTTCTTACTACCAACTTTAATTTTAATATCTCTCGATTTTCCTCCTTTTGTTTTTGTTTTGTTTTTTTGTTTGTTTTTTTTTTGAGACAGAGGGAGTCTTGCTCTGTCACCCAGGCTGGAGTGCAGTGGCGTGATCTCGGCTCACTGCAACCTCGGCCTCTTGGGGTCAAGCAATTCTCCTGCCTCAGCCTCCTGAGTAGCTGGGATTACAGGCGTGCATCACTACACCCAGCTAATTTTTTTGTATTTTTAGTAGAGACGGGGTTTCACCATGTTGGTCAGGTTGGTCTCGAACTCCTGATCTTGTGATCCACCTGCCTCAGCCTCCCAAATTGCTGGGATTACAGGCGTGAGCCACTGTGCCCAGCCGATTTTTCTCCTTTAAAAGTCATTATCTGAAAATTATTAGTTTTTAAAGTTCTTTTTCTGTTCCTTTGCTATTCATCTAGCAAGAAAAAGAGTAGACAAGGCCCCAAACTAAATGGACTTTTAACTTTGAAGGGAAAAAAGAAAAGTAATGCTAGGTTGGGCATGGTGGCCCACAACTGTAATGCCAGCACTTTGGGAGGCCAAGGCAGGCGGATCACCTGAAGTCAGGAGTTTGAGACCAGCCTGGCCAAAATGGTGAAACTTTATCTTATAAAACTACAACATTAGCTGGGCGTGGTGGTGCGTGCCTGTCACCCCAGCTACTTGGGAGGCTGAGATAGGAGAATCGCTTGAACCTGGGAGGTGGAGGTTGCAGTGAGCTATGATTGTGCCACTGCACTCCAGCCTGGGTGACAGAGTGAGACTCCGTGTCAAAAAAAAAAAAAAAGTAATACTAAACACAAAGGGTTGGATACAGGACATTTTGAGTAAAAACTAGAGATTACATATGCCAGTACTTAAGAAGCAATCAGAAATACTTTGTGAATTTGAAACTTTATTGAATAGAATCAGAATCCTTGGAGGTCTTAGGAAGCAACCAAACTAAACAATATAAGTAGTAAATACACTAAAGACTACCATTTTACTGAAGTGGGACTATCATGTGCAATGTATATAACTTGGAAGCTAGAGACAAATGTACAAAAAGGTGATTTGGGAGGGAATCATCTAGTGATTTCCTTATACTGTTTTCAGTGTACCAGGGCTTAGACACTTAAAAATGATAAAACCCAAGTTCTGAATATGTCATCAGTGGTTTTCAAACTTTAGCCATATTTCTTCAAAGAAAAATGGGGGCATTGTGTATGTAAAACAGAGAACTACTTTGGTCAAAGGAGGGTGGCCACACCCTACAACTGAATTATACGTTTGGTTCTTAATTTCTTTTTCTTTTTTTTTTTGAGACAGATCTGGTTATGTTGCCCAGGCTGGAGTGCAGCGGTTCACTGCAACATCTGCCTCCCGGGTTCAAGCGATTCTCCTGCCTTGGCCTCCTAAGTAGCTGGGATTACAGGTGCGCACCATCACACCCAGCTAATTTTTGTATTTTTAGTAGAGATGGGGTTTCACCATCTAGGCCAGACTGGTCTCGAACTCCTGACCTCAGGTGATCCACCTGCCTCAGCCTCCCAAAGTGTTGGGATTACAGGCGTGAGCCACCACACCCAGCCTCTGTTCTCAGACTCAATTTCTGAGCTACCTCCTTGGACTATGAGCAGAGGGGATGCAGCAACTAGGAGGCTTAGTGTAAACAGCCAGCCTCCTTCTGCAATAGGTGTTAGAGTGGATGTGGGTCGAAGCTGCCAGTTTACTACAAAGTTGAACTAATTAGTTTTTTAAAGTAGTATGCCATATTAAAATTTACTTGAGTGGGGACTCAGATCGGGTTTAAGGGATTATTACATAAATTAACATTTAAGTAATACTAAAAATAGCTGCCTTTTGTTTCTTTTTATTGTGAAATACAATTGCAAAAACCCATAAAGTCCACACATGTAAAGTCCAACAATTACTGAATGCCCATATAATAATTATGTAAGCCAAAAAATAAAATTTTATCAGCACCTCAGGGACCCAAATCCAGTGTTCTTACAGAAGACTTGAACAGTGGTTTGGTTCTGATTTGGGGCAGTGAATGTAAATGCCAGTGAGACGTGCTGTCCCATGATCCTTGTTTCCTATATTCCAGAAAATAGTAAGCGAAATGCACACTTTGAGGAAAATTTGAGAAATTTTATGTTCAACTATTTAGGAAGCTTCTAAAAAAGTAAACTTTAAAGAAAACTTGATGTGAATCATTAGAAAATTTTTCTAGACATTCTATTTGTAGAATTCAGGGACAATTTACAGAGGCAATGATATAACCAATGCGTCGAGACGCATGATGTATCTTAGGAATGCTGTCTGTTACTCTTCACCACTTGCATATTATTAAATAATTTTCTATACTAGCTAAGGAAAAAATGATTCTCATGAAATAAAATCTGAGTTCCCGGGAAGCATTTCTAGTGTATCTTAGCTATGTGCACTGATAGTGGATCATATATACTTAATGCAGGAGTTTATCATGAATGCTCAACCTGCAGTTTGGAAACTAGTATGGGGTAGAAATATGTGCACCTTTCTGTCTTTGTTTTTTGTTTCAAAATAATATTGTATGTGATTAACAAGAGAAATAAGATGGAGTAAAATAAGGATACTATTTTGAAAATATTCACTACACTCCCCTGTAATTTGCATTCTCTAGCAATCATTCTGCCACTATGGTTCTCATAGGGAAGGATGTCAAGGAGGAGGTTAAAGAGGCAGGCATTTGAGACCTGAGGGTCCTGACCTCTATGACAGTGGTCCCCAACCTTTTTGGCACCAGGGACCAGTTTCAGGGAAGACCATTTTTCCACGGATGGTGGGTAGGGAATGGTTTTGGTATGATTCAAGCACATTACATTTATTGTGCACTTTTTTTTTTTTTTGAGATAGAGTCTCGCTCTGTTGCCCAGGCTGGAGTGTAGTGGTGCCATCTCAGCTCACTGCAACTTCCACCTCCCAGATTCAAGCGATTCTTCTGCTTCAGCCTCCTGAGTAGCTGGGAGTACAGGCATGAGCCACCATGCCTGGCTAAGTTTTGTATATTTAGTAGAGACAGGGTTTCACCATGTTTGTCAGGCTGGTCTTGATTGAACTCCTGACCTCATATTACCTACCTGCTTCGGCCTCGCAAAGTGTTGGGATTACAGGCATGAGCTACCACACCCAGCCTGTACACTTTATTTCTATTGTTATTACTTTGCAATATATAATGAAATAATTATACAACTCACCATAATACACCATCAGTGGAAGACCTGAGCTTGTTTTCTACAACCAGATGGTCCCATCGGGGGGTGATGGGAAACAGTGACAGGTCATCAGGCATTAGATTCTCATAAGGAGTGTGCAATCTAGATCCCTCACATGCACAGTTCACAATAGGGTTTGTGTTCCTATGAGAATCTAATGCCACCGCTGATCTGACAAGAGGCAGAGCTCAGGCGGTCATGTGAGCAATGGCGAGCAGCAGTAAATACAGATGAAGCTTTGCTCACTCACTCGCTGCTCACCTCCTGCTGTGTGGCCCCGTTCCTAACAGGCCACAGACTGGTACTGGAGGCTTGCAGGTTGGGGACCCCCTGCTCTATGGTGTAGCATGAATTTCACCTGTGTCAATATAGCAGAGATGAGAGTGATGACAATTTTCATCCAATGATCCTGCTGCTTTTTTTTTTTTTTTTTTTTTTGAGACGGAGTCTCGCTCTGTCACCCAGGCTGGAGTGCAGCGGCGCAATCTTGGCTCACTGCCAGCTCCGTCTCCCGGGTTCACGCCATTCTCCTGCTTCAGCCTCCTGAGTAGCTGGGATTACAGGCACCCGCCACTACACCCGGCTAATTTTTTGTATTTTTAGTAGAGACGGGGTTTCACCGTGTTAGCCAGGATGGTCTTGATCTCCTGACCTCGTGATCTGCCCGCCTCGGCCTCACAAAGTGCTGGGATTACAGGCGTGAGCCACCACGCCCGGCCGATCCTGCTTCTTTTATCCCCTGGCTGTAATTAAAGAATGCATCACTTCTTAGGAGGTTCCAAGAGAGCAAAGCAAAGAGGGCTTGAGTAAGAAATAGTGAAAGCATCAGGACCTTAAATACAGAGCCACCTAGCTGTACACACCACGGGGAGCCGTTCACAAGCAATGTAATAGACATCAGTTACTACAATGAGTGGTGCCCCCTGAAGTTGTGGAAGAAGGTGGCCCTTTTTGGAATCCCTGTGATTGCTGTATATAGTGAATTTATTTTTAAAACCTTACTTTAAAAAGGAATTTGGTTCTGTAATATGGAAAGAGCTGCTAAAGAAAGGATTTTGAAAAAAATAGTATTAAAGGTCTATGAAGCATTGATAGCACATAAATTCTAAGAAACTCTTCTTGGAAGTAGCATATATGCTAGTTATGTGCTGATACTGGGGGCACTATTTATACTTGGTCATGAATTACTTTGCCCAACATATTCTTCTACAGGAGGGATTATTTCAAGACTGTCCTAAAATAAAAGCACATAAGATAATGTAAGGCTGCTTAGATTATGTTATATTTGTTTTGTTTCTATTCCCAAACCTTGGGGGAAAATCAGGAACTAGACAGATGAAGAATTGTGTTGGCTCAGATACGGAATAAAACTTGAGTGTCTGCTTTGTGTTCTCTCCTACAAATAGATAATGTCCCTTAATTTATCACATCACTTGTTTCTGAACATTTGGTGTAAACCCACCATCTCTTGCCCAGTTTCATTTTCATCTATTGCTCCTAGCTTTCCCAAGATAACATGGCCTGAGCCAAGAACATACTTGAATTCAAAGCTATGGGACCAGAATGAAGGTTGGTTAACCTATCTGTCCCTGGGCATTAGACAACAGACCCTTGAAGCAGCTAAAGCGCCTATCCTGAGCTGGGCACCTTGACTGCCATCCCCACTGAGACCATATGACCTGGGTATGGGTGGCTGGGCAGTAGTGGTGGTGGGGAGAATTCCTGAAAGTTCTCATTGCCTCAGGGATGACTTTCCAGAGGGATGTTTTAACCATAAAAGGAAAAAATGTGCTGGGCAGGCCAAAATAGATGTCCTGTAGAATGACTCAGGGTGAACAAACAGCCGTTGAGACCTCCAATAAGTTCTTGCCATGGTCCACGCTGTACGAAGATGGTCATGAAAGCCATCCAGCACTCCCAGGTCCTGGAGCACACTCTCCCCATTCTCAAGGTCTTTCTCCTAGCAAGTTCCCCAAACACTGTGCCTCAGAAAGAAAAATGGTCAGGAGATTTCCCTCAGAAACTCAAACAACTGATCAGAATAGGGTGATGCTGGTGCCCTCCCACAACGGATTTCCTCCCCCTGGTTCCTGTGGTTTTCATTCTACTGGTCTCCAAGCTGCCATCACATCCAGCCAAAGCAACTCTTTGCTGCCAATGCTGCCAATATGGGCAGCTTTTTCACCAGATGTCTATCGATTAAAACCACTGGTAAGAGCCATTGAACGATGCCAACAATCTTATCTTACAGTGGACTTGGTCTCTCTTAGTTTCCTACCCTAATTTTTTGGTTATCACTACCTTCCTGGGAAAGCTGTTTCCACTAAGATAATCTGTAATGTTTTGTTCCTTCCAACAGTTAGACAGATGGTCATCACAAATACAGTACGTGCCTTTAAATCTGATATAATCTGTAAAAAGAATAGATCACTCAATCTTCCTTATTCTATCATTAGCAAAAAATTACTTGTGATATCACTTAGAGCCAATGGGTGTCACGCTGATGAAAATGAAAATTGCTGCCTCCTCAAGAGATGAAAGAGCCAGACTCACAGCATTACGCCCTTTTAGACAAAGTCTATCTCAGGAGAGTCCGGTAGCGGTGTAGCTCTTTGGTTTTCTTCCACTCTTCAGGAGAAATTGTTAGTATTCTAGCAACACTGTTTTCAGGCACTGGCTGGAATACTTAGCAGGGAGAAAACTGGCCACTCTTGAGTGTTAATGAGGCTCAAAGCATGCTAGCACGTCCTAAGCACAGGGTGCCTGTCCTAACATCAGGCATTTTCACCCATGTCCTCCAAAATACTTAATCTATCAAAAAATCCCAGAAACCCGAGAGTCTGCGGAGCCCTGAGGTATACAGCGGACAGTCTCACATTCGTAGACCCTATGGGCCACATTATGAGCCAACAATGACAGTCTGAAAATTGGGACCAAACATTACTCCATGAATTAAAAACAGCAGCAGCAACTTAAAACAGCAATCAGTTCTATGAAGCAAGAGCTCAAAGCAGAAGTGTGGTAGCTCAGGGAAGAAAGAATGAGCACCAGGAATACATAAAACATAGGCTGGAGGGACTCAGGAACTGAGAGGAAGCAGTAAAGTCAGCATAGAATTGAAAACGAGATCGGAAGAAGCACAGGCAGAGAAGATGCTGCTGACGACACAGGAGCAGAGTCGAAAGCATAAAAGTGGATCAAAGGAAGTATCAATTTGGGATTTTAAAATTTGAGCGAAATGACAGAGAAAATAGACAAAGGAGGTGAAGAGCATAATTGGAGTCTCAAAAAATAAAGTTGAATTGTTGAACAGGACAAACAATAATACTTCAAACATTTTTATAAAATAAAATAGGATCAACATGCTGAAAGAGCACACCATATTTCAGGGAAAACTGGCCTATAATACTAAATATTCATATATATATATATTTTTGAGATGGGGTCTTGCTATATTGCCCACTCTGGTCTTGAAATCCCAGGCTCAAGAGATCCTCCTGCCTCAGCGTCCTGAAAAACTGGGACTACAGATGCATGCACCATGCCCAGCTCTAAATATTTACATGTATCTTAATAAAATTATTGGACTTCATAGATTTTAGAAGGGATCCTTTGGGTGTCCAGGCAAAAAGTTCAAGTAATGTATAAGAAAAAACTCAGGGTAAATTCATACTTCATAGCAACACGAAGCACCAGAAGACACTAAGAAAAAATTGTGAAGAAGAATTTTATCCAGGCAAATGATGATTCCAATACAGACACAATTTTTAATACCCAAGAACTCAAGGATATTGTCCCATGAACTCTGCATAAGTAAGGAAGTTTTAACCAGCAAGCTGACCGGGAAAGTTAGCACAAAGGGATGGGAAGCAATCACTGACTCTATTTTTTTTTTTTTTTTGAGACAGAGTCTTGCCCTGTCGCCCAGGCTGGAGTGCAGTGGCGCGATCTCAGCTCACTGCAACCTCCGCCTCCCAGGTTCACGCCATTCTCCTGTCTCAGCCTCCCAAGTAGCTGGGACTACAGGCGCCCGCACCACGCCCGGCTAATTTTTTGTATTTTTAGTAGAGACAGGGTTTCACCATGTTAGCCAGGATGGTCTCGATCTCCTGACCTTGGGATCCACCCGCCTCGGCCTCCCAAACTGCTGGGATTACAGGTGTGAGCCACTGCGCCCGGCTAACTTTATTTAACAGTATAACCAAGATGAAAGCAAACTCAGGGATTAAAGTGACAGAAAAGAAAGTAAATTTTATATTTTCTGATAATGTAGAAATGATATAATTAATAAAAGTTGGAGCAGAAAAGAGAAAGAAGGTAGGTAGAAATAAGTGTGCAAATTTACTCATCTTTAATAGATGAGGTCAGCGTTTACCATTCAATGCTGGCGAGTCAAATAATAGAGGGTTTTAGGTTTTTAAAAAACACGCTGAAAGGTAAATAATGAGAAAGATAATAAACTAAATTTGGGAATAGTATTGATATGGTTTGGATGTTTGGTCCCTGCAAATGTCATGTTGAAATATGATCCCCAGTGCTGGAGGTGGGGCCTGAGTTCACATGAGATCTGGTTGTTTAAAAGTGTGGCACTGTCCTCTCTCTCTCTCGTCCCCAGTCTCACCATGTGACACACTGACTCCCCTTTGCCTTCTGCCATGATAGGAAGCCTCCTGAGGCCTCCCCAGAAGCAGATGCTGGCACCATGCTTCCTGTGCAGCCTGCAGAGCCGTGAGCCAATTAAACCTCTTTTCTTTTCCTTTTTTTTTTTTTTTTTTGAGATGGAGTTTCGCTGTGTCACCCAGGCTGGAGTGCAGTGGCACAATCTTGGCTCACTGCAACCTCCGTCTCCCAGGTTCAAGCAATTCTGCCTCAGCCTCCCGAGTAGCTGGGATTAGAGGCGCCTGCCACCACGCCTGGCTAATTTTTGTATTTTTAGCAGAGACAGGGTTTCATCGTGTTGGCCAGGCTGGTCTCGAGCTCCTGACCTCAGATGATCCGCTCGCCTCGGCCTCCTAAAGTGCTGGGATTACAGGCGTGAGCCACTACACCTGGCCTTAAAGCTCTTTTCTTTATAAATAACCCAGCCTCAGGTATTCCTTTATCACAATGCAAGAATAAATAAATAGATACTCTCTAAAGAAGTGAGAGATTAAGGGCACAATATAAAGTCACATTTAGAAGGGTAAACTCTGGGAGGAAAAACCCAAATCTTCCTACCTTTCAAAAGAAAAACATATACACACAACACAGAAAATAGGTCATACAGTGACATCTTTTAAAAGATGTAAAAAGAGAAAGCACAAAATAAATAGGACAGAATCAACACCAAATGTATGTGGCTCATCAAAAGTATAAATGAATAAACTTACCTATATAAAGAAAACAATTTTCAGATTGAATCATAAAGCAAAATACAACTTTATGCTGCATTCAGGGGACACAATTAAAAATACGCAAAAAGTTTGAAAATAAAAGGATAAGCAAAAACATATCATTAAAAGTAAAAAATATTAAATGAGGTAATGTGTAGAGTGCTTACAACATTGCCTTGCACCTAATGTGTAGTATTAAAATATCAACCAAAAATAGACAAACTATCCAAAAACAAAGCAGGAGTTGAGCTCTTACTGTTAGACAAGGTTGAGTTCAGGTTCAAAAGTAAGAAACAAAACAAAGAAGAGCGCTTCATAATGGCAGACGACATAATTCACAATATACATCTAATAGTTATGAACAGTTAAGCACCAAATAGCAGAGAGTTAACATTCAATATTCAAAAGGAAAAATTATAGGAGAGACCAGAAAAACAGACCTCAGTGCACTGATGACTTTCAATCGCCTCTCAAGGTCCGTGACAGATCAACTGGACAAAAATCAAGGCTACAGAGGAGCTAGATAACACAGTTAATGAAACAGATCTCAGTTATATATCCAAATATATATCAAATGATGATTGCTGAAAAAAGGCAACGGTCTGTTTTTACAAGTATTCATGGAATATTCACAAAAATGAAAACGTACAGACAACAATCTCAATCACAATGCAACGAAATTAGGAGTTATGTAATAACATCACCCAAAACAAAAACTATCTGCCATCTGGAAACTTTAAAATACTTTCTTAACAGCTCTGGAATTCAAGATGAAATCAAAGTAGAAACTGCAAAATAGCAAATAAAAATAATAGAAAACATTCCATATTTGTATGTATGGGATATGAAGCTTAGCTACAGAGTCAAAGTAAATAAGAAGGAAAATACAAATTAGAAGAATAAAAAATAAATGTAAGGAAAGCAGAATAAAGAAATGAATAATGATAAAATCATAAGTTGATGAAATAGAACAATTTTTTAAATCCACAGAACTGGAAACTAAATTCGAAATCTTTTTTTAAACAATAATATAGGCGAGGTGCAGTGTCTAATGCCTGTAATCCCAGCACTTTGCGAGGCTGAGGCAGGAGGATTGCCTGAGCCCAGGAGTTCAAGACCAGCTTGGGCAACATGGTGAGATCCTGTCTCTACAAAATATATTTTAAGAAATTAGCTGGGTATGGTGGCACATACCTGTAGTCCCAGCTACTCAAGAGGCTGAGGCAGGAGAATTACTTGAGCCTGGGAAGTTGAGGCTGCAGTGAGCTGTGATTGCTCCACTGTACTCCAGCCTGGGTGACAGAGCGAGACCTTGTCTCAAAACAAAACAAAACAAAACAAAAACAATAAAATGGACAAGCCATTGCTTAACCTAATGAAGGAGAAAAACAAGTACGCAAATAAGAATTTATTGAGGCCGGGTGTGGTGGTCCACGCCTGTAATCCCAGCACTTTGGGAGGCCCAGGTGGGCAGATCACCTGAAGTCAGGAGTTCGAGACCAGCCTGTCTAACATGGTGCAACCCCGTTTCCACTAAAAATACAAAAAAATTAGCCGGGCGTGGTGGTACATGCCTGTAGTCCCAGCTACTCAGGAAGCTGAGGCAGGAGAATCTCTTGAACCTGGGAGGCAGAGGTTGCAGTGAGCTGAGATCAGCCACCGCACTCCAACCTGAGAGACAGAGCGAGACTCTGTCTCCAAAAAAAAAAAATTACTGATAAGAGGAAAGTAACCACAAATATAGTGGAAATCTCATATAAAAATGAATAAAATTGTTTTCTAGAAAAGTGTCATTTACCATAATCGATTTTTTTTTTTTTTGAGACAGAGTCTCCTTCTGTCGCCCAGGATTGAGTGCAGTGGCACCATCTCAGCTCACTGCAACCTCCGCCTTCTGGGTTCATGTGAGTCTCCTGGCTCAGCCACCCAAGTAGTTGGGATTATAGGTGTGCGCCACCACACCTGGCTGATTTTTGTATTTTTAGCAGAGATAGGGTTTCACCATGTTGTCCAGGCTGGTCTCGAACTCCTGACCTCAAGTGATCCACCTGCCTCAGCCTCCCAAAGTGCTGGGATTACAGGCGTGAGCCACCATGCCGGGCCCACAATCGATTTAGAAGAGAAAAAAATTTAAACAGATCAATTACCATAAAATAAATAGGAAATTGTCAAAAAAAAGACCCCTCAAATTCCAGCAGTTCCAGAGGAATTCTGTAAAACCTTTAAAGAAAAGACAACTCCCATATCTTATTTTAATTTTTTCAGAGCATATAAAAAGAGGTAACATTTCCAGTGTTTAGTTAATGAACCAAGTATATTTCTACAGAAATATATTGTTATTATTAATAGGTATAAGAAGAAAAATTCTATACAGATATGTATCACTTAATGATGGAGATATGCTCTGAGAAATGTGTCAGGCAATTTTGTCATTGTGCAAACATCATAGCATGTACCTACGCAAACCTAGATGGTAGAGCCTTCTACACACCTAGGATCTATGGTCTGGCCTATAGGTATGGCCTACTGCTCCTAGACTACAAACCTGTGCAACATGTGACTGTGCTCAATACTGTAAGCAACTGTAATACAATGCTAAGTATTTGTATATCTAAATATAGCTAAACATAGAAAAGGTACAGTAAAAATATGGTACAAAAGATAAAGAACGAACGCCTTCACAGAGCACTCACCATGGATGGAGCTTGCAGGACTGGAAGTGGCTCTGGGTGAGTGAGCGAGTGAGTGGGGAGTGAGTGTGAGGGCCCAGGACATTACTGGGCATGGGTATAGACTTTATAAACACTGTACACGCAGGCTATGCTAAATGTATAAACAATAATTTTTCTTTCTTCAATAATAAATTAACCTTTGGCTACTGTAACTTACTTTATCGAGTTTAATTTTTTAAACTTTTTTGTAATAAAAGCTTAAAACATGAAAACATTGCATAGCTGTGCAAACATATTTATAAGCTTTTTCATGTTTTTTAAAATTTTTATTTTTTATGTTTTTACTTTTAAAACATTTTTTGCTAAAAACTAAGACAAACACACACATTAGCCTAGGCCTACACAGGGCCAGGATGATCGGTATCACTGCCTTCCACTCCTACAGCTTGTCATCTCCTGTAATAACATGCCTTCTTCTGGAATAACTCCTAAAGGTCCTGCCTGAGGCTATTCTACAGCTTTCTTTCCTTTTTTTTGTGATGCAGTCTTGCTCTGTTGCCCAGGCTGGAGTGCAATGGTGTGATCTCAGCTCACTGCAACCTCCACCTCCTGGGTTCAAGCGATTCTCCTGCCACAGCCTCCCAAGTAGCTGGGACTACAGGCATTCGCCACTATACCTGGCTAATTTTTGTATTTTAAATAGAGACGGAGTTTCACCATGTTGGCCAGGTCAGGCTCAAACTTCTGACCTCAAGTGATCCGCCGGCTTTGGCCTCCCCAAGTGATAGAATTACAGGCGTGAGACACCGCAAAGCAGGAGTACACTCAAAAATAACAATGAAAAATATAGGATAGTAAATACATAAGCCAATAACATATCCCTTTATTATCAAGCCTTTCATTATGTGCTGTGCATGATTGTATGTGCTATACTTTTAGATGACCGGCAGTTCTGTAGGTTTCTTTACACCAACATCTTCACAAACACGTGAGTAATGCATTGTGTTATGATGGCTATGATAGCACTAGGTGATAGGAGTTTTTCAGCTCCATTATAATCTTATGGGACCACCACGGTATACATGGTCCATTGTTACCAAAACATCGTCATGCAGCACATAACTACTCATGTCTAAAAAAGCTATCAAAGACATTGGAAAAATTCCATATTCATACTTGATGTAAGTTCTTAACAGGAGTATACAAATACGTTGTTAGCATAATGAAATATATTTATCTCAACCACAAAGAATCTGTTTAATATGGAAACAGCGTGGATGTAATATTGAAACACTCCTGCTAAGTTATGGACAAGATAAGCACTTTTTTTTTGGTGGGGGGATGGAGTCTTGTTCTGTTGCCCAGGCTGGAGTGCAATGCCGCGATCTCGGCTCACTACAACCTTCGCCTCCCAGGTTCAAGCAATTCTCCTGCCTCAGCCTCCTGAGTAGCTGGGATTACATGCGCGTGCCACCACGCCCACCTAATGTTTGTATTTTTAGTAGAGATGGGGTTTTCACCATGTTGGTCGGGATGGTCTTGAACTCCTGTCCTCATGATCCACCCACCTCAGCCTCCCAAAGTGCTGGGATTACAGGTGTGAGCCACCCTGCCTGGCAAGTACTATCTTAAGCTGAGGAGATACGCCATTTCTCTTACTGTTTCCTGTCCCTGAAGAGAAGGAGGAAGTAAAAGCTGAAAAACAACAGAAATGAAGTCAGTGGCAAGACCAACCGGTGCCACTGACCAGGCCTGAGGTTAAAGATTAACCCCCCACTCTAACTACGTGTATTACCTATAGATCACTTGCTGGATATCTTTCACGTAGACCCCCATAGAGTTGTAAGCCCTTAAAAGTGTGTCCAGACTTGGTTCCCTCTGGTGGATTCTTGGTCTCACTGACTTCGAGAATGAAGCTGCGGACCTTCACAGCGAGTGTTACAACTTTTAAAGGTGGTGTGGACCCAAAGAGTCAGCAGCAGCAAGATTTACTGTGAAAAGCGAAAGAACAAAGCTTCCACAGAGTGGAAAGGGACCTGAGCAGGTTGCCGCTGCTGGCTGGGGGGTGGCCAGCTTTTATTCCCTTATTTGTCCCCACCCATGTCCTGCTGATTGGTCCATTTTACAGAGTGCTGATTGGTCCATTTTACAGAGTGCTGACTGGTGCATTTTTACAGAGTTCTGATTGGTGCATTTAATCCCTTAGTTAGACACAGAGTGATGATTGGTGTGTTTTTGCGGAGTGTTGATTGGTGCACTTACAATCCTTTAGCTAGATGCCAAGTGCTGATTGGTGCATTTTTACAGAGTGCTGATTGGTGCGTTTACAATCCTTTAGCTAGACACAGAATGCTGATTGGTGCGTTTACAATCCTTTAGCTAGACACAGTGCGCTGATTGGTGCGCTTTTATAGAGTGCTGATTGGTGCGTTTACAATCCTTTAGCTAGACACAGAGTGCTGATTGGTGCATTTTTACAGAGTGCTGATTGGTGCGTCTACAGTCCTTTAGCTAGACACAGAGCGCTGACTGGTGCATTTTTACACAGTGCTGATTGGTGTGTTTACAATCCTTTAGCTAGACACAGAGTGCTGACTGGTGCGTTTGCAATCCTCTAGCTAGACAGAAAAGTTCTGCAAGTCCCCACTCAACCCAGGAAGTCCAGCTCGCTTCACCTCTCAAAAAGGCCAGGAATTTTTTCTTCAGGGAGCTTGGTTCTTGAGATGCAAGTCTGCCAAGGTTCCCAGCTAAATAAAGCCTCTTCCCTCTTTCAGCCGGTGTCTGAGGAGTTTTGCCTGCAGCCCATCCTGCTACAAAGCAATATAATTAAATGAGAGAAAACCAGCCTGGTCAACATGGTGAAACCCCGTCTCTACTAAAATACAAAAATTACCCAGGCATGGTGGTGGATGCCTATAATCCCAGCTATTTGGGAGGCTGAGGCAGGAGAATTGCTTGAATCTGGGAGGTGGAGGTTGCAGTGAGCTGAGACGGTGCCATTGCACTCCAGCCTGCCATTGCACTCCAGCTGTGCGACAAGAGCGAAATTCTGTCTTAAAAAAAAAAAAATTCAATGAGAGAAATATATGTTTAAACATTGGAAAGAAGGTAAAATCATTGTTATTTAGATATAATTGTATACTAGAATTTCCACCCATAATCAATTTAAAAATCTAAATAAATAAGTGAATTCAGTCAAGTACCTGGGTATGAAATTAATGCCAAATACCAATACAAATCTGGTGCTTTAGAATATAAAAATAACCAACCAGAAGACATAATAGAGAAGACCTTATTTACAATAGCAACAGAAAATAAACTATTTAGTGATAAAGAAGCATTTAAAATCTGCATGCAGAAAACATTGAAATACTAAGGGACAAGAAGGAATTTTTCAACAAACAGGAAAACACATAAAGCTCTTAGATACAAAAATTAACTTCATAAGTGTAATAGTTATGTTTGTTTATCTATATTTTAACATGATCCCAAGAAAAATACCAAGAGGATTTGTATACTAGATAAGCTGATTCAAAAGTTTGTAGGAAAAAAAATATAAGTAGTCAGGAAAACTCAGAAAAAAAAAGAATAATGAAGGGGTATTATCCCTACCTGATATTAAAACATATTTTAACCCTATAAATAAAAACATATTTTAACCCTTGGAGTCATAAAAGTTAAAATTGTATAGTAGTGGAGCATAACAAGATAGGAGATAAATGGGAGAAAATAGAAAGTTCAGAAATCAGTCAAATTTTCTAGGGAATATAAAATATGATAAAAGCAGCATTTTGAACTAGTGGGAGAAAGATAGCTTAATCAAAAACTAAATTAAGTAGCAAATTGGAAATGAAATTAAGATCCATCTCTGCTCTCCAACTTACACCAAGATAAATTCAAAGACTTAAATATAAAGTGTAAAACTATGAAAGTACTAACATGAGCAAATTAATCTTGAAGTATGGTGTGGGGTGGGGGCTGGTGCTTTCTAACTTTGACACAAAATTCAGAAGCCATTAAAGGAAAATACCAATTACTATGCTGATATGTTTTGGTTGTGTCCCTACCGAGATCTTAATGTGAATTGTATCTCCCGGAATTCCCACATGTTGTGAGAGGGACCCGGCGGAGGGGGGGTGATTGAATCATGCAGGCCAGTCTTTCCCTTGCTATTTTTGTGATAGTGAATAAGTCTCACAAGATCTGATGGGTTTATCAGGGGTTTCCGCTTTTGCTTCTTCCTCATTTTCTCTTGGTGCTGCCATGTAAGAAGTGAATTTCACCTCCCCCCATGATTCTGAGGCCTCCCCAGCCCACATGGAACTGTAAGTCCAATTAAACCTCTTTTTCTTCCCAGTCTCAGATATGTCTTTATCAGCAGTATGAAAACAGACTAATACAGTAAATTGGTACCATTAGAGTGGGGTGTTGCTGAAAAGATACCTGAAAATGTGGAAGCGACTTTGGAACTGGGTAACAAGCAGAGGTTGGAACAGGTTGGAGGGCTCACAAGAAGACAGGAAAATGTGGGAAAGTTTGGAACCTCCTAGAGACTTGTTGAATGGCTTTTTCCAAAATGCTGATAGCGATATAGACAATAAGATCCAGGCTGAGGTGGTGTCAGATGGAGATAAGGAACTTGTTGGGAACTGGAGCAAAGGTGACTCTTGTTATGTTTTAGCAAAGAGACTGACAGCATTTTGCCCCTGCCCTAGAGATTTGTGGAACTTTGAACTTGAGAAAGATGATTTAGGGTATCTGGAAGAAATTTCCAAGCAGCAAAGTATTCAAGAGGTGACTTGGGTACTGCTAAAGGTATTCAGTTTTGTAAGGGAAGCAGAGCATAAAAGTTCAGAAAATTTGCAGCCTGACTATGCAATAGGAAAAAAAAAAATTTTCTCGGGAGAAATTCAGTGCAGCTGCAGAAATTTGTGTAAGTAGCAAGGAGCCT